>NC_000005.10:113443140-113746170 GCF_000001405.40 Homo sapiens | reverse complement strand
GGTCAGGAGTTTGAGACCAGCCTGGTCAACATGGCGAAATCCCGTCTCTACTAAAAATAAAATATTAGCAGGGCGTGGTGGTGTGCACCAGTAATCCCAGCTACTTGGGAGGCTGAGGCAGGATAATCATTTGAACCTGGGAAGTGGAGGTTGCAGTGAGCCAAGATGGCACCACTGCACTCCAGCCTGGGCGACAAGAGTGAAACTCAATCTCAAAAAAAAAAAAAAAAAAAAGACTGAAGCCCTCAGAGGCTAAGAAGCTGGCCAGAATGACACAGTGAATAAGTGGTATACCAATGGTGGAACTCTGATTTCTTTGAATCCAGCTCCTGGGCTCCTGACTCCTAAGCTATAAAACAGTTCATTTAATAACCCTTCTGGTGAAGAACTCATTGGCACCTCTAAAATTTTGGAAGCTCACTCGAAAAGAAGATGTAGACTCTATGCCTATGTCATTCATCTGTTATTAAAATGAGAACCTAAAATTCCTTAGGACACTGCAATGTTTTGAAGGTGTTTTGCCAATGTAGGTGTTCACCATCAACTTTGCCCTGTTCAATAGCCAAGGAAGCATCCTTGCCCCCCACATATATGTAGCCACTAACCCCCACTGGGAGGGCAGGAACATGTAAGGAAAGCATGCCTAAGTGGGTCATTTCCACCAGTCTCAGAAAGGATCTGGAGTCACAGAAATAAGCTGAGTCAATACTCCTTTGGAAACAATATGTCAGACAATTTATCTGAAAGTTGGAAATAAGGCCAAAAAAAAAATGGTGCATGGCACATACTTTCAGAATCTTATGGAGCCAATCAGCACCCAAGAATTGTCTAGGGGAATGCACTGTTTACTGCTGATTAAAGGTCCTAGACTAGTCTAGGACCCTTTCCCTACCTTGTAGATTTCTGTTCAATGGAACAGATAACCCCAAAGATTTACAGCCTGCTGTACGTTAAACAGTTTTACAGCTAACTCAGCAATCTTATCATAATATGTTTTTATTAAATTGTTCATAAATGCCCGAGCTCCTTAAATGTTCTTTGAACCAATATTAACATCTAACTGGCTCCTTCATTAATTAATGAGTTAAATCAGTGATACATGTTCATTATATTTTTGCTTGGGAATCATGATTTTACCTCTTTGAAAATTATACTTCAAAAATATGTTAAAGACTTTACACTCACATTAAGAGATTCACGTGATATAACACAAGGCCTCAGGCCATCTTTTAAAAATCCATCTGTTATTGAAATTTCCCTTGTGAAAAAAAAAACTGTCTTTTTTTTAATGTGCTAAACTAAAGGATGCTTGACTGGCCTTAGACATGTTCTAAAAGGTACAGTTATGATTGATCTAAGATAATTCAACACTAGGAAATTACATTGGGAACATTTCTCAGGCTGATGGAAACTACATGTGGGCTGGATACAGCTAAATAAAAATAAGACTTCACAGTTGTTTATATCACACTCTGTTGTATTAAAGGTAAACTCACAGGCTGTATTTTCTCACTTTATTCCTTACTGACATGAAATATTTTGAACTAAATTTAGCAACAACGGCCTTTGAAAAAATAGTGTTACCTTCAGTAGTAACTGGAGAGTCTAGACATATAACTGCTACCAAAATTCTTATCCTCTAAAGAATGTTTTCCCAGGATGATTTCACAAGGTCTCCTCTGATTATATAAGATTATTCAGTAATTGACAGCTAGCCATCTTTTCCATCAAACCTGAGACTCATCTGGGCTAACCTGAAAGATGAGGAAAAGCCAAGGTCTACTGAAACAAGGGTATTTGGATTCAGGGCACTCAAGATGCAAATAATGTCACATTTCTCCATAGTAAATGTGCACATACAACTAAATAATTGAGTGTGTGTGTGTGTGTGTGTGTGTGTGTATCAGCTTTCAGTTTAACACATTAAAAAATAATTTTTTTCACAAGGGAAATTTAAATAACAGATGGATTTTTTAAAAGATTACCTGAGGTATTGTGTTTTATCCGTTGAATCTCTTAATGTGAATATAAAGTGTTTAACATATTTTTACAGTATAATTTTCAAAGTGGTAAAATCATGATTTCCAGGCAAATATAACAGCCAATTTTCAGCTCTTCCTCCATACACCTTATACCATGCAAAAACCCAGAGTTTTTATGGGCCCTGGGTCACAAGGAAGGGCCTGTTCCTCAGCTGTGTGCTCAGCATTGACCTGCTTCTGGCCCAAACCAAGTCCATTTAGGTAAAGGTAGTTCTTCCGACAATTCTGCTGCCCCCAGGCCAAGTTTGACCTTGGGGACCTTTGCCTCCACTCTAAAGGCCACAGCTCTCCGTGGGCTCGCCATGCAAGCACCATTTCCCCCCACCTCAGAGGCACTAAGCGCTCAAAGACTCCCAACCTCTCCCCATTCCAGCCGGGGAAGTACTCAAAATGCTCCTGGACGGATGCGTCTTCCTTCAATCCTGGAAGTACTAAGCCTCCAATCCCCTCCCGCTCCACCAAATCCATCTTTGTCTTCAAAGCAGACTAAAGCCTTCAAAAACAGATTCATGCTTAGACTGCCTTGCCTACTTTAGGGCCAGAGCTTTCTACTTTCACCCTAAAATGCACAGATTGTAAACTGCAATATGTGGGTGATTGAGAGGAAGGGTAGGACAGAAATGAGGAACTCAGAGCACAAGGAGAGACTAGCCTAGCCGGGGATGGGGAGGTGGGCCAAGGGTGACATATAAGAAACAGACTGGTAGATCTTTCATTGTTCTATAGTGCAAGCCAACTCTCAAGAAAATAAGTTGTTTCCCAACAGATTTTTTTAAAATCCAGGCTCCTCCAAATAATAGCCATATGACCCCAGGCAAGCTATTTAACCTCAGTTTCCTTATCTAAAAATGGGGTTAATTATGGTACCTATGTTATATGGCTGGTTAAGAATTAAATGAGTTAATAAGTGAAACGTGATTAGAACACTTCCTGGAACATAATTATGCCATAAATCCTAGGTATTAGTCTTATTATTATTATTATTATTGTGCCACAATATATTCTCAATAAATTGCATCATTATACTCAATGTATCCCATTAGAATGGAATCACAAGGGTTACTGAAGCTGAGACACATTGAGACAAAGTCTCTAATCCCTGGGAAGAACTGCAAATATCCTGCCAGGGAAAGTGTATCATGGTATTGTGTCTAAAAATGAATGTTGTCTCAGAGCCTCATTCAGAAGGGTAGCTATAGCTAGGGACTCATTCACTCAATAATGTGAGGAGCACACAGGTCTAGAAATTCTCTTATCCTGCTGTTCTTCTCTCTGAGCCCAGAACATGTCACATGCCTAAGCAGGAAGCTTGTCTCCTTCTAGGAAATTCACAACACAAACTTGATTTATACGTGCATACATGGGAAGAATTTAAGCCCTGCTGGGGACCATAGGAATGTGAGTGATTCAAATGGATTATGTACAGGGTAATGAAGGTAGAAATTTTCTATGAATCCAAAACATTCATATTTATGTATCCAAATCAAACTGGTTATCTGTATTTATTTATTCATTCACAGATATTTATTGATGGCAGGCACCCTGCTAGTGCTTATGATATAGTGCTGAAAAAGACACAGCCCCTTTCCTCACAGAGCTTCAGTCTAACGGGGCACACTGAACAAATGCTGGATGCTGTGGGGGCACATATGTGACTTCATCTGGTGGCTTAAAAAGGATTCCCCAGAGAAAGTGAATTCTAAGACTAGAAAGGAAAGGCATTTTATGATGGGTAGATGGAACTATTCAAAAGCACTTGGCTGAAAAACAACATGAGAACTCAGCGACCTGAAAACTCTAATACAGCTGGAACACAGAAAGCAACGGAGTAAGTAACAAGAAAGGCCAGAGACATGGGCAGGGAACCAGGTTTGTAGGACCTACAGACTATGATAAGGAGTTTGGATCTTACCCTGACGAAATGAGATATGATTGTGTTTTCATTTTAAACTGATTATTCTGGCCACAGTGAGGACAACTGATTTTAGAGTGGCAAAATTGGATACAGGGAATTCAACAGAAAGCTATTGCAGAAGCAGATGACCAATAATGTTGACTGAAATTAGAATGGTGACAGTGAGAAAGGAAAGTAGATGTGGATTCCAGGGCTATTTAAGAGGTGGTGATAATGATCGGTCACGGAGATTAAGGAAGAGGTATAAGCAAAGACCACTCCTAGGTCTCTGGCATGAATTGCTGAGTGGGTGGTGCAAATCATTTACTGCTAGAAAGAACACTGGAGGAGAAGCAATCTTGAGCTGATGATCATGAGCTCATTTGGGGAATAGGAACTTTGAATTGAGCATAATATATCAAAGTGGAAATCTCAATTAGGCAAATTGATGGTCAGAAGAAAAAAAAAAGCCCTGGACAATAAATATTTTGAAAGTTGTCTATATACAAATAGCCATTGGGCCCAGCGCGGTGGCTCACGCTTGTAACCCTAGCACTTTGGGAGGCCAAGGCGGGTGGATTGCCTGAGCTCAGGAGTTGGTAACCAGCCTGGGCAACATGGTGAAACCCTGTCTCTACTAAAATACAAAAGAAATTAGTGGGGCGTGGCAGCAGGTGCCTGTAGTCCCAGCTACTTGGGAGGCTGAGGCAGAAGAATTGCTTGAACCCGGGAGGTGGAGCTTGCAGTGAGCCGAGATCGCGCCACTGGACTCCAGCCTGGGCGACAGAGCGAGACTCATCCCTACGAAAAAAAAAATCCATTGAAAACAGAAACCGGTGATATCCACTGGGAAGAAAATACAGAGTAAGAGAAGCGGGGCAAGACACAACGTTGAATGAATAGACAGAAAGGATCAAGAAAAGAAAACTGAGGAGCTGGCTACTTAATAAAATCAGAGAAGCCAGGGAGTCAGGAGCAGAGCCTGCAGTTCTCACCAGGCCTGTCTGTGTTACTGAATCAGAAACCAAAAAGAATCTTCCTCTAGGAAGATCCTAGAATTTGTAGGTAGGAGTAATAGATGACTCAATAAAACCTAGGGAGTAAAAGAAACATATAATTTAAAAAATGAGGTCCTATGTGAAGACTGTGTTTATTCTGTATCTAAACAAAGCCTGAAAATTCAACATTAAACAGCCAATCATCACCCAGATTGAATTCTATGCAGATGTAATTTGGCCTTACAGATAAAAACTGAAAAGCTAGAGCTTTTGAGTGGGTTTTAAATCAAACCTCCTAGGTGATGGATGAGTGTATGGCATTGGTTTGGTGGGGGTTTCATGGATGTATACTTTTACCCAAACACAGAAAGTTTAAAGAGCATGCTTCCCAGTAGACGTTGTGTCTCATCTTTGTATTCACTGCGTCTTACACTGAGCCTGCCCGTCACATAGCGGGTGTTGAATAATTACTCTTGTGTTTCAGTATCAAACTGTGTATGTGTAAGGCTCTGCATTCCTCTCTGCAACAGTATTACTATGGCTGTGAAGTGAGTTTATGTGTGAGGTTGTGTGGGTAAGACTCATAAAGAAATACAGAACAAATAAATAAACAAAAAAATAAATAAAACCTCTGATTTGCAAAGACAGTTACCTCTCTGTGTTTTGGTATCTTGGACCTCCACAAATTGTTACGGGCATTTAAACCAATTATTTTCTTCCTAAGATTCATTTTCGTGAGTTTTTTATTGGCTTGTTGGTATAATACTACATCTCTAAACATTTAATGCTTTAGAAATTGGTCAGAAGTTCATGCGAACTATTTGCTTTATCTGTTAAGCAGGACTTTACTCCCAGATGAAATACAAATTCTAAAGCTAACTCATTAGTCATTAAGAGAAAAAAACCATCAAAATTTTTCTTCTATCAAAATGAATAAGCTACTTTTCTTAATATTTGAATTATAAAACAGCCTCCTATTTTTTCCATTATTAAGTCATTAGTTTTGTTGGCATTTCACATTACATCATCCCACTCAATGCACTCTTCTTGGATTTCTTTCCATTGTATCATGCCAAAAGAACTAAAAATTAGAAAACGGGAAGCTTCTTATTTCATTTTTAACGTCATTTGTTATTAAGATCAAATAAAATTTCATGTAGTGGCTAAAGCCAGACTCTTCCAAATGCTCTTTCAACTACTCTCCTCCAAATGCTTATAGTGAATACATCTAAGTCATACAAAAAGTTGTAACATTTTAAAAAACATATTCTATACAATATGAGGTGTCTAATTAAACAACTATAAGGAATCTAAAATTACTAAAAGCAGATGCCAGTCAAAATCTACAACCATGTTCCCCATTTTCTCATGATCCTCTTTTTAAAAGCAATTATTTAACAATGCAGTATTGAAATACTAAAATTTTAAACTGAGAATATGACTTTTAGAAGATTTATTTACTCAACTCTTAAGAAGGAAAGCTAAGGTTTCTTAATGGCTTGTTTCTTTTCAGTTGTATAAAGACCAAATGATATCTTCTTCCAAAAAGAATGAGAAGCTGATAGCTACTAATGGAACAGAAGACTCAAGAAGAAAGTTGGAAGTGGAAGACACTAATTAAAGGAGGATCCAGTTTCACTTGCACTTAGATGTAGAAAGCCACAAAATAATGTGGCTTTCACATAAACAGGAACAAAGCTGGACAATCAATAAAATCATGATTTGCCTTGAGCTCAGCAGCGAGCTAAGGTAGCAAGGCAAACAAGTGCACTAAATTTCAGATGACAGGCCACTCTGAGAAGAGATCAGGTGCATGAATGGCTTTACCTTTGGCAAGGCACAGCATGAAAACGCAACCACCTTATGGGAGGGTAAAAAGAAAACATCAAATTTTAACAAATCCTTAAAGGCCACGGGTGGGTGAAAGCAATGGTTTAGACTCCTGGTTCATCCCAACACTAGAAAGTCAGCACTGCCTCACACGCTCTTTGTACCCCACTCTCAGTAGTCCACAGACACACAAAGCCCCATCTGCTCACATTTCTTGAAGAGAGACCATTCTTGAAATGGGAACCAAGGGCTTTGGGTCCCTGGGTGAGGGACCAAAATAAGTCCTCTTGCCTCCAGAGCTCAGGCAAGAATTCCTTGCCTCTGGTCATAGATAGAATCCAGTATCACTGGGAGGGTGTGGAGAACCCTTCCTTCCTCCCTCATTCCCAGGCAAAGATAAACTCTGAAGAGATTTCTCAAAAACCTCCGTATTTCCACGATAAACCTTGCACAGAGTAACAAGTGTTAGCAACCTACCACTGGGGTTGGGGTGGGGATAAACAGGGCAATTCACATGTCCGTGATCTCCAGTAAAAGCACAATGCTACTGAGGGAAGAGTAGAGCAATAGCTAGCTGACACTAGGGAAGGGACAGGAAACCCCCTGGGGTCCAGCCTTCTGTACTGACAGAAAACAGAGGTTAGCTACCACTGGAGGAGGAGGATGAAACTCTCTCCTGCCCCAAGTGCTTCATAGATAGTAGGGTTTGGCTACCACATGGGCACAGGAATGTTGAAAAAAAAAAAAAACACTTCTGAGACCCAGGTACCCAGGATCTAGCCAAGTGAGGCTGGACCAAGACAACTAAGAGTCCCCATCCACTCCCATCTTTAGCCTTCCACCAAATAACCAACAATAGCAGTATACAGTATAAGAAAGATAAGAGCATAGCGAGACCCTTTAGTGGTTCAAGCAGTCAGGGCTTCTTAAATCTGAGAAAACATGGAGAAAAATACTCTAGCACCTTAGGATTTACAATCAGTACATTGTAGCAGTAGTCTACCATTAGAGGGGTTTTGATATGGTTTGGCCGTGTCTCCACCGAAATCTCATCTTGAATTGTAGCTCCCATAATTCCCACGTGTTATGGGAGTGACCCAGTGAGAGATAATTGAGTCATGGGGGCAGTTTCTGCCACACTGTTCTCATGATAGTGAATAAGTCTCACAAGATCTGATGGTTTTATAAGGGGAAACCTCTTTCACTTGGTTCTCATTCTGTCTTGTCTGCTGCTGTGTAAGAGGTACCTTTCACCTTCTGCCATGATTGTGAGACCTCCTCAGCCACGTGGAACTGTGAGTCCATTAAACCTCTTTTTCTTTATAAATTACCCAGTTTCCGGTATGTCTTCATCACCAGCATGAAAACAGACTAATACAGATTTAAAGACTGTTATACATTAATGGTAGTTATAGCAACAAGACCAAAAATCATCTTAAATAAAAACCAGATTGGCTCAATGCCCCCACACTAAAAAAACAAAGAAGAAGAGACATTATAGTTGGGGATTTCAGTAGTCCTCTAAAAGTGGGTATAAATCTTACTGACCTCAGGCTTTACTGTTTTATACAAAATGTGCAGCAATCAATCAAAAATTATTAGACATACAACAACAAGAATGTATATTCTAATCTTGTTGGGTAGAGTATTCTATATGTGTCAACACGTCAAGTTGTTTGACAGTGGTTTTCTTATCTTCCAAATTCTTACTGATTTTCTGTCTAGTAGTTCTATTAATTACGTTTAGAGGACTACTGAAATCTCCAACTATAATTGCTAAATCATCTATTCTTTCAATTCTCTCATTGCTTCATGTATTTTGATACTATGTTGTTAGACGTATAATCACTTATAAATTTATATCTTCCTGATGTTTTGACCCTTTACTATTAGAAAATATTTCTCATTGTCTCTAGTAATATTGTTTGTCATAAAGTCTATTTTGTCTGAAATCAATATAGTCACTGCTGTTCTCTTATGACTACTGTTTGTAAGGTACATCTTTTTCCATCCCTTTACTTTCAACCAATTTTGTGTCTTTGAAAACACATGTGTTATTTCTTACAGACAGCACATTTTTGGATCCTGCTTTTTTATCCAGTCTGCCAATGTCTGCTTTTTCATGTAACTATTGATGTGGTTGGACTTGTCTACCATTTTACTATTTGTTTTTTATATGTCTCATGACCTATTTGCTTTTCTATTCCTTTTTACTGCCTTACTTTGTGTAAAATATTTATTTTCCAGTGTATCATTTTAATTCTACCATTGCTTTTTAAGCTTTTAAAATATTTTTTAGTTGTTTATCTAGAATTACTATGCATTTTTTTTTTGAGATGGAGTCTCGCTCTGTCACTCAGGCTGGAGTGCAGTGGCACGATATCGGCTCACTGCAACCTCCACCTCCTGGATTCAAGTTATTCTCCTGCCTCAGCCTCCCGAGTAGCTGAGACTACAGGCACGTCCACCATGTCCAGATAATTTTTTGTATTTTTAGTGGAGACAGGGTTTCACCATGTTAGCCATGATGGTCTCGATCTCCTGACCTCGTGATCTGCCCACCTCGGCCTCCCAAAGTGCTGGGATTACAGACGTGAGCCACCGCGCCTGGCCCTACTATGCATTATTAACTCATCATAATCTACTACAGGTTAACACTGACTTAATCTTTATTAAATATAGCAAATTTGATTCACTATAGCTCCATTTCCTCCTCCATCCTTATACTGTTATCATCATATATACTAAACATGGAATCAACCAAGAAGCCCATCGACAGCGGACTAGATAAAGAGAATGTGGTATACACACACCACAGAATACTATGCAACCATAAAAAGGATGAACTCATGTACTTCGCAGCAATGTGGATGCACCTGAAGGCCATTATCCTAAGTGAACTCATGCAGGAACAGAAATCCAAATACTGCATGATCTCTCTTAAAAGTGGGAGTTAAGTATTGAATACACATGGACACAAAGGTGAGAACAATAGACAGTGGTGACTTCTTGAGGTGGGGAGGGTAGAGCAGAGGTGGGTTGGAGGCTTATCTATCCGGTATTACACTCATTACCTCGGTGACGGGATCATTTGTACACCAAGCCTCAGCAACACGCAATTTATCCATGTAACATGTACCCCTGGAACATAAAATTAGGGAAAAAAAGATATGCCTTCTCTGTGGTATGCAGCCACTGATGTCTCTGGACATGTTTTTTAATCTTAATTTTCATTTTTTACCCTGGCTTTTTAGTGGTTTCACTTGTGTCAATGATTTGAATAGAGCTTGGACTCAAACATCTTAAGTCCATAAAGCTTTCCACCCTCTCTGTTGATTGTGTGTGTGTGGCCTGGGAATGTACTCACATTTGCAATTGGTTAAGTATCCCTTGGGATATATTTTTCTCCCAGCTCTCTCAGATCTCCCCATGCATCTGTGTAGTTTTCTATTCAACCAGGGATGTTTGGAAAGCTGATCTCATTTCCAGGATCTTTCCATTAAGTTTCTGGCTTTTCTAATACTACTCACCCCAGAAAGAACTGCAATCTCAAGTTAGCAAAGCAAATGATTTTTTTCTGTTCCCAACCAGTTTCATCAGTTTTAACGGCAAAGCCACATGTTTTTACCCCCACCTCCCACCTCAAATTAAGTCTATCTCCTATGACAGCCCCATGTCTTTACTGATCCAGCTGTTGGGGGTGAGGTGTGCAGAGGGGAAGACTACCTGGTTTGGTAAAAAATAATAATAATTAAGCATTCCCAGTTAAATTTGAAATCCAGATAAACAAGGAGTAATTTTTTAAATACAAATATGTCCCATTTAATATTTTGGACATACTTATACTAAAAAAGTATTTACCATTTATCTAAAGTTTAAGTTTTACTGGGCATCTGGTATTTTATCTAGCAACCCTAGGGGAATGGGAGGAGCCACAGGCCATATGAGCCTCATGTTCTTAGCTGAAATACTTTCATTTTCCAGAATAAACTCTTCTAAATTTTTTATCTACCTTTGGTCAATTTCCAGTGCCCTTAAGTGTTTGGTTTTGACAATGTCACCCAGTTTAGTATTTGCTTTGCAAAGAGAAATCATGATCATCTTTATCCTGCTATAACTAGAAACTGACCTTCCTTAATTAATAAATATAAATGTTTTTAGAAAAATTTAGTCTCAGATGTGCTAAGAAAATGAAGGGGAAAAATGCCAGTTCTGTTTATGACCAAACCCAGGTTTAATGATAGCATTTTCAGTTCACTGAAAATGATCCACAGAGAAAGCTCCAGAAAGAAGCTGGCCCCTTTCCCATGACGCTTCTCTTAGGGTGGGCTGTCCACATGTGCAGTGCCCTCCTTACTCTTGGGAGGTGAGCACACGTAGTGTGTTTAGGAAGTTGTATACATGCCCATATGGGTTTTTTTTTTTCCTTTTTCTAGTGGTGTGCCCTTGGAAGGTTATACTCTGCCACTTTGTCTCTTAATGTGCATGCCCAGAAAGTTGCTTCTCCTTGGCACCTGCATTCGATTAATACTTCAGGGCAACAGGTGTGGACCATCAGGAAATGACCTCTCCTTGGCACCAGCTGCCAATTTATCACTTTTAGAGAGGCAATGTGATAATCACCAAACCATCATCTGACATTCCTAGTGAGTGAGGGAAAGCCCTCCCCTGCCCCTGCCTGCTCATGTCTGTCTAAGTATCTGTAACTAAGAACCTAAAAAAGGTAAGAAATTATATTTTATCCTCTATACATGATAGTAACATAACACAGCTATTAGCATTGACAGAGCACTTCATATAATCCAGCTACTGTCATGTTTTAATCTTTGCTATGCCATTGGGCTGCCATATATTTCCATGGAACTGGCCTTGTAGTGGCCTACCACAGAGAAGGGAAGATTTGAGGTCAAAATCAGGCTTCAACACTCTTCACTTGTGCAGCTTGGGTTTCCTTGGCCATAAAAGAAAATGCAAAGCATAATGCAGGCCTTGGAAGCTTTGGAAGAAGGTTTTTTTAAACAAGCAGTTTCATTCTTCAAGTATTTCCCCCACTGTGATATTATGAAAAATATATTTGACCTTCCCCATTTCCTGGCAAAATTCTCCTAAAACCCTTGGGATCTCCAGAGTGATATGAGTGTCTTTTGTATGCTAATGAGATGACTGGTGGCTAGGGGCTCCTAGACAGCTTCTAGATGGGGGGAATGGTTATCATAAAGACCAAGGCATGATTTAAGAGTTAAGACTTTAAGCTTCACCCCCTAACCTCTGGGGAGAGGAGAGTCTAAATGTTGAGCTGATGACCAATGGCCAATGATATACTTAATCATGCCTATGTAATGAAGACTCCATGAACACCCAAAAGGACTGAGTTCTAGGAGGCTTTAAGGAATATGCAGAGGTTCCTAAAGGGTGACACACCCAGAGAAGGCATGGAAGCTCTGCACCCTTGTCACATGCCTTGACCTATGCATCTCTTCCATTTGGCTGTTCATCTGTATCCTCTGTAATATCCTTCATAATAAATGAGTAAACATAAATGAAGTGTTTCCCTGAGTTCTATGAGCCATTCTAGCAAATTAATTGAACCCTAGGAAGAGGTTATGGGAACCCCAAATTATAGCCAATTGGCCAGAAGTTCTGCAGGCCCCGACTTAACAACTGGCATCTGAAGTAGAGGACAATCTTGTGGGACTGAGCCCTCAACTTATGTGACCTTCCAGCCAATAGTATCACAATTAAACTGAATTAGACACTCACCTCGTGTCCACTGGAGAATCTGCTGAGAACTGATTGCCTTCTTGGTGTATAGGAAAAACACCAAACATTTGGTTACGGAGGTGTTCCTGTTTTAAAAGTATAGTAGAAGAAACTGAGTTTGCTTTTTTCTGTAACTTCAGATGCACTTTACCTCTAACTACCTCCAACTATTTCTCCCTATATTATTCAGAGTAGAATACATTCTTAAAATCCTTGATCTGCTAATTTTGCACTCTTAACACACAGATGAGGTCTCTTAGACCTCTAGTGCCATGTTTGGCAAAGTGTTGTAAATAAATAGTAATATCTGGCCAGGTGCAGTGGCTCATGCCTGTAATCCCAACACTTTGGGAGGCCAAGACAGGCTGATCACTTGACTCAGGAGTTCAAGACCAGCCTGGGCAACATGGTGAAACCCCATCTCTGCAGAAAAAAAAAAAGCAAAAATTAGACGGGGATACTTGTAATCCCAGCTACTTGGGAGGCTAAGGTGAGAGGATCGCTTGAGCCCAGGAGTACGAGGCTGCAGTGAGCCATGTTCACACACTGCCCTCCAGCCTGGGCAACAGAGTGAGACTATGTCTCAAAATAATAATGATAATAATATCTAATATTTAGTGAGCCCTTACTAAGTGCCAGGCACTGCTCTAAATTCTTTATTACAGTGACACTTTTAACTCTTAAAACAACCTAGAAGATATGGATTGTGATTATCCCAATTCTATGGATAAGGAAACTGAGATACACAGAAGTTAAGCAACTTGTCCAGAGTGACACAGCTGGTAACTGGCATCCTGGAATTCAAGCCCAAGTAACCCAGATTCAAAGGCTACACTCTGACCACAATGTCCTACTGCCTCTTTTTGAAGGAAAGAAAGAGCATGAAGAATGACTTTGTTAAACAAAAGATAAAATTAACTTCACTATCTCATTCCTCTGATCTAAAGCAAGTAAGGCTGTTTTATACAGGTACATTTTTAAATGAGATACTTCATTTAAATACCTCATTTAAATGAGGTGGAAAGAATGTTTAATTTATTATCCTAGATAATTGTAAGAAGATTAAAAGTAGATGCATTAACTTGAAATAAAGCCCCTGGGAACAATAAAATTTCAACAGAAATAAATTAACATTATTTTCCTACTAAATGTAACCCAGCCTTACTAGTTAACACGTTCCTGAGTATACTGTTTCAGTTATATTCCCCTATTCTTTGCATTTCAAGTAACAACAGCAATTGTACTAATTTGTTACTTGTATCAGGGTTTCTATTCTCAATCTATATACTAATAACTTCTACTTTTATGATGTTTTTCAATGTGTTAATTTTTTATACATTATCTCAATTAATTCAAAACAAGCCTTGAAATGGGCATTTTTTTCTCTCATTTTAGGATGAATCGGATGAAAACAGTGAGTTTAAGTAATTTTCTCAAGGTCACACAGCCTGTAAGTAAGTGGCAGAATACAGGTAAACCTCAATCCAAATTCCAAACTTAATCCCTTTCCTGTTGCCCCAAAGCTAGAAAAAAAAAGAAATGACTTTCACTATGATAGCAAATTCTATCCCTTGTGGACCATATTTACTAATATTGAGTAATAATATTTGTGCTTAATCTAGAACCTTGTCTCTGAAGAGCTGAAATAATTTAAGCTCTATTAATCTCACCAAATTTCTTCACAGCTCACAAAAGGAAAAGCTGAAATACGAACACAAGTCCTACCCTCAATCGAACATCTATCAGTTCTATGATTTCACAGTGTAAACCAAAAATAAAATTCTAAGGCCCCCCAACCATCTAAATGGAACCCTCCTTTAGGCCCAGGGCTTTCCAAAATTAACCTGAAAAACTTGCTCTGGTCATGATGGAAGAGGGAGTTGAACATGCCTCATTAGACCCTTCTCCCTTTTAGAATTCAGGAAAAGCTGACCAACATTAACAATGGCACAGACCTTAAGTCTGATAAGAAATATTTATAATCCAGGAGGTGGGACTATGATAGCCAACTAGAAACAGTGGCATTTGGAGGCTCCCATCAAAAAGAACCATAATAAGTATGTGAATCCTTCACCGGCAACCAAGGTATCCAGGTTCTCTCATCAGAACTGACTAGGAGTCTGGCACAATCCATTGAGAGCAAGGAAGAACAGGGTGGTCCAGTGGCCCACCTGACAGCCACATGGGGCAGGGGACCCCCCAATCCCCAGCCAAGTGAGGCAGTGAGTGAGCTACTACTCCATCAGGGAAACTGTGCTATTTCCACAGAACCGTGCAACCCACGGATTGGAAGATCCCACCAGTGAACCCACACTACAAGGGCCTAGCGTCCCAACCCTGGAGCCGTGCAGATTCTCAACAGCCTCTCAGATGGAATCTGCTTAAGCATACCAAGCTCCCATGGGGAGGGGTGACCAGCACCACAGCTGCAGCTGCCTGCTGTTTAAGCTCCTTGGGGAAGGGGCAGCAGCCAGCACTGGGACTCCCACATGCTAAACTCCCTGGGCGGGGGAAGGGCAGCATCCATCTCTATAGCTCCAGGCTACACTTTTCTCCTGATGGAGCCAGGGAGGCTGGATGGCTTGGTCCCAAGATATGTCCCCCACAGCCCAACACACCAGCTGTGGCAGACCACGGCCAGAGTGCCTCTTCAGGCCTGACCCTGACTCATCCTTCCTCACTGGGCCAGGCTTCCCTCCAGGAACTCCAGTAGCTCCAGCCAGAGGCTCAAGGACAGATCCCGGATCTCCCTGGGCCTGACCCCTAGGGGGAGAGCTGCCCACAGTCTCTATGGACCAGCAGACTTAGCCTTTCCTTCTGGTAGTTCTCAGGAATCCAGGCAGCCCAGATGAATGGGTTTCCCCCCAGCAAAGCACACCCCCTCCACCAAAGGACAGACAAAGTAGTTCATTAAATGGGTCCTGTTCCCCATGAAACACCCAACTGGGTGAGGCCCTCCAACAGGGGTTGTCAGACGCCCTATATACAAGAGCAATCCTACTAGCATCAGGTTGGTGCCCCTTAAGGTCAGAGATCCCAGAAGAAGGAGCAGGTACCCATCTGTGCTGTTCTCCAGCCTTACTGAGTGACATCTCCAGGTGCAGGAATGAACTAGATGAATAGGGCCTGAAGTGAACCCCCAGCAAACTGCAGCAGTCCTGCAGAAGAGGGACCTGACCATTGAAAGAAAAATAAACAAACAGAAAGCAAAAACAACAGCATCCACAAAACAAAAATAAGGCCCCACAAAAACCCTATCCAAGGGCCAGCAGCCTCAAAGACCAAAACTAGACAAACTCACAAAGATGAGAAAGAATCAACCAAAAAAACACCAAGAATCCAAAAGGCCAGAGTGCCTCTTCTCCTCCAAATGATCACAACACCTCTTCATCAAGGGTCCAGAACTGGACAGAGGATGAGATGGACCAATTGACAGAAGAAGGCTTCAGAAGATGGCTAATAAAAAACTATGCTGAGCTAAAGGAGCAAGTTCTAACCCAATCCAAAGAAGCTAAGAACCTTGACAGAAAGTTAGAGGAGCTGCTAACTAGAATAACCAGCTTAGAGAGGAACATAAATGACCTGATAAAACTGAAAAACACAGCATGAGAGCTTCATGAAGCATACACAAGTATCAATAGCTGGACAAACCGAGCAGAAGAAAGGATTTTACAATTTGAAGACCACCTTGCTGAAATGAGGCATACAGACAAGGCTAGAGAAAAAAGAATGGAAAGGAATAAGAAAAGCCTCCAAGAAACATGGGACTTCGTAAAAAGACCGAACCTACAATTGATTGGAGTACATGAAGGAGAAGGGGAGAATGGAAACAAGCTGGAAAGTACACTTCAGGATATTACCCTGGAGAACTTCCCCAACCTAGTAAGATAGGCCAACATGCAAATTCAGGAATCAGAACACCTCTAATATACTCCATGAGAATATCAACCCCAAGATGCCTGTCTTTACTGCAATCTCTGAACATAAATTGTGAAGATTTCATGGACACTTATCACTTCCCCAATCAATACCCTTGTGATTTCCTATGCCTGTCTTTACTTTAATCTCTTAATCCCGTCATCCTCATAAACTGAGGAGGATGTAGGTCACCTCAGGACCCTGTGATGATTGCGTTAACTGCACAAATTGTTTGTAGAGCATGTGTGTTTGAACAATATGAAATCTGGGCACCTTGAAAAAAGAACAGGATAACAGCAATGTTCAGGAAACAAGAGAGATAACCTTAAACTCTGACCACTGGTGAGCCAGGCAGAACAGAGCCATATTTCTCTTCTTTCAAAAGCAAATAGGAGAAATATCGCTGAATTCTTTTTCTCAGCAAGGAACATCCCTGAGAAAGAGAATGCATCCCTGAGGGTAGGCCTCTAAAATGGCCGCTTCGCGGGGCGGCCGTCTTTTATGGTCGAAGCTGTAGGGATGAAATAAGCCCCAGTCTCCCTTAGCACTCCCAGGCTTATTAGGATGAGGAAATTCCCGCCTAATAAATTTTGGTCAGTTGGGTTGTCTGCTTTCAAACCCTGGCTCCTGATAAGATGTTATTAATGACAATGCATGCCCAAAACTTCAGTAACAATTTTAATTTTGCCCCGGTCCTGTGGTCCTGTGATCTCACCCTGCCACCATTTGCCTTGTGATATTCTATTACCTTGTGAAGCATGTGACCTGTGTGACCCACACCCTATTTGTATAATCCCTCCCCTTTTGAAAATCACTAATAAAAACTTGCTGGTTTTAAGGCTCAGGGGGCATCACGGAACCTGCCGACATGTGATGTCTCCCCTGGACACCCAGCTTTAAAATTTCTCTCTTTTGTACTTTGTCCCTTTATTTCTCAGACCAGCCAACACTTAGGGAAAATAGAAAAGAACCTACGTGAAATATCAGGGGTGAATTTTTCCTGATATCTGGCTGAATTTCCCCCGATACTCCAAGGTCAAAATGAAGGAAAAAATGTTAAGGGCAGTCACAGAAAAAGGCCAGGTCACCTACAAAGGGAAGCCCATCAGACTAACAGCAGACCTCTCAGCAGAAACTCTACAAGCCAGAAGAGACTGGGAGCCAATATTCAGCATTCTTAAGGAAAAGAATTTTCAACCCAGAATTTCATATGCAGCCAAACTAAGCTTCATAAGCAAAGGAGAAATAAAATCATTTCCAGACAAGCAAATGCTGTGAGGGATTTTGTTAACACTAGGCCTGCCTTGCAAAAGATCCTGAAAGAATAACTAAATATGGAAAGGAAAAACTGATACCAGCCACTGCAATAACACACCAAAACATAAAGACCAATGACACTATGAAGAAACTGCGTCAACTAATGTGGAAAATAACCAGACACCATCATGATGACAGGACCAAATTCACACAAAACAATAGTGGCCTTAACTGTAAATGGACTAAATGCCCCAATTAAAAGACACAGACTGGCAAATTGGATAGAGTCAAGACCTATTGGTGTGCTGTATTCAGGAGACCCATCTCATGGGCAAAGACACACATAGGCTAAAAAAAAAAAAGGGGGGGATGGAGGAAAACTTACCAAGCAAATGGAAAGCAAAATAAAGCAGGGGTTGCTATCCTAGTCTCTGGCAAAACAAGACTTTAAACAACAAAGATAAAAAATGACGAAGAAGGCATTACATAAGGGCAAAGGGAACAATTCAAAAAGAAGAGCTAACTATTCTAAATATATATGCACACAATACAGGAGTACTCAGGTTCATTAAAAGTTCTTAGAGACCAACAAAGAGATTTAGACTCCTACACAATAATAGTGGGAGACTTTAACACCCAACTCTCAATATTAGACAGATCAATGAGACAGAAAAATACCAAGGATATTCAGGACTTGAACTCAGCTCTGGATCAAGTGGACCTAGTAGACAACTACAGAACTCTCCACCCCAAATCAACAGAATATACATTCTTCTCAGGGTCACACAGCACTTATTCTAAAATTGACCACATAATTGGAAGTAAAACACTCCTTAGCAAATGCAAAACAACTGAAATAATAATAAACAGTCTATCAGACAACAGTGCAATCAAATTAGAACTCAGGATTAAGAAACTCCCTCAAAACCATACAACTACATGGAAATTAAACAACCTGCTCCTGAATGACTCATTGGTAAATAATGAAATTAAGGCAAAAACCAAGAAATTATTTGAAACCAATGAGAACAAAGAGACAACATACCAAATTCTCTGTGACACAGTTAAAGCAGTGTTAAGAGGGAAATTTATAGCACTAAATGCCCGCATTAGAAAGTTAGAAAGATCTCAAACTGGCACAATAATATCACAATTAAAAAACTAGAGAGGCAAGAGCAAACTAATCCAAGAAATAACTAAGATCAGAGCAGAATTGAAGGAGATAGAGATACAAAAAAACTTCCAAAAAATCAAGGAATCCAGGAGCTGGTTTTTGAAAAAATTAACCAAATAGATAGACCACTGGTTAGACTAACAAAGAAGAAAAGAGAGAAGAATCAAATAGGCACAATAAAAAATGATAAAGGGGACATCACCACTGACCCCACAGAAATACAAACTACCATCAGAGAATACTATGAACACCTCTATGCAAATAAACTAGAAAATCTGTAAGAAATAGATGAATTTCTGGACCCACACAACCCCCGAAGACTAAACTAGGAAGAAGTCAGATCTTTGAATAGACCAA
Organism: Homo sapiens; assembly: GCF_000001405.40. NCBI lineage: Eukaryota > Metazoa > Chordata > Mammalia > Primates > Hominidae > Homo > Homo sapiens. Next base: position 113,726,940 of record NC_000005.10, on the reverse strand, counting down.
TAACAAGTTCTGAAATTGAGGTAGTAATTAATAGCCTATCAATAAAAAAAAAAAAACCCAGGACCAGATGGATTCACAGCCAAATTCAACCAGAGGTACAAAGAGGAGCTGGTACCATTCCTTCTGAAACAATTCCAAACAATTGAAAAGGAGGGACTCCTCCATAACTCATTTTATGAAGCCAGCATCATCCTGATACCAAAATCAGGAAGAGACACAACAAAAAAAGAAAACTTCAGGCCAATATCCCTGATGAACACTGATGCGAAAATCCTCAATAAAATACTGGCAAACAAAATCCAGCAGCACATCAAAAACCTTATCCACCAAGATCAAGTCAGCTTCATTTCTGGGATGCAAGGCTGGTTCAACATACATAAATCAATAAATATAATCCATCACATAAACAGAACCAATGACAAAAACCACATGATTATCTCAATAGATGCAGAAAAGGCCTTTGATAAAATTCAAAATCCCTTCATGTTAAAAACTCTGAATAAACTAGGTATTGATAGAACATATCTCCAAATAATAAGAGCTATTTATGACAAACCCACAGCCAATATAATATAAAATGGTCAAAAGCTGGAAGCATTCCCTTTGAAAACTGGTACAAGACAAGGACGCCCTTTCTCACCACTCCTATTCAGCATAGTATTGGAAGTTCTAGCCAGGGCAATCAGGCAAGAGAAAGAAATAAAGGGTATTCAAACAGGAAGAAAGAAAGTCAAATTGTCTCTGTTTGCAGACAATATAATTTTATATTTAGAAAACCCAATCATCTCAGCCCCAAAACTCCTTAAACTGATAAGCAACTTCAGCAAAGTCCCAGGATACAAAATCAATGTGCAAAAATCACAGGCATTCCTTTGCACCAACAATAGACAAGCAAAGAGCCAAATCATGAATGAAATGCCATTCACAATTGCTACAAAGAGAATAAAATACCTAGGAATACAGCTAACAAGGAATGTGAAGGACCTCTTCAAATCGCTGCTCAAGGAAATAAGAGAGGACACAAACTAATGGAAAAACATTTCACGTTCATGGATAGGAAGAATCAATATTGTGAAAATGGTCATACTGCCCAAAGTAATTTATAGATTCAATGTTATTCCCATCAAACTATCATTGATATTCTTTACAGAATTAGAAAAAACTGTAAATTTCATATGGAATCAAAGAAGACCCCCATATAGCCAAGATAACCCTAAGCAAAAAGAACAAAGCTGCAGGCATCAGACTACCTGACTTCAAACTATACTACAAGGCTACAGTAATGAAAAAAGCATGGTACTTGTACCAAAGCAGACATATAGACCAATGGAACAGAATAGAGACCTCAGAAATAACATGACACATCTGCAACCATCTGATCTTCAACAAACCTGACAAAAACAAGCAATGGGGAAAGGATCTCCTATTCAATAAATGATGCTGGGAAAACTGGCTAGCCATATGTAGAAAACTGAAATTTGACCACTTCCTTACACCTTATACAAAAATTAACTCAAGATGGATTAAAGACCTAAATATGAAACCCAAAACCATAAAAACCCTAGAAGAAAACCTAGGCAATACCACTCAGGACATAGCATGGGCAAAGTCTTCATGATGAAAATGCCAAAAGCAATTGCAACAAATGCCAAAATTGACAAATGGGATCCAAATAAACTAAAGAGCTTCTGCACAGCAAAAGAATCAATCATCAGAGTGAACACTCAACCTACATAATGGGAGAAAATTTTTGCAAGCTACCCATCTGACAAAGGTCTAATATCCAGAATTTATAACGAACTTAAAAAAATTTGCAAGAAGAAAACAACCCCATCAAAAAGTAGGCAAAGGATATGAACAGACACTTATCAAAAGAAGACATTTATGAGGCCAACAAACATATGAAAAAAAGCTCAACATCACTGATCATTAGAGAAATCCAAATCAAAACCACAGTAAGATACCATCTCACCCAAGTCAGAATAGTGATTATTAAGAAGCCAAGAAACGACAGATGCTGTCAAGGCTGTGGAGAAATCAGAATGCTTTTACACTTGGTGGGAATGTAAATTAGTTCAACCACTGTGAAAGACAGTATGGCAGTTCCTCAAGAAGCTAGAACCAGAAATACAATTTGACCCAGCAATCCCATTACTGGGCATATACCCAAAGGAATATAAATCATTCTACTATAAAGACACATGCACACGTATGTTTACTGCAGCACCATTTATAATAGCAAAATCATGGAACCAACACAAATGCCCATCGATAATAGACTGGATAAAGAAAATGTGGTACATATACACCATGGAATACTAGGCAGCCATAAAAAGGGGCCAGGCACAGTGGCTGACACCTGTAATCCCAGCACTTTGGGAGGCTGAGGTGGGCAGATCATGAGGTCAGGAGTTCGAGATCAGCCTGGCCAAAATAGTGAAACCCCGTCTCTATTAAAAATACAAAAATTAGCCAGATGTGGTGGCGTGTGCCTGTAGTCCCAGCTACTCGAGAGGCTGAGGCAGGAGAATCACTTGAACCCGGGAGGTGGAGGTTGCAGCGAGCCAAGATCATGCCACCGCACACCAGCCCAGGTGACAATGCAAGACTCCATCTCAAAAAATGAAAAAAAAAAGGAATGAGATCATGTCCTTTGCAGGAACATGAATGAAGCTGGAAGCCATCATCCTCAGCAAACTAACAGGAACAGAAAACCAAACACCACATGTTCTCACTCATAAGTGAGAATTGAACAATGAGAACACATGGACACAGGGGAGGGGAACAACACACACCAGGGCCTGTTGGGGGGTGGGGGGCAAGGGGAAGGAACTTAGAGGATAGGTCAGTTGTAGGTGCAGCAAACCACTATGGCACATGTATACCTACGTAACAAACCTGCACATTCTGCACATGTATCCCGGAACTTAAAGTAAAAATTTTTTTTAGAAAAGAAATATTTACAATCTATTCTCCCTGAAGTCTGCTACTTGGAGGCTTCATCTGCATGATAAAACCTAGGTTTCCACAACCCCTTGTAGTAACCCAATCTTTTCTATTGATAATAAATCTTTCAACCAACTGCCAATCAGAGAATTTTTAAATCTACCTATGACCTGGAAACCCCTCCCACCTGCCCCCAACTTTGAGTTGTCCTGCCCTTCCAGATTGAACCAATGTAAATCTTACATGTATTTGATTGATGTCTCATGTCTCCTTGAAATGTCTAAAACTAGGCTGTGCCCTGACCACCTTAGGCACATGTTCTTAGGAGCTCCTGAGGGCTGCGTCACAGGCCATTGGTCACTTATATATGGCTCAGAACAAATCTTTTCAAACATTTTACAGAATTTGAATAATTTTGTCAACAGCAGTGAGCGCCATAGTTAAGTAACTTAGCCTGGACTTTATTTGCTTTTAAGTCACAGAACAAAAAGTAAAAGAAACTGAAGGTAACTTCACTGTTTCCAAGGCTCTGGGAGAACTGAGATCTGTTTAGGAGTCTTTTTAACCCTGCAAAAACAGCAAAGTGGAGGAAAGATCACAGCTGAGTAAGCAGATGAGGTGATCAACCTAGTTCTTCCATTCACACTAGCTGAGTAGCTTAGGGCAGATATTTCAACCTTGTCTAGGCACAGATGCTTCATCTCTTCCATAAAGGGAAAGGGATCTAGGTCAGGTCTTTGGTTCAAATTCTATCCTGTTTCGTAAATCAGGCCGATCGGAACACTGCCACATCCATTCATCATTTGCCGCTTTTGCACTACAAAGGCAGAGTTGAGTAGTGACAGAAACCATCTTGCCTGCAAAGCTTAAAGTATTTACTATTTGGCCCTTTATAGAAAATGTTTGACAATCTCTGGGCTAGATCACGCTCCAGCCTTCTTCCTCTGACTGCAAATCTCCGGTCATGACAGAATATAAAAATATATATAAATTCTGTAATAGCCCTGATAAACAAGAAGAAGTGTTCTTGGGCACTTAAATTTATGAGGAATCCCTGACAGACATAAGGCAAATGGGATTAGAGGAAAATGGAAAACTACAACACATAATACACCCAGAAAAAAAGGCAGGCATAAAAGGCAGGAATGACTCCAGGGAACATCTGGCTCAGAAAAACAATTAGAGAGAGTAGAAGGGTCCATCAGCAGCTGGGAGAGTGGTTGGTCAGGACCTGTCAGCAGGAGTAATCAGATAGCCTACCCCTCTCCAACCTCCCCATGTCCAGCCTCAGCAGCAAAGTCATCTGCCACCAGACTTGAGCAGTGAGGTGGGGCACGTTAGCCAGGGTATTAGGACAGATATGAGCTCCGGATGACTAGCAATACCCAGGAAAAACAGGGGAGTTACATTCCTAGGAGAAAAGCTACAGGTATATTCCACCTACTGGCATAGACCCCCAGTCATTACAGATCAGGAGTCACAAAGAGATAAAGCATTGACAGGAGTAATTACAACATGAGCTCAACCAAACATTGGTGGACACAGGAGGAATACCAGCACCAGGATATTCTAAGTGGCCCCAAACAAAAACACAACCTAAGGGACACTGAGCAAACAGTGTTACTACAGCAAACAGAACAAGACTTAGAATAAAACATAAAATATATAAAGAATGCTTAGAAATAAATTTAAACGACAATGAATCTCAAAAAAAAAAGACAGAGAGAGCAACCAAAGCATATGAACAGGCAAGGCAATTCACAAAAGAGGAAATTCAGACAGCCATAAATACATTAAAATGTTCTAATTCTCACCAGTAATCAGGAAGATTCAAACTCAATAATTACCAACTATTCCTGCTTCCCAAAGATTGACAAAACTTTGAGAGAATGATAACTGTTGCTGAGTAAGGGGAAATAAGTATTCTTACACCCCATTAGTAGAAGTGTAATTTAAATCCACCTGTTTAATATTAAATATGCATATTTCTTTTAATCCAGCAATTCTATCTCTTAGTATCTACCTGAAAGAAGTATTTTTACATATGCAGAAAGATGCACAAACAAGAAAATTCATGCAACACTGCATAAATAAAGAAAATTAAAACAGCATAAATTCCTATCAGTAATGGATTAACAAACTCTAGTATGTGCTAGCTAGGAAATACTTTGTATTCTATGGCACACCAACTCTAATAAAATATGAACTCCTGAAGGACAATGACTTTTTTGACCTTATTCCCTTGACTGTGAACAATGTCTGTCATAAAGAAGCACTGAGGATTCTTTATTGAAAGAATTAACAAATCTATAAGAACATGCCAATACTGTTCCTTGGAAGGTTGACATATATGGATAGCATCAACATACTCCCTTTCTCTCCAGCTTCTGACTCTGTTCAGCCAATGAGAATCTCCCTCCAATATCAAAGAGGGTGTTTTGGTCTAGTCAAGCTACCATAACAAAATACCACAGATTGGGTAGCTTAAACAACAGGAATTTATTTTCTCATAGTTCTGGAGGCTGTAAAGTGCAAGATCAAGATTCAGTGGGGTTTGGTTTCTGGCAAGGACTCTCTTCCTGGCCTGCAGATGTGCAGATGGCATCTTTTGTTCTTATTGTTTTTGTGGTTTTGTTGTTTCGTTTTGTTTTTGTTTTGAAACAGGTCTCATTCTGCCACCCAGGCTGGAGTGCAGTGGTGCAGTCACAGCTCACTGCAGCCTCGATCTCCCAGCCTCAACCAATCCTCTCACTTCAGCCTCCTGAGTAGCTGAGACTACTGGTGTGAGCCACCATACCAGGCTCATTTTTTTTCTTTTTTTGGTAAAAACAAGGGTCTCATTATGTTGCCCAAGCTGATCTCAAACTCCTGGGCTCAAGGGATCCTCCCACCTCAGTCTCACAAAGTGCTGGGATTACCAGCAAGAACCACTGCACCCGGCTGCCACCTTCTTGCTATGTGCTCCATGGTCTTTTTTCAGTCGGCGCACATGCAGAGAAAGAGAGCAAGCTCTCACTCCCTTTCTCTTTTTGTATAAGGGCACTACTCCCATTATGAGGGTCTGTCCTTATGACCTCATCTAACCCAAATTACCTCCCCAAAACGCCGTCTCCAAACACTATCATGTTGGAGGTTAGGGCTTTAATATATGAATTTTGAGGCGGTGGAGGGGGATAGAAATATGCAATCCACAATAGAAAGGAAGGGATGGAGAGCTTTTTATTTCCTTGATTCCCTCCCTGTGGAATTGGTTTAGACTGACTGCCTCCCTCCACTGAAGGTCTCAGCCCTGCCAAGCAGCCCATTCCACACAACTCTCTCTGTCTCTGTCTCTCTTTGTCTCTCTCTCTCTATTGCTGTTTCTTTTTCTGTCTCTCACAACCTCTCCCTCTCCCCAAAAACTCCTCCTCTCACCCTTCCCTGTTCTGGTCTAGAGGTGGTAGGAGTGTCTTTATTATTACTAATCTCAGGGTACTTGCCTATGATTTCCCTATACACGGCCATAAAATTTAGTTTATGAAGATTCAATCAAATTACTTAGTTGGAGTTGATCCATTTGCTTTCTATCTGGACCCTGAATTACATGACAGATTGATATGAAAAGATGTTTAAAGCATTTATAAGTGAAGAATGCAAACTTCAGACAAATGCACAGATGATGACGTGATTAACGTAATATATATAAAACAAAACTAAATATTTTTATATGTACATATGTATATGTAAATACAGGGAAATAGATATGAAGGGATGCAGACTAAATTGATTACAGTGATTATGTCTAGAAGAAACAGATTTGGGATATGGGCAAGGAAGAGAGATTAAGGGAAATTTTCAATGTATATATATTGTTAGCATTTTTAACAATAAGTAAGCATTTCCATATAACATACTTAATTAAAATATCTTAGAAAAAATGAAGAAAATTAAATGTCTACAATATTTTTAAAATTACAGACATAATACAATATTTTTTAAAGTATATACATCAAAATATCAGCAGCGGTTACTACCAGACAGTAATACTACATACTGTCTTAGTCTGTTTTGTGCTGCTATAACAGAATACTTGAGACTGGGTAATTTATAAAGAACAGAAATTTATTTTCTCACAATTCTGGAGGCTGGGAATCTTAAGATCAGTACACCAGCGGGTTCATTGTCTGGTGAGGGTCTTATGACATCCTCACATGGCAGAAGGTAAAAGGGCAAGAGATGGAGCATTGCATAAAGCCTCTTTTATGTGGCCCTTAATCCTATTCACAAGGGAGGATCCCTCATGGCCTAATCCCTCTTAAAGGCTCCACTTCTTAATATCATCATACTGGCCATTTAGTTTCAACACCTGAATTTGGAAGGGGATTCATTCAAGCTACAGCATTCTGCCCTTGGCCCCCAAAATTCATGTCCTTCTCACATGCAAAATACATCTACATATGATCTTTGTTATTTTCTCCTTTCTGTTCTCAAAGTTTTCTGAACTCAAAAACATATGACTTTTGTAATTTGGAAATAATTTACATCATGAGTTGGACAAATTAAATAGGGTTTAATTAGATAACCTCTAAAGTTGCTTCCAGTTCTAAACTCTGAACTCTGACATTTCATTTAAAATAAACACAAAATTATCAAATTAGCAGAAAGCTACAAGGAAATTAGAAGTTTGCCCAAGTAATAGTGGGCTTGAGGAGGATAAATGACACATAAATATTCAGAAGAGGAAAACATACAGAAGAAAGCCATCTACAGCTATTCAGAGACACTCAGCTACTTCTGTGAGTGGGGACTGGGTAGATGAACACAGCCTTCTCTCTACTGGTAAGTATTCAAATTCTGGGGCCTGGTGTATGTCACAAGGAAACAGCACATGGATCAATCAATTCTCCTCCTGTGAGTAAGAGGGAATGAAGAATAAGGCGTCCAAGGCCTAAGTTTGGCTTGTGTATGGATCAAAGACAAATCAGTCTATCCTCCTAAGCTAAACACAAGTGCCAAAACAAATGGGTGTTGATAGCAACTGGCAAAAAGGTACTTTCCATCCACTGATGGAGAGCCTGTAGGACTATAATTAAAAAAAATATTTAATGTTGTGGAAAAAGCAATTGGGACACCACAGCTGTGTTCTAGTGACAAAGACATAACACAACACACCGCACTAAAAAGAGCCAATGCTGATCCTCCTGTTCAAAAATAGAGTGAGCAGAGGGTGTAGCAGCAGTCCACTAATACCTCACAGCCATTTGGCTATGAGAATGGAAAAACCTGGAAAGGCCAAAGAAATCCTATAGAAATACTATAGAAAATGAGCCAGTAGCAATCAAACCAAGATTGATGTGTTTGCATCAAGATAATAAAAGTAATATTATCATAACATGTAAGAGTGCTATTTTTCCTAGAACACAAAGGAACTTAATTTCACTCATTTCTATTCTGTTCTGGTTTAAATCCCTGGCTGGATCGTCACTGTCTGTGTGTCCTTGGGGCAAATTCCTTCACTTCTCATCCTTCGGATTGCATATACAGTGTGTGCTACATGGTAGATTCTATATTCACATCCTTCCCCCACTTCTCATTTTTTCCCTTTTCTTCTTATATATATAGCTTTATGCAGATACCAGATATATTTTTAGCATTATTTTCAACCCACTAAAATAAATTATGCTATAGAAAGCAACTTGTTTACAAAGCAGATTCACGAATCTGAATGCTAAAGAGAAAGAGGAATTCCCTTCTCAAGTATAAAAATAACTTGAGTTTCTTTTTATTAGCAAATAACCTGCTAATAGGAAAAAAAATGGAGATTTAGTAAAATGTGCTATGAATTTTCTAAAGTGCATGCCTATCTTAAACCCTATAAAGGGCCATTGAGCAATTTTTGTGGGGAAAAAAAAGAAGCAATAATGTTCTAAGAGAAAAGTCAGAGAATAAAAATGTATTCAGAACTACAGTACAATTCCAATTCCATATGGTAAGTGTCTGAGGTGGGGTCCCAGGGGCAGATCCTAAGATGCAGATTCACATAAAACTGATTTACTGGGAAGTATTTCAGGGAGCAAACAGTAGGGAAGTGGGGAAAGGAAACATGATAGGAAAAAAAGCTCTTCAAGGGTGAGATCTCAAGCCAACTCTTTGAGAATGTAGCTTAGCTCAATTACACAGAGACCTCTGGAGATAGTGTAGGTTGCTGTCCCATTAAGGGCAAGGAAGTTGGAGTGTTTATTACCTTGCACCTGTCAGTCATTGGTTAAGGACTGGCTCTGGGAAGCCAAATTCCCAGGCACTCTCTGCTCCCTTTTGCACAAAAACAAAGCCATTTCCAGCAGCCTGAAGGCAGCCCTTCCAGAGAGAAAGCACTAAGGAGGCAGTACACAAGTAAATGGAATTGACCTTGGGATGTGGGCAGAGCACTGATAGTACATACTCAAGTGTTTGAACATGGGTTGATCTCTACCTTTATACTTGCCCTGAAAGTCCATCCCTAGGACCTTTCCTGCGAATTCATTTTCAAAGAAATAGAGTATATACTCTGGAATTTCTCAATAGCATAGACTTAATTTCCATAGATAAACACAAATTAATCAATATATTCCTATAAGCAAATTTAGTGGTAAAATGAAAGCCAATCTTAACTCTTGGTGTTGGAAGAAATTATATATTCTTCTCTGTTATAGTCACATTTGCAAATCTTTGAAACAGAGCCTATTCAGGTGTTGTTTTGGAACTGTTCTTACTATATTTAGGAATATCAATCCCTCGAGAAGTAAGATTTATTAAGATATAACAATGTCAGTCCTCTTATAAATATGTATTGAACACAGAATGCAGCAAAACCTGAAGTAGGAGCTCCACAAAACAATGGTCATTATGGATGTAAATTTGTCCATGTGCATCCTATTCTACTACTTGACTCTTATTTCAGTCAGCCAACTTGAAAATTGTTATCTGCATTAGCAAAGAAAAGATCATCATATTAGGCTCTACTCAAAATCATCTGCTGCAAATTGTAGTGCAGAATCAATAGATTCTTAGGACAACATAGGTCTCAGAAAGTTCAGGCTACTTATCTACATGATTCATCTTTAATTCTCTAAGGAATTTGCAACTTTGGTGTCTTTCAACTCCGATGTCCTTCATGGTGGCTATACATTTTATGAACATATATCACTAGCATTTTTGGGAAGATTTCTGTAAACATTTTTCTCAGCTCCTGGGCTACTGTCAAAGGTTCAGGCTTCCACTGACACCTTCCAGAACCTCCACTCCTGTATCCACCATCTTATGCACTCAGAAACCAAGAAGATCTCCTAGTTCTGCAAAGCATAATAGGGCATAAGCCACTCCCAGGACTGATCCCACTGTCATTAATATAATTCTAGAATGCCGAGACCAGCTCGGTCGGGGAGACCCTAACCCAGCGGCGCTAGAGGAATTAAAGAGACACACACAGAAATATAGAGGCATAAAGTGGGAAATCAGGGGTCTCACAGCCTTCAGAGCTGAAAGCCCCAAACAGAGATTTACCCACGTATTTATTAACAGCAAGCCAGTCATTAGCATTGTTTCTATAGATCTTAAATTAATTAAAAGTATCCCTTATGGGAAAAGAAGGGATGGGCTGAATTAAAGGAATAGGTTGGGCTAGTTAACTGCAGCAGGAGCATTTCCTTAAGGTACAGATCGCTCATGCTATTGTTTGTGGCTTAAGAATGCCTTTAAGTGGTTTTCCACCATGGGTGGGCCAGGTATTCCTTGCCCTCATTTTGGTAAAGCCACAACTTTCCAGCATGGGCATTAGGGCCATCATGAACATGTCACAGTACTGCAGAGATTTTGTTTATGGCCAGTTTTGGGGCCAGTTTATGGCCAGATTTTTGGGGAGGGGGGGCTTGTTCCCAACATGTCCCCCTTCTTTGGTTTGCAAATCAATAAAAGCAAAGGCAGCTTTGTCACGGTGAGCTACTTCTCACAGGAGTCAGGATCCACATCTGCAGACTATGCAAAGACAAACAACACAGATTAAAAGCACAATCATCATTGAAATCACAGAGCTTCCAAGTGTTTTTATCCATTTTAATGGGTTACTAGCTGCTAATTTGTCTGCAGCTCCTTTAAGCACTCCAGTTCCTGGCATTAAGGCCAGGTGTGCCTGGGATGCTTTAAATATTTGTTCTTTTAATTTTGCAATATCCAAAAACAAGTTTGTAGAGTGTCCTTTTAGATGCTTTTTTATTCTTTCCCAAACTTTGATCTTATTAAGAGCTATTAATAGTTTCCACAAATCCTTATGTTTAGCTCCTACAATGGGCCATATCATTTGAGGTTGAGGTGCCACTATACCGCCATGATTCCAGATAATATGAACTCTTGCTGGACTTCTTATCATTTCTACCATCTGACCATTTTGTTCAGATCAGCTGAACATAGTTGGGCCATGGCACGTAGACTAAGAGGTGCAATTCAAACTAAACATTCCCTTAGGGGACCAGTGAATAATGATTCCATAGGAATCACTGTCCAGCACCTCTGCCTGTTCTGCAAAGCAATCTTCCTAAACAAGTACGTTCATTATTTCTGGCCAGGTTCTATTTTGTTTACAAATAGGTTTTTGAAGGCCGTATGCCTCAATTATAGGAGCAGATTATGGTAAATACTGAGATCAGAAAGCATGTGTAACTGTCTCATAGAGTGATTATATCCAGGCATTATTACCAGCCACAATTGATAAATATGCCCAATAAGTATAATTGTTCTCTGTGTCAGCCCTTGTGGAAGGAATACTCACAGTAGTGGTGATAACTGCTATCATAGCTACCATTAAATTACTCATTGTGACTGGTTGCCCTGCTTTCCTCAGGTTTTCTTCCACCATCTGTGACAGCTTCTTGATCTGTCAGGTGGATGGCTGTGTTCGACAGGTGTTGCTCATGACAGTTGAGACTCCTCAGCATCAGTCTCAACATGGCTGCAACCAGGGGGTCCTTGGGATCCTCCCAGCATCTCTTCCTCACATCTGGCTCATGATAAGGTTTTAGGTGTCTTGATGGTATTCAAATTGGCTGTTGATTTTGGCTGGGAGAAACACAAGCATAACCTCTACTCCCAGTTATCATTTTACCTATTTCCTAATTTTTTGTTATTGGATCTTTTCACCAAGTAATGCTAGATTCAATTGTGTATGGACTGTCCTGTAATCCCTGTTTCTCCTCCTTTTTTATTTTTGTCATCAGTTGTTCATCTGTATGAAATCATAACTGAGCATTTTCAATTAACTGTGTGTAATGAACCATGTATGAAGAATCAGAATCACATTAATAGGCATATTAAAAGCAGTCAATACCTCAATTACAGCTACAAGCTCCAATTTTTGAGCTGAAGTATAGGGCATCTGGAAAACTTTGCTTTTTGATCCAGAATAAGAAGCTTTACCATTGCTAGGCCCATCTGTAACACAATGAAAATGTTTAGCAGGCTGCAGGCTGTTTACTGCAGGAATTATAAATGCAAACCATTTACAGTCTTGCTCAGCTAAAGGGATAGTAAAGAAACAGTCTTTTAAACCTATGACTATTAAAGGCCAATTTTTTGGAATTACAGCAGGAGAAGGCAATCCTGGCTGTAATGCTCCCATAGGTTGTATAACTGAATTGATGGCTCTTAGGTGAGTTAACATTCTTTATTTACCTGATTTTTTCTTAATTACAAAAACTGGAGAATTCCAAGGGGAAAATGTTGGAGCTATGTGCCCATTTTCTAATTGTTCAGTAACTAATTTCTCTAAAGCCTCCAGTTTCTCTTTACTTAGTGGCCACTGTTCTATCCAAATTGGCTTATCTGTTAACCATTTTAAAGGTACAGGTTCTGGAGGCTTAACAATGGCCGCCATCAAAAATTATTTCCTAATCTTTGGCGGGAACTTTGTTTTTCCACTTGAAGTGGTTATTTCAAACCTTGCAAATTTTTTTCTAGTCCAATACCAGGGACATACCCCATTTCATGCATCATATATTGACTTTGAGGGCTATGTAATTGTTCTGGAATTAGAACTTGTGCTCCCCATTGTTGTAATAAATCTCTCCCCCATAAATTTATAGGTACAGAAGTTACAATTGGTTGAATAGTCCCAGGTTGTCCATCGGGACCTTCACAATGCAAAATATAACTACTTTGATATGCTTCAGGGGCTTTACCAACTCCAACTATGTTAAATTGAGTGGGTTGAATTGGCCACGTGGATGGCCAATGCTGTAGAGAAATAATTGAAATGTCTGCTCCTGTATCTACCAAGCCTTTAAATTTCTTTCCCTGAACAGTTATTTCACAGGTAGGACGTTTATCAGTAATTTGATTTACCCAATAAGCTGCTTTGCCTTGTTTATTTGTGCTTCCAAATCCTCCTGTTCATTTAGTTTCACTTTTCCCCATTCCCATATACAGCACAATCAGGAGCTGTGCTACACACTCTCCTGGCTCTGCTTTCCAGGGAACAGAAGTAGATATAACAATTTGAATTTCCTCATTGTAATCTAAATCAATGACTCCTGTATGTATTTGTACCCCTTTTAAACTTAAATTAGACCTTCCTAGAAGTAATCCTATTGTCCCCACTGGCAAGGGTCAACAGACTTCTGATGGGACCTTTTGTGGGGGTTCCCCAGGCAGAAGGTTCACAGCTTTTTTGCAGCATCAATCTACTGTGGCATTACTGGCTGTGGTGGGAGACAGACATTGCACAGGGGTGAGGGAATGGCCTGAGCTGGAAATGCCCTTGTTTGGAATGGGGCCAGGGATGGGCCCCAAATGGCATTTCCTGAAATCAGATTCCCATCTTTATGAAACTTAGAGTGACACTGATTAGACCAATGTTTTCCTTTTTTACATTTTGGACATATTTCAGGCTCAGCAGTTTTCTTTTTTCCCCTATCTGGTGGCCTGACTCGCTGATTTTTTCTACATTCTTTTTTAGTATGAATAGCTTGTTTAAATTCTTTGAGTAATTTAAAAGGAAAAAGCTCAAATGTAGCTATAATATTTCCCTGCTGATCTGGGGGATGTATTCTAACAGGAAACTGCCAAACCTCTAAATCACCCGCTCGTTTAGCTTGCTGAATTCCTGTCTGAATAGAACTAAGAGTGGTTGCTTGAGGTGCTGCTCGAACAGTCACTGGGGCAACTACTTTTCGCCCAGTGTTCTCCAGAAAAGAAAGACCTGGAGGGTCTTTTTCTTCAAAATAATAATGAGGGGGTGCAGAAGGATAGGGATGAACCTCTCCCTCCTTTGCCGCTTTAGCTTTAGCTGGCAAATAAACCTGGTCTGTAACCTCTTCTGTTACTTCGTTATACTCTCCTTCCTCCTCATCATCAGTGTGAAAAAGTTCCAAGGTAGAACAAACCAGAGCCCATACTTGTCCCACTGTTACCCTGATGCTTCCACACTCCCCTTCTTACTCACCACAGGGATTGCTTTAAGAGTACTCGGGTGTCTTCCAGCTAGTTCCACATTCTCCAACCGTCGCTCCAGTGACCCTTCGACCTGGATTTGAGCCCCCAAAAATGGACGCCACTGGCCGAGACCAGCTTGGTCGGGGAGACCCTAACCCAGCAACACTAGAGGAATTAAAGAGACACACACAGAAATATAGAGGCATAAAGTGGGAAATCAGGGGTCTCACAGCCTTCAGAGCTGAGAGCCCCAAACAGAGATTTACCCACGTATTTATTAACAGCAAGCCAGTCATTAGCATTGTTTCTATAGATCTTAAATTAACTAAAAGTATCCCTTATGGGAAATGAAGGGATGGGCTGAATAACAGGAATAGATTGGGCTAGTTAACTGCAGCAGGAGCATTTCCTTAAGGCACAGATCACTCATGCTATTGTTTGTGGCTTAAGAATGCCTTTAAGTGGTTTTCCACCCTGGATGGGCCAGGTGTTCCTTGCCCTCATTCTGGTAAAGCCACAACCTTCCAGCATGGGCATTAGGGCCATCATGAACATGTCACAGTACTGCAGAGATTTTGTTTATGGCCAGTTTTGGAGCCAGTTTATGGCCAGATTTGGGGGGGCTTGTTCCCAACACTAGGATAAGTCTGAGATGATCACAAAAACTACACAGTGCCTTCCTTAAATGTTCAGAGAATTGATTAAATAAATTGGTACTTTTATCAAAGTAATACACACAGTTGAAGAAATCAGATATACTAAAAGGCTCATAATGAGAAACAACACTCATTTCTCTCTTTCCTCTCAAATGTCCTCTGGAGTTTCCAGGACCAAATATTTTAACCACTTAAAGTGTTTCTTCTAATATTTGCTTACGTCTTTCTAAATAATACGTTTATTCTGCTATTTTCTAACTTAATTTTTTTAATATTACCTATTGACTTCAAAACATGGTAAGTGATGAGTTAGCGCTCTTAAATTTTCACCATCTTTTCACAAATCTCCAAATATGTTTATTACAGAAACTATTCACAATAGCCAAGATATGGAATTAACCTAAGTGTCATCCATCAATGGATGAATAAAGAAAATGTGGTATAGACATACAATGGAATACTATTTAGCCATAAAAAGAAGGAAATCTTGTCATTTGCAACAACATGGATGAACCTAGAGGACATTAAGTGAAATAAGCCTGACACAGAAAGACAAATACTGCATTATCTCATTCATATGTGGAACCTAAAAATATTGACCCCATAGAAATAGAAAATAGAATGGTGATTACCAAAGTCTGGGGAAAGCATAAGGGTGGCATTGGAGAGATATTGGTCAAAAGATAGAAAATTACATTTAGATAGTAGAAATAAGTTCAAGAGATCTACTGTACAGCATAGTGACTATAGTGAATGGTGATATATTGTATTCTAGAAAAAAGCTAAAAGAGTGAATGTTAAGTATTCTTACTACAAAAATGATAACTGTGAGGCAATGCATATATATGTTAAGTAGCTAGATTTAACCATTCCACAATGCATATACACTTCAAAATATCATGTTGTGTATAGCAACTACATACAATTTGACCTGTTAATTTCAAAAAAAATTTAAACAGAATTTTGTAAAAGTATTTTACTAGAGAGTTAAGTATATTATTAATTCATTTCCTTTGTTATATAAACTTTGTAAAATTATAATTGTATCATATTTATTATATGTTAAAATGTACAATATGCAAATTATGATAATCATACTAAAACCACATATTACCTAATCAAATTAGTAATTCATTATAATTATGATATAAACACTAAAATTATATTGATTTTATTTATTATAAAATTTTTATATTTTGCATAATTGTATATTTATATTCCACTATGTTATCATAGTTATAATATAAATATTAAAATCATGATTTATAGTATTATATTGTGACTATTGAATTCGAGTTTAATGTAGTTTGATTTCCTTTATATATAAATTCCCCCAGAGCTAAGTGCTTGTATTTTTGTTTATGCTTGCTTAAAATGTTCGTCTGTTCAACTGGTATTTCTTTAACTCCCCTATGTACCAGGCTCTATTCTAAGCACTTAGGATACAATTGTGAACAAACAAGCAAAGATCACTGGCCCCTTGGCTTTGACATTCCAGTAGAAAACAATAAACACAATAAATAATTAAATTTACAAGGTAGTAGGTAGCATTAAAAATTCCATTTCCTTCATTTTCCATGTACTATGCTTAATTTTTTCCCACATTCTCCATCATATCTATCAAATGTCTTCCAGTGTTCTTTTTTAAATGCTCAAACATCAGATAATCTGGTTTTAAAAGAGATCTCTCCATCAGCAGAGAGCTGTATATTCAGTGATAGTCCCAAATACCTATACATGCACCTTTTAACAAGAAACTTTTCATCTCCTCCTTGGCTGTAGGTGTCCTGAGAATCAGTCTGTCCTGAAAGGAGAAACTGGAAGCTCTGTTCTCAGCATGTAGTTTTTCTTTAAACTTACTGTATTCAACCATGAGCTTCACCCCTGCCCTATGTAAGGGACCCCTTAAGCTGCAGTGCCATCTCAGAGGAAATACTCTGTGAAGGTGGGGTGTCATCCAATAGGATGTAGGATACACAATGAATTAGAGACCTCTATGCCCCAGTAAAAATATATGAATCCAGGAACCAAGGCATAGAAACAGAAATAGCCCCACTTACAGTCCCAGTGTCCCACTGGGGCATTTAATGCTTCCTGTTTCCACAGCTTTGGGCTCTTTGGGTCCACAATGGGGGCACATTCTTGCCAGGGAACAAAACAAAGGTCTTATTCAACTAAAAGTTATGACTGCAACATGGGCACTTTGAACTTTTTGTGTCCAGGGAATAACAGACAAGAAAAGTAGTCACCATTGTGGCAGGGGTAACAGACTCTATCAGGTGGAGGTGAAGGAAAAGAGAAATGTGTGTGGAATTCAACTGAATTCACATCTCTTGGTATTCCTTTGCCCAGTTTCAACTGTGAGTAGACAAGGGCAACAGCCCAACATGAGAAAAATAGAATTATCAGGGACTCAGATTCCTCAGGAATGAAGAGTTTGGTCATCCCACCAGGTAAGCCACCAAAGCCAACAGAAATAGTAGCTGAAAGCAAGAGAATATAGAATGGGTTTTATAAAAGAAAAACTGAGTACCACTCACAGCCCCAAGATCAACTGCAGCTATTAGGGCAATAGATCATCTGACTAACTTTCCCTCTCTAAGTTTCCCCTCATGAAGAGAGGCCACTAGAACTCTGAAAGAGCTGCCCCTTGAACATGTGGATCCACATGGCACAAGGTGTAGACTGTGGCAGCTACAGAAACATGCAACTCAAATCTCCCTCTAAGAAATAACAGGCTCCTCAGCTGTAAGGAGGCATTTAGGTAATACCCTCCAGCTATTAATGTCTTTAAGATCTGCCTCAAGTTTTGAGTCAAGGCTACACTTTTCCTTGGCAGCCATCAGCCAGCAACAAAGCATCTCTGCCCAGTGTGGCACTCTAAAGGGCAACCATTTCTCTAGGGATCCCAGTTGATTTTGTAAGGTCTACACTATGGTCTGAGTCTTGCTCTCCTTCCCAATCCTTCTTCCTCCCCTCTTTTCACAGATGTCAGATTGAATCCCAGTCTAAAATCTTTCCCTGTCCAATTTTGTTGCATCCCCCTTTAATCTTTCAAAGGCATTCCCCAATCCAATACCATCTTGCACTCCTGCTTCATCTCAGTATTTTTTTCCTGCAGGACTCAGCTGATGCTTTGAATCCAGTAGCTTCTGTATGATCACCAAACCCCACAGTCACAAGCTGCCTGTCACACCTTTTTTTCTGTGAAGCACGTCCCTTGGTCCTATGTGATGTTATGCAGGATCCCATGTTTGTGAATCAAACATCTTCTAAGCCCTTGGATAGTGGTTCTGATTGAGACCTTATGGGTGGAAAGGACAAACCCATAACTAGAGTATGTATCTATTCAAAATGAATTGTTGCCCTTTCCACAGTAGAAGGGGGTTAATGTAGTCAATTTGTCACCAAGTACCTAGGTGCTTACCTTGAGGAATATTGCCATCTCAGGAATTCAGCATAAGACTCTTGTTGATAGACCAACCATTCAGCCACAGCAGCTACATCTGCCTGAATGTGAGAGACCCTGTGCTAATGGGTTCATATATGTCCCTCGTATTCCCACCTTAGTTACTCCATTCATTAGCTCATTGCAAAAGTGCTGGGGTGGCCAAATTCAGAGTCACTTAGCCAGTTATTCTGTCCACTTGGTTAGTTAATGACTCTTGCCTAGTAGATGCTTTCTGTTTTATACTAACTAGCCTGTGATACCAACAAATTCACACTTCATGCCTACTCCCATGTGTCCATCCACATGTCACTACATGAAAACTCCTTGTCTCCTACCTTACAATCTTGCTTATTCCAAGCCCCAACCAATCAGCTAAGCCATTTGCCACTGCTCATGAATCCATATATATTCTTACCTTTGGCTGCTTCTCCTTTTACACAATTGATAATCATTTGCACTGCCCATAACCAGAATTATTTCTCCTTACCACAGTCTTTCAAAACCACTCTTGAGTGGGGATGAAGTACAACAGCTGTCAATTTTCACTTGCACCAATATACCAGACTAACCATCCATAAACCAAGCTCAAGTTTTCCCACATTTACCAGCTGACTGTAGGAAATCTTCCACAAAATCATAGATATAAGCTGAGGGAGAGGCTTCATTGCAACTTCTCCAAAGTCAGCCATAACCATTCGGGCATTCCTAATCAATTTAATGGGGGTCATCACTTTTTCCAAGTTTCCAAGACCCATCTCAGCAGAATATTAGAATTAGCTTTCCAGGGTCTTTGCCAGAATGTTAAATCCTGTATCAAAAGAGAGTATCCCATTTTTTTAATCGTTCTTATTTAGCTTTAAATTCCATCTCCCTTAATCCAGCACACTCAACTTCACTCCCAGGCATACTCTCCTGGATCTTGACAGGCCATGTAGCTCCTTTTGCATATAATTCCTCCCCTCTATCAGCAAGCTTAGCTTTTTCCCAGTTGAGTCATGCTGAGATTTGGCCTGAGGTATTGGTCTACTGGCTAGGGAGAGAGATGGGGACAGATGCTGAGAGGGCCATTATTGTCCTGAAAGCACTTCTATCACATGCATCTTCTCCATAGTAGTCAAACAAGCAAAGGACTCTGTATTCCAACAAGGGGGACTACAAGAGTCTCAAGAGTTCAGAGGAATCTGGGATTCCAGTTATTCTCGTACATCTACTCAGTTATCTCCATCCCAAATCTCAGAGTTTCAATCCCTCCCTAATAGGGATCTAACTTTCTCATAGAAGACTTGAAAGGCCAAGAATTCAGCCTTTTTCAAAGATCTGTCATTCGTAAAATTGAGTCCTGAGACCTGTCTTTAACCCTGTCATTCCTCAAGCAGCAGGACAGGAGGATCTCTTTAAATTTTGCTGAGGAGGCCCTATGACTCTCACACTTGAATTTTAGTTGGCAATTGATATGGTTGGATCTATGTCCCCACCAAATCTCATGTCAAATTGTAATCCCCAGTGTTAGAGGTAGTGCCTGATGGGAGGTGATTGCATTGTTGGGGTGGATTCTTCATGAATGGTTTAGCACCCTCCCCTCAATGCTGTTTTCACGATGGTGAGTTCTCACAAGACATGGTTGTTTAAAAGTGTGTAGCACCTTCCCCCTGCACCCCGTCCTCCTACTTCCACCACATAACACACCTGCTCCCACTTTGTTTTCTGCCATGACTAAAAGCTCCCTGAGGCCTCCCCAGCAGATGCTGCCATGCTTCCTATACAACCTTCAGAACATGAGCCAATTAAACCTCCTTTCTTTATAAATTACCCAGTCTCAGGTATTTCTTTATAGCAGTGCAGTAATGGACTAATACAGAAAATTGGTACTGAGGAGTGGGGCACTGCTATAAAGATACTTGAAAATGTCGAAGTGGCTTCAGAACTGGGTAACAGGCAAAGACTGGAGAAGTTTGGAGGGTTCAGAAGAAGACAGGAACAGGAGGGAAAATTTGGAATTTCCAAATTTGTGACAACCAAAATGTCACAACCATTCAACAAGTCATAGTCATATAAACAATGAAGTCCAGGCAGAGGAGATCTCAGATGGAAATGAGGAATTTACTGGGAACTGGAGTAAAGGTCACTTTTGTTATGCTTTAGCAAAGAGTTTGGTTGGATTGTGCCCCTGCCCTAGGGATCTGTGGAACTTTGAACTTGAGAGAGATTATTTAGGGTATCTGGTGGAAGAAATTTCTAAGTAGCAAAGCATTCAAGGCGTGGCCTGGCTGCTTCTAACAGCCTATGCTCATACGTGTGAGCAAAGAAATGAAGTAAAGCTGAAACTTATAGTTAAAGGGGAAGCATAGCATAAAAGATTGAAAACTTTGCAGCCCAGCTATGTGGTAGAAAAGTCCAGAGGCAGGGGAGGAATTCAAACAGGCTTCAAAAATTTGCATAAGTAAAGATGAGCCAAGTGCTAATATCCAAGGCAATGGGGAAAAGGGCTTCAAGGCATTTCAGAGACCTTCACAGCAGCTCTCCCATCACAGGCCCAGAGGCATAGGAGGACTGAATGCTTTCCTGGACAAGGCCTAGGGCCCCGCTGCCCTGTCTTGTGCAACCCCAGGACACTGCTGCCTGTGTCCCAGACACCCCAGCCCCAGCCATGGCTCACAGGGGCCCAGGTACATCTCGGGTCACCGCTTCAGAAAGTGCAAGCCATAAGCCTTGGAAAAGCCTGAGTATCCAAGCAGAAGCCTGCTGCAGGAGTAGAGCCTTCAGAGAGAACCTCTACTAGGGCAGTCCAGAGGGGAAATGTGGGGTTGGAGCCTCCATACAGAGTCCCCACTGGGGCACTGCCTAGTGGAGCTGAGAGAAGAGGGCCACTGTCTTCCAGACCCCAGAATGGTAAATCAACCAACAGCTTGCATCCTGTGTCTGGAAAAAAAGCCACAGGCACTCAATACCAGCCCATGAGACCAGCCATGAGGGCTGACCCCTGCAAAGCCACAAGGGCAGAGCTTCCCAAGGCCTTGGCAGCCCACCCCTCACATCAGTGTGGCCTGGATATAAGACATGAAGTCAAACGAGATTATTGTGGAGCTTTAATATTTAATGACTGCTCTGCTGGGTTTTGAACTTGCATGGAGCTTGTAGGCCCTTTCTTTTGGCTAATTTCAGTTTGCAATGGGAGTATTTGCCCAATGCCTACACCACCATTAAATCTTGGAAATAACTAACTTGTTGTTGGTTTTACAGGCTCATAGGCAGAAGAGACTAGCCTTGTCTCAGATGAGTCTTTGAACTTGGACTTTTGAGTTAATGCTGGAATGAGTTAAGACTTTGTGGGATTGTTGGGAAGGCATGATTGTATTCTGCAATGTAAGAAGGACATGAGAATTGAGAGGGCCAAGGGATGGAATGATATGGTTTTGATCTGTGTTTACACCCAAATCTCAAGTTTAATTATAATCCCCAGTGTTAAAGGTGGAGCCTGGTGGGAGGTTATTGGAACATGGGGTGGAGTTCTTATGAATAGGCTAGCACCATTCTCTTGGGGTTGTTCTCATGATAGTGAGTGAGTGAGTTATCATGAGCTCTGGTTGCTTAAAAGTGTATAGCACCTGCCTCTTCTCTCTCTTCCCTTTGCTCCAGCTCTGTAAGATGTGCCTCCTTCTACTTCACAACCGCCATAATTGAAAGCTTCCTGAGGCCTCCCCAGAAACCAAGCAGATGCTAGAATCATGCTTCTGTACAGCCTGAGGAACCATGAGCCAATTAAATATCTTTTCTTGATAAATTACCCAGTCTTGGGTATTTCTTTATTGCAGAGTGAGAAAGAACTAATACAATGAGTGATTGCCATGAGCATGAAGGGCATTCAGCAACAGACACCCAATTAAGTCCTTGTAATGCTATTGCTCCTTCACATCTCAAATGCCAGAGGTACTACACAAACCAGTCTCTCTCCCACCTGTATCCCATCCCAGTTCACTACAAGTAAAAGGCTTAGCAACTTCACTGTTTCTACAAGCCTGGGGCTATCAGTACTTCACCTATCACTGGTGATAGGGACTCACTGCTAATTACCTGGGAAGTTATCCAACTTCAGAATCCCTTACAGTATTCTTCCCAGTTCCCCTCATCTGGTACCAACCATCATAGGTCAGGTTCTCTAGAAGCAGAATCTGAATCAGAGATTTAAATTAATGATTAAAATAAATATATAAATTTTTAGATAGATAGGGATTCAAAGTAAAGCATGCCTACTATTAGCTTTACATAAGGCTAAGCCTAAAATATCTCATAATTAATTATATCAGAAAATTAATGTACTATGTAAATTCTAAGGAGAAAATATGCAAAGTATTTCAAAAACATTTTTAGATCTGGGCAGGGCATCAAAACAGCGTCCACCAAATTCCCCATCCACTAAATGTTTCAAACATGAGCACTGCCTTCCCAGATTGATACTTATTGGGTTTAAAATGTCTATTTCAAAATGAAGATATTGAAATGGGAGTTTTTCCCAACCATAAAAAGAAATGTATCATTTTCACACTATGGACTTAGAAGAGGTCCAAATGGTGCTACAAACTCCAAAAAAGTTTAGCTGTCATAGATTTTCAACAAGGGATCAAGTTGAAGAAACTAGGAATTAATAGTCAAGGAGATGTGGGTTCTAGTTATAAGAGGTCTCATTCCAACCAGTCTACCAATTGCATAACAGAATGCAAATTGTTAAAATAAATATTTAAATCTAAAAGTAGTTAAGGATTAAAAATAAAGCATGCCTACTATTAACTTTACATAAGGCTAAGCCTATAACATCTCATCATTAATTATGTCAGAAAATTAATGTACTCTGTAAATTCTAAAGAGAAAATGTGTAAAGAAATATTTTAAAGACATTTTAGCTCAAATTTCTCTGTTTGAATTCATAAAGCTCCCTTCTGGTTTCCAATCTGTCATGAGAAGAAGTATCTAATTGACTGCAATTTCAGAATTGGTGGAAAACAGAAACAGTCCAAAGACCAATAATAGAGTTGAAATGTCTTTCTTCTTCACCAAAAAAACTGGATTTGCATCCAAAGATGCAGGCTTTGAAAAATGCATTATTTATTTAGCACTAAGAATAGGGAAGCCAGGCTCTGTTCAGGAGTTTTCTTGCTTTCTGTTATCAAAATGACATTCTGCTTTATAATCACACTTCCTACATAATAGCCTTGCTATTTCCATTTAAAATATTTAGACCTTTTTCTTAGAGGGCAAAAGGCGAGTCACACAGTAGAGCATTTTGAGCCTTTCGATATGGAAACTGTCCAAATAGAATGCAAATTCACAATGCTATTTTTAATGACCTTGAGCAACCATTGGTATTTCTGCATTTCAGTTCCAAAGATCAGAAATTTGCATCATTAATAAGGAGAAAAAGAGTAAAATTTGCACAACTCCAGTATACTCCCAAGGTATTCACTATTATCAACATTTTCTCTGGTCATATATTTAAAAAGAAACATAGCAACTGAAGTAAAAAGGAAACAAAGTTGGATGTGAGGAAAACTTTACAACCTCAAAGTGCTAATAACAAATGCTGCCTTTGATGTGGACAAATGTTTTTCCAAAATAAACAAAACAAAAACCCTAGAAACAGTTGAATTTCTACACTCTAATTTCTAGACCAAAGAATGTAGTATGGAAACTGTAGAATATCTTTGATATCAGTGTACATGAGGAGACTTCATTCAAAAATTATAAGGGAGGAAGTTTTAAGAAGCCCAAGTCTACAGTTACAGCACTGATAGCAGCTAAATGGGCTATAAAAGTTACTTTACAAATGAGGAGACTCAAAACTAGGATGAAGGGAATTTCAGTTAATTTCAAACCCCTAGGATTTTAACTTGAATATTTCTTTCTTTCTTTTTTTTTTCTGAGATGGAGTCTCACTCTGTTGCCCAGGCTGGGTGCAGTGGCATGATCTCGGCTCACTGCAACCTCCGCCTCCCCGGTTCAAGTGATTCCCCTGACTCAGCCTCCCAAGTAGCTGGGATTAGAGGTCCCCACCACCACGCCCAGCTAATTTTTTGTATTTTTAGTAGAGATGGGGTTTTACCAGGTTGGCCAGGCTGGTCTTGTACTCCTGAGCTCAGGTGAGCCACCCGCCTTGGCCTCACAAAGTGCTGGGATTACAGGCATGAGCCACCACACCCAGTCAAATATTTCTTATAAAAGGTAATATTCACAAGATAGTAATAGTTGTTCATTAATAAATTTCTCTGGATAATGATGCCAATGTAAAATAAAAATTTTGTGAAGGCAGAGTAATTTTCAATCAAATGTAAACCTTGACCACAATCCACAGGAATTACTGGCTATCCTGTGAAATCCAGGCCTAGATTCCTAAGTACATTCAACAATTCTTTCACAAGAAATATTGTACAAGCAGTCTAGATGTCAGATATTGGCATTTCAAGTCAGTGGAGAAAATAGTTGTCTATTAAATAAATGCTATTGTAACAAAAGACTGAATTGGAAGATAAAATTAAGTTAGACTTCTACTTCCTAACAATTACAAAAATAAAATACAGATCAATAAAAGAGCTAGAATTTTACAATTAAGAATTCTAAATATAGGCAATTCTGTTAATACTTATTACTGTATTTCACTTGATACCTGTATGATGGGAAGGAAGCGTCCATGTTAAGATCTGTAGGAAAGAACATTCCTACAGAAGGATAACAGTGCAGACGCCCTGATACTGGAATGAGAGTGGCATGATGAAGGTCAAATAAATCCAGTAAACTTATAGAGAAGAGAGCAAGCAAGAAAGCAGAAGATGAGGTCCCAGAAGTAGGAAAGAACAAGAACATGGGAAGCCTTGTATACTATGTCAAGGAGACTGAATTTTATTCTATGCATAATAGAAGCTTTAGAGTGTTTTAAGCAAGGGTGACATGATTTGATATGTGTTTTAGAACTATCACTCAGGAAGATTAACAGCAGGAGTACAAAAGTAACATCAGGGACTATAATGCAAAGAGAGATGATGGGGACTTGAATAGGGCAGGAAGATAAGAGAGAAATCCAGGATGATTACTCAGCTTGAGGCTAGTATGGAGGGTGGTGCCATTTACTTAGGGGGAAGGGCAATTTTGAAGGACAGGAGTTAATAGTTCTATTTGGGGAATGCTATATCCAAGATATGTATTAGATATCCCTGTCATAATGTCCAATAATCAGTTCAATATCTAAGTTGAGGAGCCCCAGGAAGAGATTTGCGCTGGCAATATAAATCTGAGGATTTACCAGCACATAAATGTTATCTCAAGCTAGGTCAGATCACATAGGATGAGAACATAGACAGAGAAAAAAACACAACCAGACTGATAGACTTCTACTTTCAGAGGTCTGATAGAGGAAAGGACAGAAGCCAGCAGTAAGACTGAGGAACAGGGGCCCAAAAGGTGGGGGAAAACAGACTTACAGGGTCACTGGAGCCTAAAGAAGAAAGCATTTCATCAACCATGTCAACTGCTGTTGAGAGGTCAACTGGGACAAGGAGAGAGAACTGACAATTGACTCTGACATAATATAAATCATTGGTGACCTTCGTAAGCGTGACAAGAGCTGCTTCAGTAAACAGCTTTGGATAAAAGCCCCATTCCAAAGAGTTAGGCAGAGAAAGAAAATGAGAATGACACAGAGCATACAGGCAACTCTTTAAAGCAATTTTTGTATGAAGCAGAGATGAAAATAGGGCAGTGTCCAGAGGGAAACATCAACCCAAAGGATATTTGTTAATGCATGATAACAAGCCATATTACATGCAATTGCAAATGATTTTTAATAATATGCTAATTTATATTTATTCAGCATTTACACTGTGCCA
The DNA here is from genome assembly GCF_000001405.40 of Homo sapiens. NCBI lineage: Eukaryota > Metazoa > Chordata > Mammalia > Primates > Hominidae > Homo > Homo sapiens. The sequence continues at coordinate 113,700,577 of NC_000005.10, read as the reverse complement.
AGCACTGGCACACATACTTTCTTGTACTGCTCATTTAATTGTCAAAAGTATCACTGACTCAGTGGCAAAGTTACTGAGACAAAGAAAAGTCAATAAATGTGCCTAAAGTCACATTGTTAGCAAGTTATAGAACTATGATTTGAAAACTGACAATATGAGCTCTTTACCACTGCACTAGAAGATGCAAGGAAGAAAGCAAATAATTGTAGAAAAGTAATCCCTGAAAAGGAAAGGGAGAGCAGGCACCAGGGCACAAGCTGAGGGATCAGTCTTAGATACAAAAGCAGATGGAAAACAGAGTCTATTGATACAGACGCAAGTAGTTAGAATTTGTTGTGGGAAAGGCATTTCTCCTCTAATTGTGTCTATTACTTGTATAATTAAAAATAAAAACCTTTAAAATATTGTTAAGACTTTCCTGTCCTTAAAGGGCTTGCAGTCCCATAGGGGAGACGGATACATAACCAAGCAAGTGGTTTATGTAAAGTGCTTAGAATGGAGCCTGGAACCCAGGGGCTTTCTAAGGTGAGCTTCAGTTAAGTTCGATGATGGTATTACCTAATGCTACTGAGAAACATGTGAAGTATAGTGGGGACTTAGAGTGGACAACTCTACTGTGGGAGAAGCAGGTGCAGGGAGGTCTCAAAGGCTCCCAGAAGACAATGGAGATCTGTGGAACTTTGAACTTGAGACAGATGATTTAGAGTATCTGGTGGAAGAAATTTCTAAGTGGCAAAGAGTTCAAGAGGAAGCAGAGCATAAAAGTTTGGAAAATTGTAGCCTGATGATGTGATAGAAAAGAAACCCCACTTTCTGGGGAGAAATTCAAGCTGGCTGCAGAAATTTGCATAAGTAATGAGGAGAGAAATGTTAATCACCAAGACAATGGGGAAAATGTCTCCAGGCCATGTCAAAGACCTTCACGGCAGACCCTCCCATCACAGGCCCTGAGGCATAGGAGGGAAAAAATGGTTTCCTTGGCTGGGTCCAGGGCCCCCCTCCTGTGTGCAGCCTGGGGACTTAGTGCCCTGTGTTCCAGCCACTCCAGCCATGGCTAAAGGGACCAAGGTATAGCTCAAGCCATTGCTTCAGAGGGTGCAAGCTTCAAACTTTAGCAGCTTCCATGTGGTGTTTGGACTGCCGGTGCACAAAAGACAAGAATTGAAGTTTGGGAACCTCCGCCTAGATTTCACAGGATGTATGGAAATGCCTGGATGTCCAGGCAGAGGTGTGCTGCAGGGGCAGAGCCCTCATGGAGAACCTCTGCTGGGGCAATGTGGAAGGAAAATGTAGGGTCAGAGCCCTCACACAGAGTCCCCATGGGGGCACTGCCTAGTGGAGCTGTGAGAAGACGGCCACTGTCCTCAGACCACAGTACAGCAGATTCACTGACAGCTTGCACCATGCACCTGGAAAAACTGCAGACACTCAACAACAGCCCATGAAAGCAGCCAGGAGGTGGGCTATACCCTGCAAAGCCACAGGGGCAGAGCTGTCCAAGGCCATGGGAGCCCACTTCTTGCATCAGTGTTACCTGGATGTGAGACATGGAGTCAATGGAGATCATTTTGGAACTTTAAGGTTTAATAACTGCCCTACCGGTTTTCAGACTTGCATGGGACCTGTAGCCCTTTCATTTCAGTCAATTTCTCCCATTGGGAACAGGTATATTTACCCAATGCCTGTACCCCCATTGTATCTAGGAACTAACTGGCTTGCTTTTGATTTTACAGGCTCATAGGTAGAAGGGATTTGCCTTGTCTCCAATGAGACTTTGGACTGTGGACTTCTGAGTTAATGCTGAAATGAGTTAAGACTTTGGGGGACTATTTGGAAGGCATGATTGGTTTTTAAATGTGAGGACATGAGAGTTCAGATGGGCCAGGGGCAAAATGATATGGTTTGGCTCTGTCCCCACCCAAATTTCATCTTGAATTGTAACTCCCATAATCCCCACATGTCATAGGAGGGACCCAGTGGGAGATAACTGAATCATCAGGGTGTATTTTTTCCCATACTGTTCTTGTGATAGTGAATAAGTCTTACAAGATCTAATGATTTTATAAAGGGCAGCTCCCCTGCACATGCCTACCACCATTTAAGACATGCCTTTGCTCCTTCTTTGCCTTCCACCATGATTGTGACACCTCCCCAACCATATGGAACTTTGAGTCCATTAAGCCTCTTTTTCTTTATAAATTACCCACTCTCAGGTATTTCTTCACAGCCGTATGAAAATGAACTAATACAGAGGGTATGACCAAGGAACAGCTAAGTAGGTGCCAATAAAGGATGCCTGGATCACCAAGCCACATCATTTGTTAAATATGAAAATATAAGAAATTAGAAATAGAATATTATATACAAGTAGGTGACTCTGTAAGACTACCAGGAGAGTCCCAGATGGAAACTGTCAATGTGTTTGAGAAGTTTTGAGGCACTGTAGCTCTGTTGATTCTATAAAGGATTCCAATCCATTCAACATATATAACAAACCGTATCCACAATACCATGCTTAGTGTACTAGTTGGTTTCCCTGCATGGAAGAAACCAAAGACAGAGAAAGAGAAATATTCCTGCTCCTGATGCCCTGAGTGAGTTGCCAGAGATTGAAGTAGCCTAAGCAGCATGGGTCAAAAATAGAACAAGGGATCAACAGGAGCACTGGCAGAATTGAAAAGGAGGAGATAGATTTAAAAGAGTTATGGAGATAGAATCTACAGGATTTGATGACTGAATGGATTTGCAGTATGAGGGAGAGGGAAGAGTCAAAGTTGATGAATCTATTTCTAGCTTAGAGGACTTTGTGGCCATTTACAGAAATTAGGAACAGATTTGGGCAAGTTGGGGAGGAATATAATAAATTCAATTTAGGTAGAGTCTGAGAGGCTGGTGACGCAGCAGGAGCTCATGACAAAGGTGTAGACCAGGAAAGTGCTAAATCATGCACACAGCACCCAGGTCTAGCAACACAACAGGAGTAGGCAGAAGAAAAGGATCCAGCAATGGGGACCAGAAGAAGCCATTCAGTCTCAGAGGGAGAAAGAGTACTGGAGAGGACTAGATTTCGAGGAGCTGCATTAACTAATGTCAGGGTCCAAACTGGTTTGTATTAATATTTTAGCTTTTAGTCAATGAACAGAAAATATTTTGATAAATCCATCACTATTCACTTAATACAGCTGAAACAAAGCAGGCATAATGAAAATTTCCAACAAGAGCATAAGCAAATATTGCTATAACAATAATATGACTTTCAAAGGAGAAAAGCTTTGAGAGACGACAATTCTCTCCCTGTACTCTCTCTTCTCTTATAATTTTTTTCTCCTGAATAATTTTGGGTCATTAAGAGGCACAGCTTCTAATTAACCTAATAATACCTCCCAATTACTACATGTACTCAAGTTAAGACTTTGAAATCTCTCTAGATAGCTGTCATGAGACAAAAAAACAATTTTTGATAAAATATAATATTATTTTTATTAAAAATTGATACTTTCCTATTCTAAGCATAAAAAAAACTATAATATAGACCCTCCTTTTTTTTCTTTTGAGGGAAGTGAAGTGGATGAAGAAATACTAAGGATCTATGGGAAACACTGATTAATTAGTTTACAATTGACCAATAACTCTTGCAAAGAAATATTTCGTGCACTGAATCTCTAGAAAGAGATCCGCCACATTCCTTTCTACTTTCAACAATCTGAGAAGCTACACTCAGATGCTGAAAGGCACTTAAAGTATGTGCTCTCATTTCCTGTAATTGAACCAGATTTATAAGAAGTGGAAAACAAATTTACCCCAATTGGCATAAGATTTAAATTTCCTCAAGAGTAGAATGAAAGAGCTAGGTTAAATGATTCGAAAGGTCTCTTCCACTTCAGACATGTTATGATTTCATAATTGATGCACATGGCACTTATTGACAGCAATTTTCTTTGAAGCTCAGCAGCCATATACATTGGTTTCCACAGTTTCTTGTGCCTCTAAGCAGGAAAGGCCATAATACTTTCTCTGATACCTCACAGACAATTTTCAAGGTGGTCATTTCTGGGTTGTTTTTTTTTTTTTTTTTTTTTTGAGATGAAGTTTTGTTCTTGTTGCCCAGGCTAGAGAGCAATGGCACAATCTCAGCTCACTGCAACGTCCACCTCCCAGGTTCAAGCAATTCTCCTGCCTCAGCCTCCCGAGTAACTGGGATTACAGATGCCCATCACCATGCCTGGCTAATTTTTGTATGTTTAGTAGAGATGGGATTTCACCATGTTGGCCAGGCTGGTCTTGAACTCCTGACCTGGTGATCTGCCCATCTTGGCCTCCCAAAGCACTGGGATTACAGGCACAAGCCACCATGTCCAGCTGAAAGTGGTAATTTCTGATGCAACAATTTTGTGATTTTTTTTGAAACATTTTAAACTTCCTAAGATATAGGCTCTCAAACTCTCCTCCAATTCCCTCCTGAATACTCATGAGGGGTATGACCCAATCCTATCTATTCAAGAGCACACATAGAACTGATTCGCAAATTGCCCTCTCTGTGAGCATGTGAATAGAGGAGATAAGTGGTAAGTTGCCCCCCATTGTTTCCTCCCCATTTGTAGGCACCTGTGGGACATAATTTCTTAGGAAGAACAGATCAATGATTTAAAGCACTCCTAAAAGCTTGATGGTTCAGCCATCTTTTTTCCATTAGGAAAGAACTTGCTGACATCCATCCAAGTCATTGGGAAACAAGGACAAATTACATTCCATTATCACTTTTCTTCAGCTTCCATCCACCACCCCATGCATACTTTGACCAAGAGCCTGCTGAGGAAACCAGACATGACAGTAAACCAAATCAAAGTACTGTAGACATCTTTACTTCTTCCAGGCCACATGATTTTATTCCTAAACAAAACCTCACATTACACCAAAACCAGAGCTTGCTTTAAAAGGGCAAGATACTGTAAATCACTAGAAAGTAAATACCATTTTTGCAACTTAGCAGCATAAACAATGTAATACATATAAATAAGACAAAAACGTCCTGTGACATAAATCCTGCTACTGGACACAACCTTGAAAGGATCCTTGGGAGTCACAGCATAACTGGATCTGACAGCCTGCACTCAACATTTACATGCTATGAAATTGGCTTTCTGAAGAATTATGAATAATTCTTCTAATAATTATTCTAAATAAAATCATTTCCCTGCTGATTGGAGCTCAAAAAGGAGAGGAGAGACTTTAAATTGAACTCACCTTGGAATGAAAATTATTCACCTTTTCTGCTTTTAGTGAAGCAAAGGAGTAGCAGACAGTAAAGAAAAGTGAGGTGTGGCCATCAAGATGACTGCAGGATGTTGGAGAAATGTCATAAGACTAATGCCTGTTCATTTATCAAAAAGTCTTTCCCACGGGGTCTTCACCATCAAAATGGGCAGATGCAGTCAGTCTGATTTAAAGTCACGTTTTAGTCTCTGGATCTGCAAATCCTAGTTCCAGCATTTTCACTCCCTGTGGGCCAATATTTTCACTTTTTATCAGAACAGTAGCTTATGCTTTGGCTCTCCTGCTTCTCTTCTCCCCACCCCTCCCTTCTCACTCATAATTCAGAAAAATCACACCTTTATTGAGGATATGCTACATGCCGAAAAGTACATCTCCTACTCTTCCTGACTATTCCACAGACACACATTCCTGCAGTAGGACCAACTGGGGTGACTCCAGTTGCCTAGATTCAGTGGCATCCAAACTATGAAAGAGAACTGGAGGAGAATGTAGTGGTATTCCTTCACGCTAAAAATGAGGTTTGTACATGTGCTTACATATTCATATTTATGCCTGCAAACAAATATGTATATGTATGCAAATACACATAAACACATAAAAATAACCACAATTATTTTCTTTTCCTCTCCTTCTCCTAGAAGACTATGGAATGCAGCCAGCCCTGCCCAAATACCATTTCAGAACTTTTTTTTGCTTTTTTGTGTGGCATCTTTTTCCCTTCAGCATTACCCTTGATGCTCATCTTGCCCAGATTTCAACTGTATAGAAATGTTAGGGAAGAAATAACATTTTATAATGTACTGTAATTTGAGACCATGAATATGCACTGTTGGTTTCCCTTGAGTAATGTATAACTAACCCAAACAGCATCTCTAACATTGAAGACTCAGCAACTAAAGGCATCTGAAAACATGCAAACACTAGGGTTAATAGTCTGCTAGCAGGCTTTACTAATTCAACCAAAATTACTTTTATAGATTATTAGCAACTTTAGGAATTGCACTAAACTATTGTACTCTGCTCATTTTAGTTCAATCTTTTAAATGTCCAAGTTTTTCTGATGGAAAATCATCTCATTGATCTGTCAGGGGTTAATTATTCAAAGTGCTAATGACAGTTGTCAGCCAGACCAAGGCTCATTTTGCTTTGGCCTTCATTCGTAAGAGCTTGGAAAAATGACAGATTTTAAAGACAAAAACTTCCTAGGCCGGCAGTGTGAAAAGACTGCAGATTGAAGATCTGTCTTTCCAGCACCACTCATACTCAACACCCAGAATTGTGGAAACTTCCCAGTAAGTCTTCCTAGACTTTTATCTGCCTTAGAAGAAAAATATTAGTGTTGTGGCTGATAAGCCTTAAACAGCTCAGCCTCAACCCGATTGCCACACTAAAGGGCACATTGCCGCACTAAAGGGACAATTTGGCAAGCTTCCTGTCCAGGGTCCAGATGGATAAACACGACAAAACACCAACAGTACACACACACTCACACACTTACACACCCAGCTATATTTTCAAGAGACATAAACACTATCCAAACAGATCATTTCTAACCACATGTTGGGCTGCAGGCTTATTTAGCCTTTGTTCCATTGAATTTCAGATGTTCTTCAATTCGGCTGCTTTTCTATCAAACGGGAAGAAAACTACTTAGCCCCATATTGCTTGACAGGATTGGAGTGGAGAATGTTCTGTTTGGTTTTATTGCATTGCAAAATTACACATAAAAGGCTGATTATTTTTATTAGAAAAGAATGGGTTACCAATAAGCTTTTAAAGAAACAAAAGCAAGCAAATGGGGTGAGTCTCCTCAGTATGTCATGAATGTTTTCTAGAGGCAAGGAAATTCACAGCAAGGAGGCAGAAGAGCTTGAATTGTTGAAGCAGGATTAATGCGCTCAGGCCAACTGAGAAACCCCAGGGGGGACGCGTGGGGTTTTTCCACTGGCTGCCTGAATACCAAGCAGGAACACCGCTGCCCTTTACGTTACCACCCTCCCGTTTTCATCCCGATGTTTCCTGTTGATTTTCTAACAGCTTAAATGTTTAAAAACAACTGCGTCCTCTGAAACATTTTAGCTACCAACAGGTGAATGTTATTAGTTAGACCTAAATAAGCGGGGTGGGGGAGAGGTGTTCTTCCCTTCCTCTGTATGAAACGAGGCTTTCCTGAATCGGAAATAAAGTAAAAATGGAAATCTGCGGGTACCCTGGTTACCTGGCAACCCAAACCCATGGGCTGCGTCTATTGGCATCCTAATGTCCCCCAGCATGAAAGATGCTGTCGGAAGGGATTCCTTTTATGTGGAGCCTCTTTACTCTCGTCCATTCATTTATCCCCAATTATTTGGTTTCCAAGTCAGTAACCCAGATTTCTGAGGGCTCTAATGCTTGTCTCTGTAGGGAAGGAGGCTTCCACTAGGGAATTTACTATAACACCTTTTAAAAGGAATCAGTGTTTTGCAACCCCCCGGGAACATTTGTGTTAAAAGGAAAAAACAAGGAGGGGGCTCTGGGGGAAGACTGCTTCTGGCTGCCCCGCAGTTCCTTCCCCATTGCTCTATGGAATGTGCAGGTCTTTCCTATTTCCTCAGGACCTCACTGCCTGAGGCTTCACTTGGAGAACTGCCTGTCACACTGCAGAGTCATCTATAAATAATCAGCCCAAATTGGCAACTGCCTGGAATGACAGTAAGGGAGAAATAACGCATTCCACACTGGCCCCACCCCCAACCCAGGCAAACCCCTGATACTTATTGTCAGTTCCATTACTGGGTCTAGAAATAATTCTAGGATTGTTTTGACATCGTTGTTTTGATTTGCAACGTTATGAAAAAATCTGGACACTACTGAAGAGACACGTGCTCAATTCCAAAGCAGAAAACTTCAAAAAATTAACATTTTGCCCTCCTCTGAAGAAAAATGCTATATTAGCTCACTAGATTTTTAGAGTAAGTATCAATGATTCTCGTAGTGATTCTGTTCATCCCTAACTAATCAAAACAAGTTTATCTGCTCTGTGTCTTTTAAAAACTTAATTCTCTCAAGGCCTTGTCCATTCTACTAGTTGTTTGTATTTCTATCAGAGGCTTTAAATTGTCAAAGAAAATCAAATTTCAATGTTTTTCCTATTTGTCAGCACCTTTTTGAAAAATTTTATGAAGGATAAGAATTTTAACTATAGGTATTACAATATAGAAAGAATAGTTAAATCCCTATAACCTAATTAATTCAACAAAATAGGTTGAGAAATTAGCAGATGTAACACCCTGCTAAAATACGTGTGTGTGTGTGTGTGTGTGTGTGTGTGTGTGTGTGTGTGTGTTGCAAAGATGAATACAGTACAGTCTGTTCTTTGAGAACTTACATTCTAAAGAGAAATATATAATGCATATGCTTTACCAGGAAATAATAATGTATGTGCTCTCCAAGGAAAATATACTAAGTACCAAAAAAGACATGAGCAATGGGAACTTTTTGAGATATAGTCATTTCCAGCTCTGGCAATGGAAAAAGCCACAAAGGCTTCAGGAGAAATGGAGAAAAAAATAGCTTTTGATCTAGTCCAATGGCTGGGTAGAATTTTGATACACAGAGATGGAAAGGACATTACAGATTAAAGAAATGGAGTGACCAAAAGCATGGGGTGGGAAGGTGCTGGAAACATTCAAGAATTGGTCAATGGTCCAGTTTAGTCAATGCACAGGATACACTGTTGTCCATTTCAACTGTGGTGTATCAATCAATCTATAATGCTGCCTTCTATAATTCATTCACTCATTTATTCAACAGATATTTACTGGATGCAACAAATATTTAAGTCTCTTTTTGGCAGAGACTTGAGAGGATTTAAAAGAACAATAATAAACAAGTGATTCTCAATTTTTCACAAGGCCTTTTGCCAAAGTTGTTGTTCACAAATTGCCACTCCTCCTTTAAGATTATAATAATATCACAGTTGATGTTGCTAAAAAAAATTCCTGTGCATGTTTAATGTGACTTATTCATGAAGAAACTGCATTATTCCAAGGGCAGGCAACACAACAGCTTGTTGGAAGAAACCGGTTCAAAGCACAAAGCATCAATACATAAAACACTCATACCATTACAACATCCCAACTACATGCAGTTATACCTCCAAAGTATTACCTGAGAAGTTGAGTGTTCAAAGGGGTGAAGCTTAGCCATTTCATTTGGAACTAGCCACCATACCATACCAATTCACTTAACAGCTGGACATTTCACCTGCAGGAAAAAAAAAAATTAAAGTGTAAGAATATTCTCAAACGATATTCTTTAATCTTATGGGTAAAAAAAAGATAAAAACATTTGCTGGATCTACTTCACTGGGTTAACGTAAGGATGAAATGAGACAATAAATGAGAAGTAATTTTAACCTGCAAAGCACTAAATAAATATTAGTTCATTTTATCACAAAAGTCAGTCTTTGCTGAGTCAGTGCCACATAAATCTCTCACTGAAAATGGTCCCAGCATGCACAATAGGACACACATTAACATTACACCAAGTTGGGAGGCTATCATGTTTTTTTTTGTTTGTTTGTTTGTTTTTTTTTGAGACAGAGTCTTGTTCTGTCACCCAGGCTGGAGTGCAGTGGCACGATCTTGACTCACTGCAACCTCCACCTCCCAGGTTCAAGTGATTCTCCTGCCTCAGCCTCCTGTCACTGGGATTACAAGTGCCTGCCACCATGCCCAGCTAGTCGTTTGTATTTTTAGTAGAGATGGGGTTTCACTATGTTGGCCAGGCTGGTCTCGAAATCCTGACCTTGTGATCCACCCACCTCAGCCTCCCAAAGTGCTGGGATTACAGGCTTGAGCCAGCGCACCCAGCCAGCTATCATGATTATTTGGTGGAATTCAGAAGAGAGCTGGGGACTATGTTGGTCACCAGTCAGTCCAGATAAGCGAGTGGCAACCACAGCAGCAGCAAAATTGAGACAATAGCTTGGAGAAGCTGCAAACATTAGCTAGTTGCTAGGGAGCTTCAACAAGATGTATCCCTGCCACTAAAATTGAGATCATGTGGCCTATATTATAAAAAATTAATCCAAGTTGGGGCACAGCTGAAAAAGATGCTTCCATCCAAGTGGCTTGACAGCAGGAGTCATTTGAAGTATTGTCTTTGGTTTAGAGCCATCTCACACTCATATTTTGGCTATACTACGTGAGCCACCAAATGAAGCAAGGACATCAGGTCATCATAACTCATTAGATCATAATTGCTGAAAATGAATTACATAATATTTTCTGAACCATCTTTACTGGTCAAAAGGTTATTAAAGAAAGATAGAAACCAGCAGTTATTAACTGCTTGCTCTGTACCAAGCATTCTAATTATTATTTACACATTAATTATCTCATGTCACATCCAAAAGACAGATGTACCCCAAGGGGTATATGACTGAATGTAATGCTTTTGTTTCTTGTAAGTTGTTATAAACATAAATGCCTGGCTGGAATTAGCCCAACGTCCCTTGACCTCTACTCCCCCAACATTTTCCAGGACTTTTAGGAGTCATCTGCTGAGAGACTAGGACAGAGTGAGGATGAGGGAGAGTTGCAGAGATTTGGGACTGCTCCTCTGGGGAAGCCAATAAGGAGGGTCAGCAAAAATGACCACTGAGAGCAAACAGAGGGAATTCATAGCAAACTGATCAACATGACATCATGACATCTTCCAAGAAGAGGACAGTAAAGGACACAGCATTAAGATTCTCATGACTTTTTCCCTCTGGGAGAAGAAAGACGCAGCTAAAACAATTACAGTGAACATATTAAGTAGCATGCAAATTAAAAGGCCTACTATTCACTAGGGCATATCCTCCAAATCCATATAGATAGACACAAAGGTTAAGTTCACTCTAGGAAAGAGCCTCCTTTCTTGAAAAATCACTGAATGGAATTCCATAGTTTGGCATGCACTAGGTAAGTAGGTAGACCTTCTTGTTTGTAAATACCGACAAATAGAAGATCTGAGGATTTTTTTTCATTAACTGCTTCTCCTTTTTATTCTCACCGACAAAAGACTCTCTTTTTTGTGCAAAACAATGCTAAAAGCTCGACTCCATTATAATAACCTTTCCCAAAAGTCATAAAGCCTAAGAAATGTATTATGATATCCCTGAACCATACTCCCTTCTCCAACATCAGTATCCTCTTCCCTCGCCATTTCAAGCCTGCTTTCATAAGGAAACTGACATTAAATCTCCACTGGGTCTGTGAGCTGCGGGTAGTCAGGAAAGACATTTCATCTAAGCACACATTCTAGGACACGTAGAAATCATTAACCACAACCCACAATATGACTAAATGTAATTTATATAATGCTACTATCACAGCAAGGTATTTCTTAATTATTTGGGCATTTTAAATATTTAGCCTAACTACAGACTAAATTTGAGGAACTGTCCTGAATATTAGCAAAATGGCTTTTCTAAAACTGAAAATTTCATTAAGAGACTAGATATTTATACATGTGTAGAAACTGTTCATTTTCGATTGTGCCCCTAAAGGAACACAATATTCTTCTGTGAGATGGGTTTTAGGGTGGCATAAAGAGCAAATGAGGCCAGGTGTGGTGGCTCATGCCTGTAATCCCAGCACTTTGGGAGGCCAAGGCAGGCAGATCAACTGAGGTCAGGCGTTTTGAGACCAGCCTGACCAACATGGTGAAACCCCATCTGTACTAAAAATACAAAAATTCAGCCAGGCATGGTGGCATGTGCCTGTAATCCCAGCTACTCAGGAGGCTGAGGCAGTAGAATTGCTTGAACCCAGGAAGTGGAGGCTGCAGTGAGCTAAGATCACGCCACTACACTCCAGCCTGGGCAACAGAGCGAGACTCCATCTCAAAAAAAAAAAAAAAAAAAAATTCCCAGCACTTTGGAAGGCCGTAGTGGGCGGATCATGAGGTCAGAAGTTCGAGACCAGCCTGGCCAATACAGTGAAACCCCGTCTCTACTAAAAATACAAAAATTAACTGGGTGTTGTGGCATGTGCCTGTAGTCCCAGCTACTCGGGAGGCTCAGGCAGGGGAATTGCTTGAACCCGGGAGAAGGAGGTTGCAGTGAGCCAAGACCGCACCATTGCACTCCAGACTGGGCAACGGAATGAGACTCCGTCTCAACAAAAAAGCAAATGAAATGATGCATGTGAAGGCATTCTATAAATGGCAGAACATGATGCATACTTGAGAGATTAGCTCCCTTTCTCTCCTCCATGTTCTTCATTTCAAACTGATTCATGCTAAATGGGGAGGAAATCTGAGTCTCTCTCTCTCTCATAAATGTCTTATCATTTTCAATCACTGATACTGCTTTATGCTAAAGCTTTTTGCTTACATTTAAATTAGGTATGAAGTCCACTAACATATTTAGATTGAATTACATAAAATTGCCAATATTCAATGATTTTAACCTATAAAAATGGTCATTTCATGGTTCAATCAAATACAAAACATTTTCTTTTTATGATGCTGTAGAAATACAGACATCATAAAAATAGCTATGATTATTTGGATAGGATTTGTATTTATAGGAGATGAATAAAAGCTATGCTGCTCTGAAGACTGGGGGTCCCCCACAAGAACTTGAATGAAGGAGATAGGAATGGGGCAGCTTTTCCGACTGAGGCTGACTGGAACCTACATACCAGGAAGAAACTAGCTACATAAAGAAATCTGCAAACATTACAAATCTTACACTGTAATATGGAGACATGTTGCTTTCAGCCTGTAATAGGATGTTGAAGGACTCTTTTTCCCTTGTCTCAGAATTTCTACTAAAACCCAAAGCTGAGGATAATAGGTGCTAAGATCCTCCACATTCTAAAGAGAACTGCCAGACATATCTCTGTGGAACTTATCAGTTATGCAGCTATCACCCATTACTCCCTTCAGCCTGCATAAGCGATAGATTAGAAGTTCTAGAATTCCAATGTGTTATTGAGTTGTTGGCCTACCAATGGTTCTCAGGCTGAGTGGAGGTTGAAAACGTGGGGAGGCGTTGGGGGTGCAATTAGCATCTAATGGGCAGGATCCAGGGATGCTAAATATCCTGCAACTTAAGGGAGAGCCCTGCACAGCAAAACCTGATCTCACTCTAATTTCCATTAGCTCTCTCATTAAGAGACACTGACAAGGTGAAATCCTATGGCTTTTCTTCTTCCCTGCAGGGATGGGGCTATTTTCCTATCCCAAAGCCAAGTGTCACATGCTCAAAGAAATTAGCAGTAACTGCAAGAAGACTGGCATCCATTCGGCAGGGGGACTCTGTGTGTGGGCGAGTTTGTGAACCTGCTCCTGTGCCTGCTTTGAGCAGAGAGTAAAAGGGAATTAAGTGTGGGGTGGCGGCTGCCTGAAGAAAGGGAAGCAACATAGTAGTCCTGCCCTCCCACCCTTAGGTGCATCTCCCTGGGCCAAGTGGACACCACGGAAATTACCCAGGTTTAAGCTGGGTGGCCAGAGGGCTGCCCAGTGGACAATGAGAGAACTGTCATTAGATGCCTGCCATACAGAGCATGTGGCCAGCCAAGGAAGAAACACAGGACTTTTCTTAGGTAGGCGGCATTTGTCCCTTCCCCCATTATTCCTCCCATACCCTAGCACACTAGAGGTAAAAAAAGAAGATGCCAAAAAAGAAAAGTAGCAAGACAGGCTCCCACCAATGCAGTTCCCTCACCAAGGCAGGTTCTGTGGGTCCTAGGCCAAGCTTGGTGAGAAGAGTTCTTTCTCCATTGGACATGAGGCTGACCTTTCAAACTTATTAAATTAAGTGAGACTGGAATTTCATACCCAAAAATGTCCACAATGCAATGTGATTCATCAAAATATTGTTGAGATGGGAAATATTCGACAGTTAATGGTTGATGGCAAAAAAGAAAAACAGAGAAATGACATAAAGCTGTTTCATGTTTGTATGTCATCAAAATCTTAGTTAATAAGGAACATTCTTAGCTGATAACTTAACTACATGAAATTTTAAAAGTAATTCCTGTATGTGAATGGAAACACTTTAAAGGTAACTAAAACTACTAAAAACACTTCATAATGATAGGTATCTCCAGCGTCAATAATTACAACCAAAAAATAGATTTTAGTTCTTTTAGGTAAATAGTGAATTTACTAGAGACTATAACAAGCTCACAGTGTTCATTCATTCAATAAGTACTGATCTAGTACTATTACGTTTCAGGTATTGTTCTAGCCATTGGCACATGACAGTGAAGAAAAGATAAAAATTTCTTTCTTCCTGAGGCTCAGCTTCTAATGAGAGAATCACACAAAATCAAATCAGAAAAATACCAGAATAGTAGATCATGCTAAAGGGAAAATTAAAGCAGGGATGGGGAGAGGGAGTTACACTCATTGGGGGCTTCCCTAAATGGAAAAGGATGATGATGACACTGTCATTTTTGAGAACCCACTCTGTGGCATTAGCCCACTAAGACGCTATTGTGACTTAAGAGGTTAAATGGCTCACTCTGAACATGCCAGGTATAGCAGGAACTCAGATTCAAGTCTCAGCTGACTTCAAAGCCTGTGACCCTGGTCATAAAGACAACTCCTTCCCCTAGAGAGCAATACTGTACTTGTTTTTGTTTTCTTGCCAGTGTACATGGAGGGGGGAAGAGTGATCGTCCCCAAAGTCAGTGTCATCCATAGGCTTCCTTAAAAGCATTTTGCATCAAGACTTGAGGTCTTCACCTTCATATTAGGTGCTCCCTCCACCTTTCCTTGCATCCTGTTCTCTCTGCAAACAGCCAGCTCCTAATCAAGCCAAGTGATGACTGGCCCACTAGGTTAATGTTTTTCAAGTGTGGTCTTCAAACAGCTGTATCAGCATCATCTGGGAACTTGTTAGAAATGCAAAATTTCAGACTCACAGCCAGATCTACTGAATCAGGAACTGGGAATGGGAACAGCAATCTCAAACAAGGCTTCCCGATGATGCTGAAGGCGGCTTAATTTGAGAAACACTGCCCTGGGTCATACAAGTATTCTGGATGCTGTGCCTTCCCAGTGTGGTTCCAGACACCTGGAAGAGCCATCTTCCTGCCCATCAGGGACAGCCTGCTGACCGCCTTTCTGAATCTCCCCTCTCCTGGACACAGGAAATCTCTGCCTCAAAAAATCCTTACCTCTAAAGTCCACATCAAGCCTGTAAAACCTTAAAAGGTTAAACTAAACATTCCTACAAAAGCAACATGCATATATGTCCAGTTTTGTATTTCAACAACCAAAGATAGGATAAATACCATGATGCTTTGAATTATGAGGCCATGGAGAAAAACCATGCATATTTCTATATGGCACTATTTGGCAGTGCTTAACAAACCTTTTTAAAAGCTTATCTACTTATTAGAATAGTTGAATCCTGAGTATGTTTTTGGGTAACTACCTAATAATATGCTCTCTCTGGGTACAGAGTAGACCCACAGTACAATGAAACCCATGCAATGGTGAAATAATTAAAAACAGGGCTTTACTAAAATTTTTATAGCTTTTTATAAATGCAAATTCATACCCCTGGTAAAGCTTCACACGGTTCTTTTTTGCCAAAGAAAAATGAGACTCCTCAGTTTCCATGGATTTATGATTCTCACGGGTGTTGAGAAAAACAGTCTAGTATTCTTCCCCAATGAATTTTACTTCATAATATGACTTTTTTTCCTACTTGTTTTCTCTAAATAGCCCCCATATATCTTTTGATAGGTTAATGTCTTTATTAATAACATTTAATTTTTCATAGTATAGAAATGATATAGTCACTGTTAAAAAAAGATTAATTTCCTTAAATCAGTGTTATATTTTTCTTTAATTTTTTAATTCAGTTTTATAATTAGTTGATTTATCAAGAGAGTGGAAGTATTTTGTAGAGATGTTACAAGAAAGCAATTACGAACCCTCTCTCTCTAATCCAAAATGGTGGTCTCCAACCTTGTTTTTAAAAGATATTGAGTACCAACATTTGTTTTTAGAGACAAGGCCTCACTATGTTGTCTAGCATGGTCTCAAACTCTTGGCCTCAATCACTCCTCAGCCTTCCAGAGTGCTGGTATTACAGGCATGAGCCACTGTGCCCAGCAAAATATAGTTATTTAATATGTAGTTAATATCACACTACATAATAAATGGAGTCACATTTTTGTCCAAAGATTTCTGAGATCATTGAGTACAAAACTCTCTCCCACTTTCCCAAGGACTGAATAGAAGTGAACATGTTTCATGGATGTTACCCATGAGAAAAATCTGAGAACAGGGGAGGCAAGGGGAAGTAGAAGATTTAGTGTTTATTCATCAGTGATCCTGTCTAGCTACAAAACTCCACCTTGCTGTTCACTACTTCTATTACTGTAATTTTTCTTTGATACTAAGGTAACATCATCCTACTCCCTACATTAGCAATGAAGAGTCTAGTAACTCTAATTAGATAAGAAGAGTTCAGGCATAGGATTTCTTATAGGTAATATTTTATATTTATGATAAGAAAATATATGTACTGTATTAATATCTCATATTATTAATATATCTAAACGTGCTTTGCTAGACATAACATGTTATTATTGATTCAAAGGTAATAACTCATGAGATCACAAATATAACAATGAAACTTTAAAAAATAAAACTATTTAGCCTAATACTCAGAGAGAATAACCATAATAGATAATTCTCAAACCTTTATTTTTTAATAAACCCAGAGCTTTAGCAGCAAAGAACCTAAAGTAGACCCAATTCTGTCAGACCAGGGGGCTGGAGATTGCAGCATGTGCTGAGGGAACGAGGACATCTCAGGGAGCTGCAAAGAGACCACCTCAGCCTGAAGAACTTCATTGTCTGAGGTCATGCTGGGAGCACAAGTGATCGGCCTTTCAGTAAACATCCCAGGTCTTGAAGGAGAATACATGCTGGGAAAAGAGGGCTACTCTAAAATACAGCTTAGGGGGCAAATAGGGGACTAGGAAAGAACATAAAGGGTGCTCCATTTTCTGCTGCCTGAGTGTAACAAACAGACTCAAGGGTGACTCCCAATAATTCCCATGTCTTAGTGTTAATGCCTTTATGAAATCCACTCCCTTTGAGTATGGGTGAGACCTGTGATGGAATGTCACCCTCACAATTACGCTACACTGTATGAGACTTTATCTCAGCAGGTAGGAGAGAGATTCTCTTTCTGATCCTCAAGAAGCAAACTGCCTTCCTGGGAACGGGCTCTGGAGAGGGTCATATGGCAGGGAACTGCAGGTGGTCTCTAGAACCCAAGGGCAGTCTCTAGCTGACAGCCGGTAAGACTGGGGATCCTCAGTCATTCAACCTCAAGGAAATGAATTCTGCCGACAATCTGAATGAGTGTGGACAAAGATCCTTCACAGTTGGGCCTCCAGCTGAGAATGCAACCTGCCTGACCCCTTGCTGGCAGCCACAGGGCCTGGCCAGCTAATCCATGCTGTGCCATCTCCTCACCCGTGATAATTATGAGGTGAGAAATGTGTGTTGTTTTCAGCCACTAAGTTATGGTAATTTCAGCATAGAGAACCAATACACTAAGTCAACATGGAATCCTTTTTACTTTGGATCAAACTTTGGTGTGAGCTCCCTCTCTCATTTATTTGTAGTAATTACAACGATCAGTACAAGACGCATGGTACTTAATCTGTGTGAGCTGTTCTTCACTTCAGAGAAGACTGAAGTTTTAAATTAATGCCTTGTGATACTTTCTAATTCTTTCACAGAACGTTGGCCCCTACTGGATGACAACTAAAGGAACTTAGTAAGTAGAGTTATGCATCTTTTAATGACTAGGATACGTTCTGAGATTTTTGTCACTGTGCAAACATCATAGAGTGGTCCACTTACACACACCTTGACAGTAGAGCTCACTACACACCTAGGCTATGTGGTAGAGCCTATTGCTCCTAGGATACAAACCTGTGCAGCATGTTACTGTACTGAATACTGTAGGCGATTGTATAACAATGGTAAGTATTTGTATATGTAAACATAGAAAATGTAAATAAATATATGATACAAAAGATTAAAAAATGGCACACCTTTGTAGGGCTCTTACCATGAATGGAATGTGCAAGACTGATAGTTGCTCTGGGTGAGTGATTGGGTGAGTGGGGAGTGAATGTGAAGGCATAGGACATTACTGTATACTACTGCAGACTCTATAAACACTAAGGCTACACTAAATTTATTTTTAAAACATTTTTCATGGCCGGCGCGGTGACTCACACCTGTAATCCTAGCACTTTGGGAGGCTGAGGTAGGCAGATTGCCTGAACTCAGGAGTTTGAGACCAGACTGGGCAACATGGTGAAACCCCATCTCTACAAAAATACAAAAAACTCAGCTGGGCATGGTGGCGTGCGCCTGTGGTCCCAGCTACTCAGGAGACTGAGGCATGAGAATTGCTTGAAACCAGGACGCCAAGGTTGCAGTGAGCCAAGATGGTGCCACTGCTCTCCAGCCTGGGCGACAAAGTGAAACTCTGTCTCAAAAAATATATATATATATATTATTTCTTCAATGATAAATCAACCTTAGCTTACTATTACTTTTTTACTTTAAAAGCATTTTAATTTGTCTAAACTATATGATTCTTTTGTAATAACACATCTTAAAACACAAACACATATAATGCTATACAAAAATTTTTTTTGTCTTTATAAGATTTTTCTATTAAATTTTTTTTAACTTTTTAAGCTTTTTTTGTTAGATACTAAAACACAAACACACACATTAGCCTAGGCCTACACAGGTCAGGATCATCAAGGCATCAATAGGTGAGGAATTTTTCAACTCCAATATAATCTTTTGAGACAAACATCATATATGAGGTCTGTCATTAACCAAAATATCATTATGTGGCACATGACTATATAGCTCTAGGTACATATTGGCTTATGTAAAAGAATGAGAAACTAGGAAAAGTAAGAATACAATCTTTGATGTACTCATTCTCTCATTCTATAAAGCAAAAACATAGGATTTATTTAAGCAATAACAACAACCACAAAAATGTCTCAGTTAACTATTTTTCCAGTATATGAATTACAAAACATCTCAGAGCTCCTAAGATATTTTATTCTGTATAATTTTTATATACATTTTTGTAAAATAAATAGATACAAAACATGTATTTACCAGGCTTGAGATGCCACTGAGAACTTTTCATTCATTCAACAAATATTTACTAAGAGCTCTATGTGTCAGGCACTATTCTAAACACTTTTTAAATGTACTAGTCTATTTAAAAAAAAAGCAAAGAACCTTTTCCACGTGACATAGTTTAGTGAGAGGAACAAACAATAAACAACAAAAATAATAAATAAAATAAATAAATAAATAAATGATGTAGTATATTAAAAGTGAGATGGATGATGGACAAAAGGGGAAATAGAGAAAGGAAGAGGCAGCTGAGCTCTGGGGAGGGTGGGCAGGGCAGGATGAATGAGGGTGGTAAGTGGAGGCCCCCAGGAGTAGGTGAGATTAGAGCAGAGACTTACTGCAAGTGATGAATTGAGTCAACCAGTTATCTGAGGGAAGCACATTCCAGAAGAAGGACAGCGAGAGCCAAGTCTCTGAGGCAGGAACGTGTCTACTCCTCAAAGGACATCAAGAAACAGTGTTAGCCCAGAAGTTCAAACTTTCTAACTTCCTGGCACCCTCAGTGTCTCAGTAATTTTTTAACCACCAAAAAAAAAAAAACTACATAGCCATTCCTTTCATTAGGTAGTTAAATCCAAAAATGTTAAGTATGTATGTCCTAATAATTAAGTAGCTATTTGAAAATAATAATACAAATTGAAAAAAATACCTTTCATTTCAGTCTTAAATAACCACAATTACTTACAAATGGGGCATGTGTGTCCCTTAGGCCCTGCACAGCCTCTCCATCATTGGAATGAGACTGGACACTGCCATCCTTGTTAACTATTCCTGTTCATTTTTGCATACTACTTGCTTTTTATCCCATCAACCTCCAAAAACCTAGCTTTGCAAAAATATGATGTCACCTAGGACTGTAGGAATGTAGTGTAATTTAGTATGAAAACTCTAAAGTCATTTGCTTGGTTTCTGGTAGACGCTGCTCCATTTCCTTCAAAAACTCAAAATATCCTGGGGCCTCTCTGTGAGTTGGCTGCAGCACCTTGGGGTGTCCCAGCACGTAGTTTGGAAACAGCAGGGTTAGTTTATACCTTAGCCTCTTTCATTTTCTTGGATCAAGCTATTTCTATTCTCTTTAGTAGCTTCTCCGGCTGCCTTTCTACAATTTCTCCTTCCCAATTTTCTTTTTGAGTAGCCGCAGACTGTCTTAATCAAATATGACTTAAAGTATGTAGAGATACAGAGATACATAAGCATGTATATCATTATAGTAACGCCACCATTCAGAGGCCTATATCCTGGTGAAGGACTCATTTCCTTCCCTCTCAGCTTCTGTAAGGGAGTTAATCGCCTTTGAAGGTTTTCAACACCAAACAGATAGAAACATGCATTAACACACTAAAACACCATGTCACCTCACATCTATAAAAGATGGGAGGCTGGGAGGAATATTCTCTGTCCCCACAAAGATAATTCTAGTCACAGTGGAAGCCAGTGCTCTCCTCTGCTAAAATTTGCTTGTATACAGTACTTTAAGGCTTAGCTGTTCAATTATTTTCAAAATCATTGACCATTTGAATCATTACAAACTGTTTTTAGAGGGAAAAGGAACATAACATTTTAGCCCATTAGGGGAATTTCAAAGGACTAGAAAGCATGTTCTCATTGTGAGAATCAATTACGCACCTTCATTTCTTCACATCTCAAGTCACCTTCCGACGGCTCATGTGACACAGTTAGCGGCAGGAGGAGTGCTGTCAGAGCTCATTACCAATGCCACACACTGTGAAACAGAGCAGGAGGCAGCCTGACATTCTCTCCTTCAAAGTGAGAATTAAAGCAAATTGAATTTGCTTATGCTGAGATAAAATAATACAGTAAGTCCCTGTACCCCCTCCAAAATAAAAAGGTCATGATTTCTTATAAAGTATAATGAGGGGGGAAATGACTTAAATTAAACCTCTGCTTATCTGCATTGTTGGCTAATTACAACATTAGAGATTCACCCCACCACCACCACCACCCTGGCAGTCTTCACGGTAACATAGCGCCATCTAGTGCTGATATCATGTTAGGGGAATTCAAAAGCACACGTGTAAAGGGCACCTAAAAAGCAATGGTAAAATAAAATAAAATAAAGTAAAATAAAATAAACAAATATTTACTGAGTACCCACTATATAAATACCATATGCCTGCTTTTTTTTTCCTTCACAATTCTGGGAATTGTGTAAAGCTTTCATAAGCAGGAATTGCTCTGACTTTTGTGGAAATTATTTACATGATAGTGAGGGGGGAAGAAAGAGATCCTCTGTTGGAAGTTGTGTCAGCGATTTCATCAACATTAAATATGAGCGTAGAGGTGGCCATCAGGCTTCTCAGCTTGAGCAGAGCCATGATTACATTTACTGCACCTCTTCCCAGAAAAATATGGGGCTACTTAGCATTTATATTGCACTTTTCGTCTCCAAACCACTTTGCAGAACCTCTGAATAATTCCCCCAACGCCCTTCAAAGTAGTTATTACTCCATACTATCAGCCTCTTTATGAAAGCTTTTGATGGCTGTTTTCACTGCGTGTGAGTGAACTGCATTTACCAAAGAGAATTTCTCCAAAGACTCATGTCCAGAGTCAAAGAACAATTACTATCTAAAACCTTAATATTCCCCCTTTTTACAGAGCAAAAAAAGGCTTATAATTAATTTACATAGTGAACACATTACCTCTTTCCTATTCAAAGATAAGAATGTCAGGATAAAGGAAAGCATTGCATCATCAATATGAAATGCTTCCCTATTTTTCCACCAGTGCTACCACACCTAAAATAATAGCATTGTTGTGTCCTCAAAATATTAAGAAAACCCAGGAGACAATTGAGATGGGCAGACTGCTAAAAGAGGATGACCTTATAAATTAGGACCCTGTGATATATTAAGGATCTGACTTTTTTATTTAAAAGGTAAGTGTCTGTCACTCCTAACTTAATCACCTTTTATAAACCAGTTATTCCTTACAGTATTTGGATTAGTGGTGTAATTTAAAACCAAAAATAAAAAGGTACAGAAGTTGTCATTTTAATGAGTAATATTCACATTTTTCTATATATAATTCATGTTTAAACTTCTTAACTGGGCTTGTACCTTTTGTAAAAGAAAACAGAAAAAAATTTTTGTAATCACAAAGCATTTTTACTGTGTGACTCCCATAAACTATGGGATAAAATATGTGTGTTTCAAGAAAAAGGACCTGCATTAAGATGCATCCCAGAGAGAAAGAGAACAGAGTAAGGCAGAAAAGTTAAGAAGTCAGATCCTAAGCAAAGTGTAATGTCAACAGTGGGAGAGGCCAAGACACATCAACATAGTCAATGAGGGGCCAGGCTCCCTCGCAAACATTCTTTCTCTGCTTTCATCTTTATGTATCTTCACCCCAGAGATTACCAGCCCAAGAAACACATATGATAGGCATTTCACAATGCACATGTTATGACTTAAAAACATTTCACATTAGAAATAATCATTCAATATTTTCAGCTTTAAAAAAATGATTGTTCCATGGTATGTGGGAAGCAGTAAGTTAGAATTAATGTATCACATGCCATTTCCAAAATCCCTTCTGCAGACCTAGGAGGATGCTTTTGGTGATGTCTCAATGCCAGCTTTTTAAAAACAATCTCTAGTTATAGTCACTTTATGTAAGGGGATTCATCATCATTCTGTTACCTAATGTATTTTCATATATTTTAGGATTTAGGAAAAGAAGATAGTGTGAACTGAAGTAAAAACTCTAATAAGCATATTCATTAGGCCAGATTATTTTAGGGAAATACAGAAATCTCCCAACTATTCCCTAACAGGAAACCTTATAATTTCCATTAACAGGAGTTCGGGAGGTGGAGGTGGGGTTCTTGTTCCAGGAGTGGTGTGTGTCCTTTTTGGAAGAGTTGGGACGTTCAGATGAGCAAAGAGGGAAAGGAAGGTATATTCCTGGTCTGTAAAGCACAGGAAGCTGCTGACACCAACAAAGGTTTAAAGGCACCCCATTGCCTATGAAATGAAGCCTAAACCTCTCAGCTGGTGAAGGACAGATAACTCATTTTTCACACTGCATTCTGATGAGACCAGAAAGCTTTGTTTCTTCTGTCTGTAAGACTGACCCGAGTTTCCTCACCAAACTCCCACCTAGCTAAGTAGCATGGGTAATTTAGAGTTACAATTAGCGATATTTTAATCTCATCTCTTTTAAACAGTCAGTTTGGATGATGAAGTTTAAATAGTGTATTCAAAGTCAACTTAGTATCATGCCTAGTTTGCATGATCTCTTTTGGATGAATCAGACCCTTCGCCAAATGTTCGGTCTTTCTGATTTTGCACCCTCACTTCCAACTCCACCATGACAGCCACTATATATGTTACAGGGATTTACTGTGCCCTCCTACCAGCAGCAGGAAGGGGCCCTCAGACCATCATGGCCTCCTCTGGCCATTGATTCTTGCTGCAGAATGGCTGGATTGACTGACTCTGAGGTGCAACCAGCCACGTCTGACTGTGTTGGGAGTGATGTGAGAACAACCACTTCAGGCCCCAGTCATTTGTTCCCAGTCCAGAGGGCCCCACCCACAGTATTTCCTATGTGCTCCCTCCAGGCCTTAATGAGACCCCATCACGGTTAACAATTCCATGCCCGCTCCCTGGCACAAATGGGAATTTCAGCATCCCTCGCTCACGGGGAACCAGAGGGACTGCTATAGGCCTGTCTGTCCAGCTCTTCCTATCAATGCTGCTGAGCCATCATTTGTATTTTTCCTGTTAGTAGGGGCTACATGAAAGGCTGCTTCTTAAATCTTGCAGTGTCCTCTAGTGTAACTGAGAAGTTTACTATTAGTCCTAGTCATCTCATTCTCTGATATACTTGTCTGGATAGTTCTAATTAATCCTTGATGCTTGATTTACTTAGCCTCCCTTCTTAAGCTCTGTAAAGGGAGTAGAGTGTTCTTTGTCAATACTTCTCACCCATTTTCATAACAAACATAAAAATTTGATAATATTTGTACTGCACACTGGGATAAACTGAAGGGGATCTGGGCACAACTATCCATGGCTTGCTGAAAAAAATTATTACATTATTTTTCTAACATATAATAAATAAAAACCCAAGTACTAGAAAAGTAACTAAATTTTGAATATTTATAAAACACGTAAATAAGGTATCTTCCAATCTTTTAAGAGAAACTTGAGCTTGATTCTATGCACATAAATATTACATCAGCTTTTATCCATAAAAATAGGCACAAACAATTCCTGTTCAAGTTTTTAATGACAAGCTCTTCAAACTCTAGACAGTCTACATTGATGAGAAACTTTATTCTCACAAGTGAGTGATAGGTTTAAAACCATTTTTTACACCAGATATTTTACAGCCATTTAAAATTTTGGAAATAACTATCATAAATATTTGAATTTTGAACATTGTAAATTCAAAAATTGACAATAGTTAAAATTACATTTAAAAGACCAGTTCTTCCTTTTTTTTTTTTCCATTGACAAATGAAACATTGAAATTTTTGGTGATAATACAAAGGCACTTCGAGTGCAATCACACTTTTTTCTACATCAAGTATTCAAACTAGTGGTGAAGTTAATTTGCAGAACCACGTGCATTGTTAGAGCAGTCACTCTGGGAAAGGAGAAAGGGAAAAACTGAGTCAGGCAGGCAGTTAGTGTGGGTCCTCAGTTGAATCCTTTCAAACAAAAAAACAGCCTGCAAGCACAGATAAGGGAACTTGCACAGAAGGGCATCCCTAAGACATGCCCATAGGCATACAAATAAGAAAGGCTACACAGGTGACTTGCCCGGACATGCCCACAATGAAAAATTCTGTCCCCTGACACATGTGCAGTAAGGGGAACAAAGCAATATGGAGTAACTCAAGCTAAGGGCCCGCATGTGCATTAGGAAGACAGGGTGAAACTACAAGAAATTCATGCTTTATGTAAATGAGAGACCCAGCCCTCATCAGTTTCCTATAAAAGCCTTTGCATTCAACTGTAAAAATAGCAAACTTCTTACGGGTCCCTTCTCCACAGCAAAGAGCTTTCTTCTTTGGCTTATTAAACTTTCACTCCAACCTCAACCTTTGTGTCCACACTCCTTAATTCTCTTGGTTGTGAGACAAATCATTCCAGGTGATACCTCACAACAAGAGAATGCTACATTGTGGTGCATTGGTGAGACTCTGCCACTGGTTTGGGTACCATAAAAGGGATCATCTGCTGCACATGGACAAAAGTGTCTGATATATGGAAAAACAGCCCCAACTGGGTCAATCAGGAGTACCCACGAGGCCACTCACCTCTGAACACTGACCATAGGTTCTCAAGCTGCACCCCATGCTTCTGTGCACCTGGAAGATGAGCCCTTCCCCCATCTCCAGCAGCATCAGAGTCCAAGTGTCTACAATGGGTAACAACACACCCCACCTACCAGCTGGCTCCTGAAGTCAATACTGGGTGTATAGCATCTCCTAGGCCATGCCCAGGAAGAGTGCTTGATTCCATTGTGCTCAAGCCCCAGACAAAATTGTTCATGTCCAGAGGCTCCCAGCCAGGGACCATAGCTACCAGCCAAAAGGTATGGCCACCTTGGGTCATGTTAGGCTTTCCTGAAGACCAAGGGTCAAGAGAAGCTTCTAGCTCACTGGTTGTACCCAGATTGAAAAGATCTGTACTGTCTTATTCTTGATTCCTGTAATCCTGTAATCGCCTAATGGGTTCTTCCTGCCCACTGCACAGACAATACCAATTCATTGAGACTATGGAATTGCAGTAAAGAAAATGTTTTAATTGACATGAGGCCAGCCACACAACATGGGAGATGGAGATGGAGTTAATACTCAAATCAATCTCCCCAAAAATTCAGAGGCTAGGGTTTTTCAAGGATAGTTTGGTAAACAGGGGGATAGGTGAATGGGTACTGCTGATTGGTTGTGGATGCAATCGTAGGTGTGTGGAAAATTGTCCTCATGTGCTAAGTCTGCTTCTGGGTCGGGGCCACAGGAGCAGTTGAGCCAAAAATCACAGGTCTGGGTGGGGCCATCTGGTCATCAAAAATGCAAAAGCCTGAAAGGACATCTCAAAAGGCCAGTCTTAGATTCTACAATAGTGATGTCATCTGCAGAAGGAATTGCGGAAATTGCAAATCTTGCGACTGCCAGAATAATGTCTGGTAATCATTCATGCCTAGATCTTAGCAGAATTCAGGCTCCTCTCATCTTCCTAACTTCGTAGTGTTTCATTAGTTTTACAAAGGCAGTTTAGTTTTGGGGAAGGACTATTATTATTTAAACCATAAACTAATTTTTTCCCAAAGTTAGCTTGGCCCAAGCCCAGGAGTGACCAAAAGCAATTTGGAGGTTAAAGGCAAGATGTAGGTTGGTTAGATTATGTCTCTTTCACTGTCATAATTTTCTCATTGTTATGATCTTGCAAAGAGAGTTTCATTCCTACTTGGGCATCAAGACTCCAGGCTTACACAACAAAAGGAAGAGGGGAATCTTTTAAACACTGTGGTAGAATCCTACAATCTGAGGCCTCAGGGCTCTATTCTTTGCCTATTAATGGAATTCAGAAAGTTCTCCTTTTAAGATAAAATTTGGCTTCCAAGGCTTATTTTCTTGCTGCTGAGTCCATTTTGAATGTCACAAGCTAAATAATGGCACTTGCTTTTCCTTTGCATTCTAACTTTAAGAATCCTAATGTCTCGGTTTTCTAGGAAGTTGTGTGCCTTGACTATGGAGAAGGTCAGTTACATGGAAAAAAACAAAGAGAAATGCTTGTTACTAAATTTCAATACATTGACCCTGGTGCATGGGCACTCAGTGCCCTCTAAGAGGCAGGCTTAACCTAACTCTCCTGCCTCATCTCTCCTCACTCTCCTCTTCTTCACCTAGGAATTTTGCCAACCCAGGCAATGCAGAATTCCTGGCACAGAAACTGTGCAGCTCCCTTTCCTCGTGCTATTTATTCTGCCTAGAAGGCCCTTCCCTTCCTGTCTTCATCCATTTTAAAAAATCGACCCATTTTCTTCTAAATCTATCTTCTTCTGAGCCACTCATCACATCTGCTCCACAATAAACTTTATGTACATCTTTCTTCTCTGATTTCTGACAGCACTCACTCATCTCTTTTGTACTTCTCCTGCTTTGCCTTGTGCCAAAGTAACTTGTGCAGGTTTTCACCCCTCATACTGGCTCCTGAGCTCCTTGAGAACAAGAATAATATTCTGTTTTACTTTGGTTTCTATACAACACTTGTAGACTCAAGTTTGAAATGATGAAGATAGCAGTGTTAATTAGGTTAGGTTTGGCCACATATAAAGAAGAAATAATAGTAGCTTAAACACAAAGGATGTATTCTGTGACAAAAAAAAAAAGAAGCAGCAGCCCAGGGATAGGGTTGTTTGGGGTCAAGAAGTCCAGGGCAAGGACTTTTGCTACATGAAGTTATCAGATCCCCAGACTCAGTTCTGCCCTGCCTTCCTCAGAATCTGACTTTCATCCTCAAGAATACCTTGAGGCTTCTCCACTTGTCATATATGAATTATAGGCAGCAGGCAGCAGGCAGGAGAAAATAGGAGAAAGAGCAGAAAGAACACACCAGATCTCCAAAAATAAAATATTAAAAAAAAAAAAAAAAAAAGGAAACAAGCCGCTCACTACCGTAGGGGAGAAAGCATAATTTCTTTTCTTTCCCTTTTTTGGTTCTTACTTGAGACATTCTCCTGAAAACAAAAGTCAAATAAACAAAAGAAAAACAAGCAGAAGTTTATTAACTCCTGCTGTACCCATCAGTGGGAGAGGCCTTTGTTCAAAAGTATTTCTCTCAAGGCAGTGGCTTAGGGGCTTTGCTTACATAGCATTTTAACAAACAGCCATAAATCCTACATAGTGATAAGAAAAAGGGGAGAGCAGTTACAGTCTTTTAAAAGGTGGGAAAACATGGGAAGACAGTAAAATCTATTCCTTGGGTCCTCTGGTGCTTGCTGGTGCCTTCTCTGGGCTGAAAAGCAGGTGCTGTCTCCAGTAAGGAAGGATTTACCTCCACTGTCAGGCAAATACAGGCTGAGGCAGAATGTTCCCCTGTGTTTTCAGTGTTTTTAACTTAACAATCCTCAATATTTTAGGGAGAAATGTTTTGTTTTACTACAATACACACACACACACACACACACACACACACACACACACAGTCACACCATACCTGACAGAGAATCATAAATTGGCGCCATTGTCTCAAGGGTGAAGGGACAGAAGGGGAACTGTCAGAGGCAGCCTAGAGAACAAAGGATTCAAATTATTGGCTTTAGTACTTCTAAGGTCAGATATAAAACAAATAGCAGACCACTTGCAGCAAGCATTCTTCACCCACACAGGAGGATTTCTGAGCTGCATGAGGAGTCAGAAAGACAAGAGAACCAGAGCCTGGGTAGTGCCCCTGGCAACTTTGCCCCTGGCCTCTCTCGGCAGAAGGAAGCCACTGCAAGTGTGGGATGTGGGCACAGAGGAAATCTGAACTGTGCTTCTTATGTAAGGTCCCAGAGTTCACCCACACCCCGCAGTGGCAGAGCACATATAGTGACCAAGAAAGAGAAGCTTTAGACAACCTCACTGAGTGCTCATGACCCCAATGTCACTTGGAAGAGCATCAAAAACTTTCTTTAACCTGACTGTACCTACAGCGACTCGGTATAACAGAAAAAGCCCAAAGACCTGAAGAAGACTCAATATCAGTCAAATCAAGAACAGAGAATATTCTTCTAGGACTTGCATCTGAATCCATTTGGGAAAGCCCATGTTTCATGGATGCTGGCAAGGATAAAAGCCAATAACTGAGTCTAGCAGGAATGAGCAGGTATGACTGACAGAAGCAGATGCCAATAGGGACCAATGACAACCAAGGATAAGATGTCCCTTCTTCATGGGTGCTGGGAGATTCCTCAGAATTTATTTAGTTAGTTTATTTGTTTGTTTGTTTTTTGAGGCAGGGTCTTGCTCTGTCGCCCAGGCTGTAGTGCAATGGTGCGATCACAGCTCATTGCAGCCTTGACCTCCCAAGCTCAAGCAATCCTCCCACCTCAGCCTCCCAATTAGCTGGGACTACAGGTACACTCCACCATACCTGGCTCCTTTTTTTTTTTTTTTTTTTTTTTGAGACAGAGTCTCGCTCTGTCACCCAGGCTGGAGTGCAGTGGCGCCATCTTGGCTCACTACAAGCTCCGCCTCCCAGGTTCACGCCATTCTTTTGCCTCAGCTTCCCGAGTAGCTGGGACTACAGGCGCCCGCCACCATGCCCAGGTAATTTTTTTGTATTTTTAGTAGAGATGGGGTTTCACTGTGTTAACCAGGATGGTCTTGATCTCTTGACCTTGTGATCCACCCGCCTTGGCCTCCCAAAGAGCTGGGATTACAGGCGTGAGCCACCACGCCCAGCCCTGGCTACTTTCTTATTTTTATGTAGAGATAGGGCCTCGCTATATTTTCCAGACTAGTCTTGAACTCCTGGTCTTGAGCAATCCTCCAGATTTGGCTTCCCAAAGAGTTGGGATTACAGGTGTGAGCCACTGCACCTGGCCAATTCCTCAGAATTTATATGAAACCTCCTTGGAAAAAAAAAAAAAAAAAGTGGGGCAAATCAGAATTAACTGAATGGAGCCCAAGTATTAAATTCAGTTTTAAAAAATAAAGTTATAATGTTTCAAATATAGGATCTTTAAAAACCATACCCATATCATCAACAATGAAAGTAACTGACCAGTTCTTCCGAGAAAGAGGATAATAAGGTAATGGTGTGGCTAAACTGGGAAGTCTTCAAAAAGAGCTGTTAGATCTGGGTTATGAGAAGTAAGCATTTACTCTGCTGTCAAGTGGGGGTCACAGGAAGACATTCCTGGCAGAGGGCCCTTGTACACAGAAATAGTGGCATCTCAAAAGTAAAAGAGCCCTCTAAGAGAAAGAATGTGGCCGACTTAGATAATACCCACCCTTCTCTTTTGTGGGTTTTCTCTATTCACACTTCAGATTGGTTTGTGTTACATCATTGTTATTTTCTTTTAATTTTTAATTTTTATTTGTATTTACATAGTTTTGGGAAAACAAGTGGTGTTTGTTTACATGGATAAGTTCTTCAGTGGTGATTTCTGAGATTTTTGTGCACCCATCACCCAAGCAGTGTACACTGTACCCAATGTGCAGTCTTTTATCCCTCACTCACCTCCCACCCTTTCCCCTCGAGTCCCCAAAGTCCATTATATTATGTTTATGGCTTGGCATTCTCATAGCTTAACTATCGCTTATAAGTGAGAACATAAGCTGTTTAGTTTTCCATTCCTGAGTTACTTCACTTAGAATAATGGTCTCCAACTCCATCCAGGTTGGCGTGTATGACATTACTTCATTCCTTTTTATGGCTGAGTAGTATTCCATGGTGCGTGTGTGTGTGTGTGTGTGTGTGTGTGTGTGTGTGTACATTTCCTTTATCTACTTTTTAGTTGATGGACATTTAGGCTGGTTCCATATTTTTGCAATTGCAAATTGTGCTGCTATAAATATGCACATGCAAATGTCATTTTCATAGAATGGCTTCTTTTCCTCTGGGTAGATGCCCAGCAGTGGGATTGCTGGATCAAATGATAGTTCTACTTTTAGTTCTTTGAGGAATCTCTATACCATTTTCTATAGTGGTTGTACTAGTTTACATTCCCACCAGCAGTGTAAATGTGTTCCCTTTTCACTACATCCACAGCAACATTTGTTATTTTAGATGATTAAATTGTGGCCATTCTTGCCAGAGAGGTTGTTATCCCATGGTTTTGATGGGCATTTCCATAAAAATTAGTGATATTGAGCATTTTTTCATGTTTCCTGGCCTTTTGTATATCTTCTTTTGAGAACTGCCTATTCGTGTCCTTTGCCCCTTTTTGATGGGATTATTTGTTTTTTCTTGCTGATTGAGTTCCTTGTAGATTCTGGATATTAGTCCTTTGTTGGATGCACAGTTTATGAAGATTTTCTCCCATTCTGTGGGTTGTCTGTTTACTCTGCTGATTATTTCTTTTCCTGTGCAGAAGGTTTTTAGTTTAATTAGGTCCCATCTATTTATCTTTGTTTTTGTCACATTTGCTTTGGGTTCTTGGTCATAAACTCTTTGCCTAAGCCAATATCTAGAAGAGTTTTTCTAATGTCATTTTCTACACTTTTTATGGTTTCAGGTTTTAGATTTACCTTTTTTATCCATCTTGAGTTGATTTTTATATAATGTGAGAGATGAGAATCCAGCTTCATTCTTTTACATGTGGCTTGCCAATTATCCCAGCACCATTTGTTGAATAGGGTGTCCTTTCCCCAGTTTATGTTATTGTTTGCTTTGTCAAGGATCAGCTGGCTATAAGTGTATGGCTTTATTTCTGGGTTCTCCATTCTGTTCCATTGGTCTATGTCCCTATTTTTATACCAGTACCATGCTGTTTTGGTAACTATAGCCTTGTAGTACAGTTTGAAGTTAGTTAATGTGATGCCTCCAGACTTGTTCTTTTTGCTTAGTCTTGCTTTGGCCATGCAGGCTTTTTTCTAGTTCCGTATGAATTTTAGGATTTTTTTCCTAGTTCTGTGAAGAATGATGATGGTATTTTGATGGGAATTGCAATGAATTTGTACATTGCTTTTGGCAGTATAGCTATTTTCACAATATTGATTCTACCTATCCATAAGCATGTGATGTGTTTCCAATTGTTTGTGTTGTCTGTGATTTCTTTCAGCACTGGTTCATAAATTTTCCTTGTAGAGATCTTTCACCTCCTTAGTTAAGTATATTTCTCAGTATTTTATCTTTTGCAGCTATTGTAAAAGAGGTTGAGTTCTTGATTTGAATCTCAGCCTTGTCGCTGTTGGTGCATAGCAGTGCTACTGATTTGTGTACATTGATTTTGTATCCTGAAACTTCACTGAATTCATTTATCAAATCTAGGAGCGTTTTTGGACAAGTCTTTAGGGTCTTCTAGGTATACAATCACATCATCAGCAAACAGCAACAGTTTGACTTCCTCTTCCTCTTTACCAATTTGGATACCCTTTATTTCTATCTCTTGTCTGATTGTTCTGGCTAGGACTTCCAGTACTATGTTGAATAGAAGTGGTGAAAGTGGGCATCCTTGTCTTGTTCCAGTTCTCAGGGTGAATGCTTTCAACTTTTCCCCATTCAGTATAATGTTGGCTGTGGGTTTGTCATAGATGGCTTTTATTACCTTGAGGTATGTCCTTTTTATGCCAATTTTGCTGAGGGTTTTAATCATAAAGGATGCTGAATTTTGTCACATGCTTTTTCTGCATCTATTGAGATAATCATATGATTTTTGTTTTTAATTCTGTTTATGTGAAGTATCACATTCATTGACTTGTGTGTTAGACTATCCTTGCATCCCTGGTATGAAACCCACTTGATCATGGTGG
The DNA here is from genome assembly GCF_000001405.40 of Homo sapiens. Classification (NCBI taxonomy): domain Eukaryota; kingdom Metazoa; phylum Chordata; class Mammalia; order Primates; family Hominidae; genus Homo; species Homo sapiens. The sequence continues at coordinate 113,667,669 of NC_000005.10, read as the reverse complement.
ATTATCTTTTTGGTATACTGTTGGATTCAGCTAGCTTGCATTTTGTTGAGGATTTTTGCATCTACTTTCATCAGAGATATTGGTCTGTAGTTTTCTTTTTTGTTGTTGTTATGTTCTTTACTGGTTTTGGTATTAGGGTGATACTGGCTTCATAGAATGATTTCGGTTGGATTCCCTCTTTCTCTATCTTTAGCAATAGTTTCAGAAATAATGGTACCAATTATTCTTTAGATGTCTGGCAGAATTCAGCTGTGAATTCATCTGGTCCTGAACTTGATTTGTTGGCAATTTTTAAATTACTGTTTCAACCTCATTACTTGTTATTCATCTGTTCAGAGTTTCTATTTCTTCCTGATTTAATCTAAGATGATTGTACGTTTACAATTGTTTACCCATCTCCTCTAGATTTTCTAGTTTGTGTGCGTAAAGGTGTTCACAGTAGCCTTTAATGATCGTTTGTATTTCTGTGGTAGCAGTTGTAATATCTCCTGTTTTGTTTCTAATTGTGCTTATTTGGATCTTCTCTCTTTTTTTCTTGGTTAATCTTGCTAATGGTCTATCAATTTTATTTATCTTTTCAAAGAACCAGCTTTTCGTTTCATTTGTCTTTCGTATTATTTTTGTTTGTTTGTTTCAATTTCATTGAGTTCTGCTCTGATCTTTGTTATTTATTTTCTTCTGCTGAGTTTCGGTTTGGTTTGTTCTTGTTTCTCTAGTTCCTTGACGTGTGACCTTAGATTGTCTATTTGTGCTCTTTCAGACTTTTTGATGTAGGCATTTAAGGCTATGAACTTTCCTCTTAGCACTGCCTTTGCAGTATCCCAGAGGTTTTGATCAGTTGTGTCAGTGTTATCGTTCAGTTCAAAGAATTTTTAAATTTCCATCCCGATTTCATTGTTGACCCAAAGATCATTCAGGAGCAGATTATTTAATTTCCATGTATTTGTATAGTCGTGAGGGTTCCTTTTACAGGAAATAAAACACACAGTTTTATTCCACTGTGGTCTGGAAGGGTACTTGATATAATTTCAGTTTTCTTAAATTTATTGAGACGTGTTTTGTGGCATATCATATGGTCTATCTCGAAGAGTTCCATGTGCTGATGAAAAGAATGTATATTCTGCAGCTGTTGGATATAATATTCTGTAAATATTTGTTAAGTCCATTTCTTCTAGGGTATAGTTTAAGTCCACTCTTTCTTTGTTGACTTTTCTGTTTTGAGGACCTGTCTAGTGCTGTTACTGGAGTATTGAAGTTCCTCATTATTTTATTTTATTTATTTATTTTTTTGAGACCGAGTTTCACTCTTGTTGCCCAAGCTGGAGTGCAGTGGTGTGATCTCAGCTCACTGCAACCTCCGCCTCCCAGGTTCAAGCGATTCTTCTGCTTTCAGCCTCCTGAGTAGCTGGGATTACAGGCACGCACTACCACACCTGGCTAATTTTTTGTATTTCTAGTAGAAATGGGGTTTCACCATGTTAGCCAGGCTGGCCTCGAACTCCTAACCTCAGGTTATCTGCACGCCTCCACCTCCCAAAATGCTGGGATTACAGGCATGAGAAGTCCCCCGTTATTACTGTATTGCTGTCTGTCTCATTTCTTATGTCTAGTAATAATTGTTTTATAAATTTGGGAGCACCCATGTTAGGTGCAAACATAATATTTAGGATTGTCATATTTTCCTGTTGGGTTAGTCCTTTTATCATTACATAATGTCCCTCTTTGTGTTTTTTAATTACTGTTGCTTTAAAGTCTGTTTTGTCTGATATAAGAATAACTATTCCTACTTTCTTTTGGTTTCCATTTGCTTGGAATATATTTTTCTACCCCTTTACCTTAAGTTTATGTGAATCCATATGCATTAAGTGAGTCTCTTGAAGACAGCAGATACTGGTTGATGGATTTTTATCCATTCTGCCATTCTGTATCTTTTAAGTGGAACATTTAGGCCATTTACATTCAATGTTAGTATGGAGATGTGAGGTACTACTTTATCCATTGTGCTAGTTGTTGCCTGAATACCTTGGTTTTTTTTCATTGTGTTATTGTTTTTTAGGCCCTGCGAGATTTATACTTTAAGGAGGTTCTATTTTGGTGTATTTCGAGGTCTTGTTTCCAAAATTGAAATCCTTTTAGCATTTCTTGTAGTGCGGGTTTGGTAGTGCCAAATTCTCTCAGCATTTGTTTATCTGAAAAAGGATTTATGTCTCCTTCATTTATGAAGCTTAGTTCTCCTGGATACAAAATTTTTGGCTGGCAATTATTTTGTTTGAGGCTAAAGATAGGACCCCAAACCCTTCTGTATTATAGCGTTTCTGCTGAGAAATCTGCTGTTAATCTGATAGGTTTTCCTTTATAGGTTACTTGATGCTTTTGCCTCGCAGCTCTTAAGATTCTTTTCTTTGTCTTGACTTTAGATAACCTGATGACTATATGCCTGGGTGATGATTTTTTGCAATAAATTTCCCAGGTGTTCTTTGAGCATCTTATATTTGGATGTCTAGCTCTCTAGGCTGGGGAAGTTTTCCTTACTTATTCCCTCAAATATGTTTTCCAAACTTTTAGATATCTCTTCTTCTTCAGGAACACCAATTATTCTTAGGTTTGGTCATTTAACATAATCTCAAATTTCTTGGAGGCTTTGTTCATTTTTTTATTATTCTTTTCTCTTTGTCTTTATCTGATTGGGTTAAGTCAAAGGCCTTGTCTTTGAGGTCTGAAGTTCTTTCTTCTACTTGTTTTATTCTATTGTTGAAACTTTTCAGGGCATTTTGTATTTTTCTATGGGTGTCTTTCATTTCCAGAAGTTGTGATTTTTTTTCATTATGATATTTATTTCTCTGGAGCATTTTTCATCCATATCCTGGATTTTTTTTTTAATTTATTTAAGTTGGTTGTCACCTTTCTCTGGTATCTCCTTGAGTAGCTTAATAATCAAGCTTCTAAATTTTTTTATTTGGCAATTCAGAGTTTCTCCTTGGTTTGGATCCATTGCTGGGGAGTCTTTTTGGAGTGCTATAGAACCTCATTTTGTCATACCACCAGAATTACTCTTATGATTCCTTCTTATTTGGGTGGACTATTTCAGTGGAAAAATATGGAACTCATAGGCTGCTGTTCAGATTCTTTTGTCCCACAGGGTGATCCCTTGATGTGATGAACTCCTCCTTCCCCTACGGATGGGGCTTCCTGGAAGCTGGACTGCAGTGATTGTTATTGCTCTTCTGAGTCTAGCCACCCAGTGGGGCTACAAGGCTCCACGCTGGTGCTGGGAAGTGTCCCCAAAAAGTCCCGTGATGTGATCTGTCTTCAGTTCTCCCTGCTGTGGATACCAGCATCTGCTCTGGTGGAGGTGGCAGGGGAGTTAAATAGACTCTGTAAGAGTCCTTGGTTGTAGATATGTTTAGAGTGCTGGCTTTCTTGAATGCTGATTATGCTAGCAGTGAAGTTGTCACATGGACAGACTCAGGATCACTGGTTAGCCAGGATGTTGTAGGCAGTGAAATTAGCTGTTGTTTTCTCCTTCCTTGGAGCAGGCTTGTTCTGTCATGAGTTGTTGTGATGTCCTGAGTTGGCTGGCCTCCAGCCAGAAGGTGGCGCTTTTGAGAGAACACCAGTTTTTCGCCTGTCTCACGGAATGTGCAGCAGCCTGCAGCTTCTTCCAAAGGATCTCATTATTATTCGTTTAATACAGAAGTGCTAGTTCCTTAGTAGTATACTCAATGGTTCTAGAGAAAAGCAAAATCTTGATGGAATTTTTAGCCAAAGAAGTGCCTTGGATACTGGCTAGAACAAGTTAAATACTTCTGTGTATGGGGTCCATTTGGGTGTTACCTCTTCCTAAACTTCAAAAAAGAAATATGATCAAACAGAATGCATTAGCCCTATCAGCCTAATCTCATTTGGATGGGCAGCAGACAGTTCCAGACTAATCTCCTTCAAGCACTGCTTAGAAGATGTTCTCACACATCACCCTTCTGAAAGAGCTCACCAAACCCTACTGGATTTGATTTGATCCTTTGTTATCTGACAGGTATGGGGATCCATGGAGAAAGCAAAATTACTTAACATTATTGAGTGATTACTTCCTGTTGGAGATTTTGAGCACTATAACTGTTTCTACAATAACTCAAAAATACGCCATTCCCAGTACCAAGGGTGTGGAAAACCATGTGTTTTTATCTAGAGCACCTCAGCTTTAGAGGACTACCATGGGCAATGCTGACAATACCCACACTGTTGTTTTCATGAGCCCATTCTTCTAACTTCTCCTCAGAAAGGTCAAATAAATATGTTTCACGTGTACATAGGCATACCCACTCACAGAGATGCCAATTTAAAACCATGCTACATTAAAAATGAAGACAATCTTCAAATGTACTTCGGTGGGATATAAGACACTTAGAAAAGCAGCCCTTTGAAACACTGTAAAGTGAGCATGTATTTTCTCTACTACCTGTCAAAATCCCTAAAATAAAGGAACAAAGGGGCTAAACAAATTAAAAAGACAAAAGGGCAAGAAACCAGAAGACAATGGACCAGCAATGACAAGAGCATTCTAGAAGATGCAGAACAGAGGAATGAGTGACCACTGACTGCCCTGCCGATCTGTGATTGTGTGACAAACTACCATCGGGCGTAGCAACTTAAAACAACTATTTTTTATATTCACAGATTCTGGAAGTCAGGAATTTGAAAAGGACATGGCAGGAACATCTTGTCACTTCACAATGTTGGTGGTTTCAGCTAGGAAGACTCAAAAACTGGAGTGATTCAACAACTTGTGGGTATTAAAACTATCTGGAGACTCTGTTACTCATACAACTGGCAGTTGATGCTAGCTAGCTATTGGCCGGAACCTCAGCTTGGTCTGTCTCCTGAAACACCTGCATGTGATCTTTTTATGTAGTCTAGGCCTTTGTCAGGGCATGGCAGCCTAGGACTTCTTACATAGCACCTCGGGTATCAGAAGATGAGTGTCCCAGGAGAACCAGTCAGAAAGCACATCATCTTTTCTGATCTAGCTTTGGACACCACTTATTATTGTTTCGCTATACTCTATTGGTCAATCACTCACTGAGGTCAGCCCATATTCAAGAAGAGAGAACACAGACCCCCACCTTTCATTGGAAGAAAAGTCAAAGTATTTTCAGACATGTTTTAAAACCACTATATCTTTTGGGAGGGTGACGTGGGAGGATAGCTTGAGGCTGGGAGATTGAGACCAGCCTAGGAAATATGGCGAAACCCCATCTCTACAAAAAATTCAAAAATTAGCTGGTCATGGTAGCACATGCCTGTGGTCCCAGCTACTCGGGAGGATGAGGTGGAAGGATTGCTTGAGCCCAGGAGTTTGAGGCTGTAGAGAGTCTTGTTTATGCCACTGCACTCCAGCCTGTGTGACAGAGTGAGACCCTTTCTGAACCAAGAATCAATCGATCAATCAATCAAAATCACTACATCTACTTAGCAGAGTGGGAAAAGCTGGAATTTTAGAATTTGTAAAAGAGCATGCAAACAAAAACAAGGCAATTCATGCTGTAGAACTCTAGTACATCTTGGGAATTGAATACATCAGATACCAAGGTGAAGGGATAGGGTACAGCAAAGAGGGGGGAAGGTTGAAACAAAACTGGGTGAACCTCTACATAAGGAGCACTTCGGCTCCCAGATCCTTTCCCCAACTTGCACAGACAGACCACTAACCCAGTCTTACACCAGCAAGAGGAGAAAAATGTGTTCTCCGGAGCAGCAGTTCTTAAAGTATAGAGTCCCCAGGACACTTCTGGGGATTTACATGATCAAAACTATTTTTATAATAATACCAGAATATTATATGTGTTTTTCATTCTCATTAATACATAGGGGAGTTTTCCAGAGGGTACATGCAGAGAAGCTATGAGAATCCAGCTGCCTTCTATTAAGTTAGACATTTAAAAGATTTGTAAAGATGTAAAATAATGCTACTGTTTTCACTAAATTGTTTGTTATAGGAAATAATTGGGGTGGGTCAGAGGAATGTTGCTTTTTGGTATATTCTATTACACTATTTGACTTTTTAGACTATGTATTAGTCTAAGCATGCATTACTTTAATAGATTAAAAATATAGGGTTATGATTAAATTGGAATGTCATTTTGCAATTACTAATGAATTAATAGGTATAGGCATTGATCATCAAAGACAGCTAATGTTTAAAGAGAGAGAGACAACAAGACTGTGGGTGTTTCCCAAAGGATGAACAAAATACCACCTGTGAAGTAGACCTCCCCCAAGCCCCAAATCAAATCTGAATCTGAATCTGATTAAACTCTAGAACTCATTACCCATTTACAGGAAATACAAAGGATGTTAAACAGCACCACAGGAATATAATCAGCAATATCCAGACTATGAAAAACTCTATAGAGCAAGCAATTCAATTTCTTTAACTTAAAAGGGAAGGGGAGAGCAGGAGGAGGAAAAAAAGCAACTTAAGAAATACCTTATATATCCCCAGTGTCTAGGAATGGGCTGTTAAACTGGACTTTCAGGCCAAATACTCAAAAGAAAGGGAGGGTTTATTTCCATGTAACTACTTGGAATACTTGGAATAAAAGACACCCTTATGTCAACATCTCAGTGATGACAAGAGGTAAGCATATTTCAGTTTCAAATAGCTCATTATTCAGGAAAAGCAGCTTCTACAGGAAATGCCCACATATGTGTACCTAGAAGCCAAACCATGTGGTCCCCAATATGGTCATTCAGATGCATCCATTCTGCCTTGTTGAGGCACTACGCAGTGCTTGTCATCTAACTAATCATCACACAGGGACAGATTTCATTCCATGCAGGGCCTGTGGCCAAGGAAAATTCCACAACAAAAAGGAAAAATGCCCAAAAGACAGTTTCTGAATACTAATTAAAACCAGCAAGACTAAAATACAAGTATTCTATCTGTAAGAATAAATTACAATGAATCAAAACCCCTAATCATAAAAATTTAGCTTTGAGACAAAATCAAACATTCAGAGATCTCAGCACATATCTAAGTATGGGCACTTTTTACACTAGCCTACGTCAGTCAATATATGATATTCCCCTGACCACAGCCATGGGTTCAGGAATTCGCAATTAGCCCTGTCACTGCCAGTCAAGTACCAGGAGAGGTTTGCTGATACTTCTGGGATGGAGCAGTTAAAGTTTCAAGGACATAAGATCCGGAGCTGCTGCTCTCTGTCCCCCAAGGAATGAGCTTGCCTGAGAATGGGGCCCAAGTGAAGGGAGTAGAGCTGACAGATGGAAAGAAATGCGATCCCACTTACATTGTTTGATCCCCTAATTAAGCTACTGAGCATTCCATTAGGACCTCTCTGTCAATCATCTATTTACCAGTATGAGAGAGATGAGTTGGAATTTTTTTACAGCAACTGAAGAAGTCCTAAATGATACAAAGATAAAGGATATAGCAGGCAGAGGAGGTTTCACTGTAGCAAACAATGGCCTGCCCCAGCCCAGCTGCCCACAGCAGAGACATTTGGGCCTGAATCACCAAGCTCCCCTGTGGCTGTGATGCATTTGTGGCAAGAAGCTAGCATTTATCAGCTTTGTCCTTCATATCAGCATCTGCCCTGCTGCTGTAGCAGCATTAGGTAATATATTAGTTTCCTAGGGCTTCCATAAGAAATCACCACAAACTAGGTGGCTTAAAACAATGGAAATGTATTCCTTCACAGTTCTGGAGGCCAGAAGTCACAAATCAAGGTGTCAGCAGGGCCGTACTCCCTCCAGAGCCTCTAGGAGAGATTCCACTCCTTGCCTCTTCCAGCTTCGGGTGGCTACGGGGATTGCTCGGCTTGTGGGTCCATCATTCCAATCTCTGCCTTCTTGGTCCTACAGCTCTTATTGCCTTCTCCTTTTCTCTCTAATCTCCATCTGCCTCCCTCTAAAAAGGATGTTTGTCATTGGATATAGGACCCACCCAGACAACCCAGGATTATCTCCTCATCTCAAGATCCTTAATTTAATCTCCTCTGCAAAGGCACTTTTCCCAAATAAGGTAACATGGAACGTGAACATATCCTTCTGAGGGCCATCATTCAGCCCACTACAGGTAATTAATGTCCTTAAAAACTCATCGCAGAGCATGAAGCATCTTGTTGAGGTAATACTCTGTGGCATGTTGGTTCCCAAACTGCTCACACACTACAAACACCTGGGAAACTCACAGTGCCCAGATGGCACCCCATGCCAACTAAATTGTAGTGTATGGGAGTGAGAACCAGGCCTCAGTCATTTTTAAGGATTTCCCTCTGGTGATTCCAACAATGTTTTGGGAACCACAGGTTTCATAGCAGTTCTTTATTTATCTTTTCACTTATCTTCAAGTTCAAAATTCTTTGATATACTTTTTCTGTTTATTAAAACTCTTAAATGTTTCCCTCATGGTTTCTTTATTAAAATAAAGTCATTTATAAAAAAAATCTTATTGGATATTTGCTTATGTTTTTCCCTTGATCACGCTTATGAGAACTTAGGAACTGCTCTCACCGCAGAGATCCACAAATTTGCCAGTCCTTTCCCAGTGTACACATCTCTGCCAATGGCAAAACCAGCTGCCTTGGATTTAATTCCTTTGAGTAAAGATTTGTACCCACTGGATTGCACGCCATTTCCAAAGAATTACTTTAAAAGGAATGATTAAACTTTAAAAGTTTTGGGGTCTATAAAGTAACCCCAGAGAATAAAAGGAAGAGATGGAGTTTTGAAGGAATCTTGGTAATGGATATGGAAAAGAAGTGTTTAAATTTCTTGTATTTCAAGAGAGATGGTTTGGAATGCTTTCAAATGAGGTCAATAGCTGTAGAGAGAATCTCAGCACGTAGCACTGGTCCTATGACACTGTGTACTCAGGAACATGCCTAGTTTCTTTTTGCAAAGAAAGTAAGTTCAGCTTGAGGCAAACATGTAGTTAAATTAGCTCTAGATATTGAAACCATAACCTCTGACCATTCTCCTTATCAATTTTTTATCAAACGTACCATCATTCTAATGAAATATTTGAGGTAAAAGTATTTCTCAGTATGCATCTCTTCTCACATTGATTCTTTAAGTTCTTAGATGCAGAAAAAAGTTATTGCATGATCCCAAAGTCCAGAAAAGAATAGAAGATAGCACGTCCTTACCTAAAGAAGGGTTTTTATACCTGTTTTATATTACTGAGAGTGATTTTTTCCCCCACAATATCAGTGTGAAATCAGTCATGAGTATTTAAAAACATTGTTTATATTAACATATATTTTTCTAGGTAATGTGACTTTTTATATTATATTTTAATATTTGCTAAACCCTTTAATAAGTTCCAGATATCATACTTCCTGTCTTATAAGTGCTCATGGCCAGAGGACAGAGAAGCCCTAATGCAGTCAAAATCAACAAATATTTATTGCCTACTTTATGCAATGCATTTTTTTAAAAATGAGATAACAAGAGGTTCCACACCATTCATGGGCTGGAGAGATTTCCTGGGCCTTGAGTGAAGACCAGGGCTTGAACAAGGAGAGCATGCTACCCAAGGAAATCAGTAGGAGCAAAGGAGAATATATATGAAAGTAAGCCATGGTGGCAGATACCTGGCTGTTGTTTGCTAAGGATCAATTTCTTCCTTTTTCAATAACTGCAAGCCAACTTTCTCTGACAATCTATTCTTCTTTCACTCTCAGCTTGCCACAGCTTGTGGATCCTAACAGAAAACATAAAACTCCCGGGCCGGAATCAAAACACTGGGTTACTCACAGCAATAGTAGTTGCCAGAGTATTCACATTTTCTTAGGTCAGTTCCAAGCCCCAGTTACCAAAAAGCAAAGCAATGAGAGCCAAGTGCTACCTGCACACTCAGTAGGGTGTTACAGGAACCCAATATTTTACAATGAACAGTAAGCATGGCTGCCTTTGTTCTGGAAGGAAATACTATCTCTATCTTCCAAGGATGTTTGCCATAAAACATCATTGAAAAGATAGCCCAAAACAAAGTCATTCAGTGCTTCTGCTCACAAGATGTGCAGAAAGCCAAGAGACTCATGGAGAAATGTCTGCCAATGCCTACATTTTGGTTTTCGAGTTCATTCTTCTCCATGAAGTATACTGAATATACAACCACTCAATTAAAAGCTATTAGTCATCCGGCAGACTTGAATGACAAGGAGCTTACTACCTTAATTCCCCCAATGAAAAGGAAGGACCAGAAGAACTACATTAGGAACTGCACCTACTCATGCCTCAGAAAAGCATAAAAACCTTGCTAGGAAATATTGACGGATACAACAATCCCCAAACTTCAACTCTTGAGAGAGGATTTTGGATTTCAGTGAGAGAGAGTACGCAGCCATTTTCAGAAAACATCATTTCTTTACTGAGGTAGAAAGAACATTGACTTCTGCCTTTTTGTAAATCATCTATTTCATTTGCCAGGTTACTTTCAAACCATCTCATTTTAAAGAGAAGTATGCATCATAAAAATAAAAACATATTTTTCCTTGTTTCTTTTGTCTGATAAAGTAACAAAGGGTAACATGTTTGAGAGAGGTGAATTTATTACAAAGAAATTTCTACTTAACAATGTGGGCAATAAACTAAGGAAACCTATTACCTTTAAGTGATCATGCCAGTGAATTTTTTCAAAGATTTAGACAAATTCGTGAGTAAGAAATGGGTCTTAGTTCAGGCTGTTACAACAAAATACCATAGATTGGGTCCCTTAGATAACAGACATTTGTCTCTCACAGTTCTGGAAGCTGGAGGTCCAAGATCAGGATGCTGGCATGGCCAGGAACCAGTGAGGGGGCCTCTTCCTAGCTTGCAGATGGCTGCCTTCTTGCTGTGCCCTTGCATGGATGTAAATTTCTCACTCTTCAGTCAGACAGGCAGAGAAAATGTACCTTTTTAGTAGAACTCTTCTGATCATTTGCACAAGTATCCACCAGTTAGTAGCAGAGGGAAAACATTTACCCTTTAATTCAATCTAGTAATTTTCTGTCTGAGACCATACTCTGAACTCTCTTGAATTGACTTATCTCTTTTGAAGGCTGCAAGGCAGAGCCCCTGGCTTGCATCATGCAGGAGACAGATACAGCCAGACTTCTGGGACTTACCAGGCTAGGACCATGCCCAGGCTTTCCAAGCTCCTCCCACCCACCACCCCTGCCCTAAGATGGCATGTAGTTGTGTGAGGGGCAGTGGAGAAGGGGATCTTGGATCTGGGATTGGGTGGTGCCCTCTGGCTTCTCTGACCTCTACATCAACCCCCCTAGTCAGCCTGGTCCCTTCTTCCTTGGCCAGTTACAGTACCAGTCAGTGCTTGGTGTAATTTGTGATTTGGTCTTAAAAACCAACAAATAAAATCCTAAGCCCCCAACCTACTACATGGATCTCCTCTTGGCCAAGGAGACCCCAAGAAACCTGAAAAACTGAATTTCCAGCCATGACAAGAAAGGAGGTCGGAAGTACCTCGTTATACCCTTTCCCTTTTGGAGTTTATGCACAATTGACCAGCATTAAGGTTAAAATAGCGCTCAAAAGGCTGACATAACAGACTCTTTATGGCAATAAACTACCAAATTATAAACAAGACCTAAGGCCATGCAAGGTAAGGATGAAGTCACACCCTACAAACCATAACGTCTTGGTAAATGGTTTTTGTTGCTGTTGTTGTTTGTTTTGAGATGGTGTTTTGCTCTTGTCACACAGGCTGGAGTACAATGGCACAATCTCAGCTCACTGCAACCTGTACCTCACGGGTTCAAGCGATTCTCCTGCCTCAGCCTCCTGAGTAGCTGGGATTACAAGCATGCGTCACCACGCCCGGCAAATTTTTGTATTTTTAGTAGAGACGGGGTTTCACCATGTTGGCCAGGCTGGTCTTAAACTCCTGACCTCAAGTGATTCGCCTGCCTTGGCCTCCCAAAGTGCTGGGATTACAGGTGTGATTCACTGCACCTGGCCAGTAAATGGGTTTTTTTATTAACCCAGTATAACACGGCTTACTTTTCAACCTGACTCCAAAATAGCATCACCTGACAGCACACTCTGAAGCAAATCAAAATACTTTACCCCAAAATACATTTTACTGATGTATTTTGAAATGGGCCTGCAAAGTTATCTTTTGTAGGGAAAATTTGTACCTGTAGAGAATCTCCATTAATACAGCCAGGGCTTCCGTTTTTAGGCCTTTCCTGAATATATAAGAGATTACTTAAGACTCTGACACCTTTCAAGATCTGAAAAGTGACATTTACCATCTATTCTCGCTGAGGGCTGATACCTATGAGGCTTTATCTACATAACAAGGGCCTTTGCTCCCATAAACCTCTTAAATCAAGCACACCTTACTACTGACTTCATGTTTCCAGATGATAGTTTAACTCTGTAAACCAATTAACTAAAGAATATCCAAAACCCACCTATGACTTGTATGCCACTGCATGGAAATATTCCATACTTGGAGATGTCCTCCCATTTGGGGCCAAATGTGTACCTTCCATGTATCGACTTATGTCTTTGCCTGTAACTCATGTCTCCCTAAAATGTATAAAACCAAGCTGTAACCCAAGCACCTCAGGACCTCTTGAGACTATTCCCCGAGCCATGATCATTCATACTGACTCAGCAAAAACTTCTTTAAAACATTGTACATAATTTGGTTTTTCCATTAATGGTCTCTTTGGCTGATCCAGGCCTGGCAGTGCTCACTGCTTTTCTTGGCTACTGGAAGTCTGCTGCATGGCCTGTATGATCCTTCAGCTACACTGCAAAGACACCCTTTCCACTGGCACAGCCTAGAGTGACTGCCTCGGTTAAATTTCATGTCCTTCCTGGATTGTGTCTATGCTACCCGTTAACCAAAGTGGGGGGGGGGATGCTAAGCTTAGGCACCCCTTCTGTGTCTAAAACCACTCAGCCAACCATTTAATTTGATGTGGCCACCACCACAAATCAGGAGACATTTACAAATAATCCCCTAGCCCCAACACCAAAATGCCAATTGAGGATAGGGCTCGCTCCTGGCCTTTGGCCTTTCCCTCAGCAGATCCTCAAATCTTTTAGCCCACAGAGGAGGGATTGGGATGTCTCTCACCCCCATCTACTCTGCCTTTCTTCTTTCCTTATCCTACAATTTTTCAGGACAAGAGGATTTCATTTCTTCTATTCTTCGTGTATGAGGATGTGCAGAAAAGCAAACTGTTTTTTCTCCCACAACTCTCTACTTTCACAACACAGAATGCTTCTATGACCAAATGTGTGGGGATTGTTCCCCCAACACCAACCGACCAATCAGTTCTGCAGTGGACACCACCTGGGTGTCCTCTAATTCAATTAGATTGTGATGCTGTCTACCTGGAGATAGCATCGAATCCCACAGGTTGAGGGCTCAGCCCTCACAAGACTGCCCCTGACTTCAGATGACACTTGTAAGCCTCATGTTGTTTTACCTGTGCTTCTAACCTATCAGCTATATATCAGGGTTCCCACAATCCCCTCTTCAGGTTTGACTGGTAGGTATGACTGAAAGTTCCAACCTCTCATCACATAGTTGGTTCCCATGGCAATCAGTCCCCATCCTGAGGTCACCCAGGAGCCTCCAGCCATCAGTCAACTCATCGGCATACATAAACACACCTACTACTCTGGGGATTTCAAGGATTTTAGGAGTTGTATCTCAGGATATCAGACAGAGACCACAGATATATTTCACAATATCAAAGGGGGTATTTTTTTTTAATCTTTGTGGAAGAAACGATACTGATCAAAATCCTCCCTGTTTGGTTCTTGATATGTATAAAATTTGAGGAAACTGAGAAAAATGGTCCATCCTCAATAATGTCTGTCTTGCAAGCTTATTGCCTTAATGCAAAATCCTGTTTGAAATACCAGAAACTGAACACAAATTCTTTCTTTCTCTTTATATTTCCACTGTAACAATCCTTTAACTTTACCTCTATCCCCAGCCATATGAATCCCTCAGGATGTAGAAGAAAAATACATGGAAAGGCAAAAAAGAAAAGCATGGCTTTTAAAAATGAATATTACCTCTGTCAGAGGCGTTTGAACCAGAGTAACTCCATCTTGAATAGGGGCTGGATGAAACAAGGTGAGACCTACTGAGCTGCGTTCCCGGGAGTTTAGGCATTCTTAGTCTCAGGATGAGACAGGAGGTTGGCAGGGTTGATATCACAAGGTACAGGTCATAAAGACCCTGCGGATAAAACAAGATCTGGTAAACAAGCCAGCCAAAACCCACCAAAACCAAGATGAAAGTGAACTCTGGTCATCCTCCCTACTCATTATATACTAATTATAAGGTATTAGCATGCTAAAAAAAAAAAAAAAAAAACTCATCAGTACTGTGACAGTTTACAAATGCCATGGCAATGTCCAGAAGTTACCCTATATGATCTAAAAGTGTGAGAAGCCCTAAGCTGCCCCTTTCTTGGAACACTCATGAATAATCTACCCCTCGTTTAGTATATAATCAAGAAATTACTACTCAGTCGAACAGACCATTCCACTGCTCTGCTTATGGAGTAGACATTCTTTTGCTTCTTTATTTCTCTAATAAAATTGCTTTTGATTTACTCTATGAATTCACCCCAAATTCTTTCTTGATTAAGGTCCAAGAACCCTCTCTTGGGGTCTGGATCAGGACCCCTTTCCAGTAACATCTCAGTTGTAGTCACACTTAACAGCTGTAAGTACGTACATTTTCTGATTCTTACATGCAAATATTGCTGCTACCTTTTTTCTTTAAAAGTTTTTCCTATTCAACCTTAGAGACTTTATCACTTATGCAATGTATGAGCTGTTAACTTGGACACTCACTCGCTTAATAACAGGTACACCTAATGTAACCGAGCAGCTTAGCTTCAAATTGCATTTTAAAACTTTTTTTCTTTCCTCCTTTTCCCCAGTCTCAAAACATAGCTTTGAGACAAACTATGGATGTGTTTTCTTTTGTCCGGAAATACAGCCTTGGAATGTGCTTTAAAACTCCACTCCCTTCCCTTTCAACCCACCTTATGCTCTCACGCCATATGCACATTTATTTACCTGGATGTTTCTTACACTCACACCATGCCCACTTAGCTGGTCATATATTTCCTTAGAAGCTTCAAGGGCCGAATTCTGACACAACCTAGGCACCGCCAGAACTCTCTCCCCAGCTGAAGATACTTCGAGGGCGGAGTTCACTCCCAGCTAGAAATTAACAGCAAGATTGACAGCAATTAATCTGTAACCTAGTTAGGTCCACGATGGAGCCGGCCCCTTCACCAGATGGAACAAGAATTCAAGATAAGCCATTGGAGTGAGTCACGCCACCTGGCACCTCCTAGCCCCTCCTTTCCTCCCCCATATTCCAAGTCCCCTTCTTAAAACCCCTGCCCTCTCTTCAGAAATTGGAAAGGTGGCAATTTTCAGAAAGGATTCTGGCCTCTTCCCCACTTCTGGCAACAGATAATAAAATTCACTCTTTTTATCACCCCTCACTCTTGTCATTTTGGCTTTTTTTTCTACAAGTGGAGAGCAGCCGGACCATCTTTTGGTTACAATAAGCCTTTACTATGGAGATAAAACTACAAAGAATAAATAAATTAATGCCAGAAAATAGTATGCTTTTCATCTTATTTCCATCATTTAGCAACAGTTTGCTTTTTAGGTCACTTTTCTTTTTTTTTTTTTAATTTTTGTGGGTTTTTTTGTTTTGTTTTATTATACTTTAAGTTCTAGGGTATATGTGCACAATGTGCAGGTTTGTTACATAGGTATACATGTGCCATGGTTGTTTGCTCATCAACTTGTCATTTACATTAGGTATTTCTCCTAATGCTATCATTCCCCCAGCCCCCAACCCTCAACAGGCCCAGTGTGTAATGTTCCCCACCCTGTGTCCAAGTGTTCTCATTGCCCAATTCCCACCTATGAGTGAGAACATGTGGTGTTTGGTTTTCTGTCCTTGTGATAGTTTGCTCAGAATGATGGTTTTCAGCTTCACCCATGTCCCTGCAAAGGGCATGAACGCATCCTTTTTATGGCTGCATAGTACTCCATGGTATATATGTGTGACATTTTCTTAATCCAGTCTATCATTGATGGACATTTGGGTTGGTTCCAAATCTTTGCGATTGTGAATAGTGCTGCAATAAACATACGTGTTCATTTGTCTTTATAGTAGCAAGATTTATAATCCTTTGGGTTTAATGGGATTGCTGGGTCAAATGGTATTTCTAGTTCTAGATCCCTGAGGAATCGCCACAATGTCTTCCACAAAGGTTAAACTAATTTACACTCCCACCAACTGTGTAAAAGCATTCCTATTTCTCCAAATCCTCTCCAGCATCTGTTGTTTCCTGACTTTTTAATGATTGCCATTCTAACTGGTATGAGATGGTATCACATTATAGTTTTGATTTGCATTTCTCTGATGACTAGTGATGATGAGCATTTTTTCATGTGTCTGTTGGCTGCATAAATGTCTTCTTTACAGAAGTGTCTGTTCATATCCTTTGCCCACTTTTCAATGGGGTTGTTTTTTTCTTGTAAATTTGTTTAAGTTCTTTGTAGATTCTGGACATTAGCCCTTTGTCAGATGGGTAGATTGCAAAAATTTTCTCCCATTCTGTAGGTTGCCTGTTCACTCTGATGGTAGTTTCCTTTGCTGTGCAGAAGCTCTTTAGTTTAATTAGATCCCATTTGTCTATTTTGGCTTTTGTTGCCATTGCTTTTGGTGTTTTAGTCATGAAGTCCTTGCCCATGACTATGTCCTGACTGGTATTGCCTAGGTTTTCTTCTAGGGTTTTTATGGTTTTAGGTCTAACATTTAAGTCTTTAATCCATCTTGAATTAATTTTTGTATAAGGTATAAGGAAGGGACCCAGTTTTAGCTTTCTACATATGGGCAGCCAGTTTTCCCAGCACCATTTATTAAATATGAAATCCTTTCCCCATTTCTTTTTTTGTCAGGTTTGTTGAAGATCAGATGGTTGTAGATGTGTGGTGTTTTTTCTGAGGCATCTGTTCTGTTCCGTTGGTCTATATATCTGTTTTAGTACCAGTACCATGCTGTTTTGGTTACTGTAGCCTTGTAGTATAGTTTGAAGTCAGGTAGTGTGATGCCTCCAGCTTCGTTCTTTTGGCTTAGGATTGTCTTGGCAATGCAGGCTCTTTTGTGGTTCCATGTGAACTTCAAAGTAGATTTTCCAATACTATGAAGAAAGTCATTGGTGGCTTGATGGGGATGGCATTGAATCTATAAATTACGTTGGGTACTATGACCATTTTCACAATATTGATTCTTCCTATCCATGAGCATGGAATGTTTTTCCATTTGTTTGTGTCCTCTTTTATTTCATCGAGCAGTGGTTTGTAGTTCTCCTTGTAGAGGTCCTTCACATCCCTTGTAAGTATGATTCCTAGGTATTTTATTCTCTTTGTAGCAACTGTGAATGGGAGTCCACTCATGATTTGGCTCTCTGTTTGTCTGTTATTGGTGTATAGGAATGCTTGTGATTTTTTGCACATTGATTTTGTATCCTGAGACTTTGCTGAAGTTGCTTATCAGCTTAAGGAGATTTTGGGCTGAGATGATGGGGTTTTCTAAATATACAATCATGTCATCTGCAAACAGGGACAATTTGACTTCCTCTTTTCCTAATTGAATACGCTTTATTTCTTTCTCTTAACTGATTGCCCTGGCCAGAACTTCCAACACTATGTTGAATAGGAGCGGAGAGAGAGGGCATCCTTGTCTTGTGCCAGTTTTCAAAGGGAATGCTTCCAGTTTTTGCCCATTCAGTATGATATTGGCTGTGGGTTTGTCATAAATAGCTCTTATTTTGAGATACATCCCATCAATACCTAGTTTATTGAGAGTTTTTAGCATGAAGGGCTGTTGAATTTTGTCAAAGCCCTTTTCTGCATCTATTGAGATAATCATGTGGCTTTTGTCATTGGTTCTGTTTATGTGATGGATTGTCTTTATTGATTTGTGTATGCTGAACCAGCCTTCCATCCCAGGGATGAAGCCCACTTGATCATGGTGGATAAGCTTTTTGATGTGCTGCTGGATTTGATTTGCCAGTACTTTATTGAGGATTTTCGCATCAATGTTCATCAGGGATATTGGTCTAAAATTCTCTTTTTTTGTTGTGTCTCTGCCAGACTTTAGTATCAGGCTGATGCTGGCCTCATAAAATGAGTTAGGGAGGATTCCCTCTTTTACTATGGATTGGAATAGTTTCAGAAAGAATGGTACCAGCTCCTCTTTGTTATACCTCTGGTAGAATTTGGCTGTGAATCCGTCTGGTCCTGGACTTTTTTTGGTTGGTAGGCTATTAATTATTGCCTCAATTTCAGAACCTATTATTGGTCTATTCAGAGATTCAGCTTCTTCCTGGTTTAGTCTTGGGAGGGTGTATTTGTCCAGGAATTTATCCATTTCTTCTAGATTTTCTAGTTTATTTGCATACAGGTGTTTATAGTATTCTCTGATGGTAGTTTGTATTCCTGTGGGATCGGTGGTGATATCCCCTTTGTCATTTTTTATTGCATCTATTTGTTTCTTCTCTCTTTTCTTTATTAGTCTTGCTAGCAGTCTATCTATTTTGTTGATCCTTTCAAAAAACCAGCTCCTGGATTCATTGGTTTTTTGAAGGGTTTTTTGTGTCTCTATCTCCTTCAGTTCTGCTCTGATCTTAGTTATTTCTTGGCTTCTGCTAGCTTTTGAATTTGTTTGCTCTTGCTTCTCTAGTTCTTTTAATGGTGATGTTAGGGTGTCAATTTTAGATCTTTTCTGCTTTCTCTTGTGGGCATTTAGTGCTACAAATTTCCCTCTACATACTGCTTTAAATGTGTCCCAGAGATTCCAGTACATTGTGTCATTGTTCTCATTGGTTTCAAAGAACATCTTTATTTCTGCCTTTATTTCATTAATTGTCCAGTAGTCATTCAGGATCAAGTTGTTCTGTTTCCATGTAGTTGTGTGGTTTTGAGTGAGTTTCTTAACCCTGAGTTTTAATTTGATTGCACTGTGGTCTGAGACACACTTTGTTGTGATTTCTGTTCTTTTACATTTGCTGAGGAGTGCTTTACTTCCAATTACGTGGTCAATTTTAGAATAAGTGCGATGTGGTGCTGAGAAGAATGTATATTCTGTTGATTTGGGGTAGAGAGTTCTGCAGATGTCTATTAGGTTGGCTGGGTGCAGAGCTGAGTTCAAGTTCTGGATATCCTTGTTAACCTTCTGTCTCATTGATCTGTGTAATATTTACAGTGGTGTGTTAAAGTCTCCCATTATTATTGTGTGAGAGTCTAAGTCTCTTTGTAGGTCCCTAAGGACTTGCTTTGCATATATATTTAGGATAGTTAGCTCTTCTTGTTGAATTGATCCCTTTACCATTACATAATTGCCTTCTTTGTCTCTTTTGATGTTTGTTGGTTTAAAGTCTGTTTAATCAGAGACTAGGATTGAAACCCCCGCTTTTTTCATTGGCTTGGTAGATCTTCCTCCATCCCTTTATTTTGAGCCTATGTGTGTCTCTGTACATGAGATGGGTCTCCTGAATACAGCGCGCTAATGGGTCTTGACTCTTTATCCAATTTGCCTGTCTGTGTCTTTTAATTGGGGCATTTAGCCCATTTACATTTAAGGTTAATATTGTTTTGTGTGAATTTGATCCTGTCATTATGATGTTAGCTAGTTATTTTGCCCATTAATTGATCCAGTTTCTTCACAGCGTCGATGGCCTTTACCATTTGGCATGTTTTTGTAGTGCTGGTACCGGTTTTTCCTTTCCATATTTAGTGCTTCCTTCAGTAGTTCTTGTAAGGCAGGCCTGGCAGTGACAAAATCTCTCAGCATTTGCTTGTCTGTAAAGGATTTTATTTCTCCTTCGCTTACGAAAATTAGTTTGGCTGGATAGGAAATTCTGGGCTGAAACTTTTCTTTAAGAATGTTGACTATTGGCCCCCACTCTCTTCTGGCTTGCAGGGGTTCTGCCGAGAGATCCACTGTTAGTCTGATGGGCTTCCCTTTGTGGGTTACCCGACCTTTCTCTCTGGCTTCCCTTAACACTTTTTCCTTCATTTCAACCTTGGTGAATCTGACAGTTATGTGTCTTGCAGTTGCTCTTCTCGGGGAGTATCTTTGAGGTGTTCTCTGTATTTCCTGAATTTGAATGTGGGCCTGCCTTGCTAGGTTGGGGAATTTCCCCTGGATAATATCCTGACGAGTGTTTTCCAACTTGGTTCCATTCTCCCCGTCACTTTCAGGTACACCAGTCAAAGGTAGATTTGGTCTTTTCACATAGTCCCATATTTATTGGAGGCTTTGTTCGTTTCTTTTTACTCTTTTTTCTCTAGTCTTGTCTTCTCACTTTATTTCATTAATTTGATCTTCAATCACTGACATCCTTTCTTCCACTTGATCGAATCAGCTATTGAAGCTTGTGCATGCATCACAAAGTTTTCATGCCATGGTTTTCAGTTCCATCAGGTTATTTATTCTAGTTAGCCATTCATCTAACCTTTTCTCAAGGTGTTAGCTTCCTTGCGATGCGTTAGAACATGCTCCTTTAGCTCAGAGAAGATTGTTATTACCGACCTTCTGAAGCCTGCTTCTGTCAGCTCGTCAAAGTCATTCTCTGTCCAGCTGTGTCCCGTTGCCACTTTTCTTTTTTTGAAACAGGAAGGGTCTCAATAGCTTGCCCAGAGTGCAGGGTGCAGTGGCACTGTGATAGTTAATACTGAATGTCAACTTGATTGGATTGAAGGATACAAAGTATTGATCCTGGGTGTGTCTAGGAGGGTGTTGCCAAAGGAGATTAACATTTGAGTCAGTAGGCTGGGAAAGGCAGACCCACCCTCAATCTGGTTGGGCAAAATCTAATCAGTTGTCAGCACAGCTAGAATATAAGCAGGCAGAAAAATGTGAAAAGAGAGACCGGCCTAACCTCCCAGCCTACATCTTTCTCCCGTCCTGGATGCTTCCTGCCCTCAAACATCGGACTCCAAGTTCTTCAGTTTGGGAAATTGAACTGGCTCTCTTTGCTCCTCAGCCTGCAGATAGCCTATTGTGAGAACTTGTGATCGTGCGAGTTAATAATTAATAAACTCCCCTTTATATATGTATCTATTCCATTAGTTCTGTCCCTCTAGAGAACCCTAATACAGGCACAGCCACCTTGAATTTGGGGGCTCAAAATATCCTTCCACTTCAGCCTCCCAAGTAGCTGGGACTACAGGCATGGACCACCACACCTGGCTAATTTCTTATTTTTCTGTAGAGACAGAGTCTCACCATGTTTCCCAGGTTGGTCTTGATCTCCTGGGCTGAAGCCATCCTCCTGCCTCAGCCTCCCAAAGAGCTGTGATTACAGGCATGAGCCACTGCACTCAGCTAGACAGCTTTTTATTTCTAAGATGTTTTTCCCATGATTTCTGTGATTCTCATGGCCTACTTTACAGTGTATTCGATTGGCGTGGATTTTCATGGGCAAGAAACTATCTCGACAGTTTCTCTCCATATCAACAATAGCAAGCCAGAAGTGAATGCCCAAAACTTTAACTCCCTTTAAAATAGTGAAATGAATACATTGTACCAAAAAGAAAAGGAACTAGTTACTCCAGTTTAAAAATGTACAGAAATCCCTAAATTCACAGGGAGCTCTCCATCACGTTAGCTTTGTAGCCTAAAGAAAATACTCCACAGGGAGAACTGGTAGATGCAGCTTTCTCACTTCCACTTCCCTGCCGGGCTTTCACTCAAAATTAGCACTTTCCTAAGTTTCAGCTTCACTCTTCTAACCACGTACAAAAGTCACTGTAATTGTTTCCTTCCATCACTGCCACCTCAATTCTCCTCTCTGCAAAGTATGGTTAAATAAAACAAGCAGAGTTCTTACTTTCTAACAAAGGTTGCAGACAGGCCCAAAGCAAGAACTGCTGGGCACTTATACCTGGGCACAGGAACTCTGGCTGTCTCCTGAAACACCAGAAAGTAAAGTCAAGAAATTAGTGAGGATTTAGAAACTCAAACCAACCAACACTTTCTAAAGTTTGGCAGCATAATAATCTAAGAAAGATTTTTTTCCATTAGAAGATTTTTTTTTTAACTAGCATTAAGTTACAGATGCTATGCTTCAGGCTGCCAGGTCATGTCCACTTTTTCTAGTGAAACGTTTGAAAAGATCTTCCTTTCTCTCATGCTGGTACAATACTCAAGGATGAAAACAGTAACCTATTAAAAGTAAATACTGTTTTAACCCTAAACAAACTGTAGATAGCAGCTAATTTTTTAAGACAAAAACACAAGGCTCTCAAACAGGTATTTGCAAACCCATCTTCATAGCAGTGTTGTTATTCACAATAGCCAAAAGGTGGAAACAACCAAAATGTGTATCAGTGAATTAATAGATGAACAAAATGTGGTGCATACATACAATGGAATATTATTCAACCTTAGAAAGGAAGAAAATTCTGATACATGTGGCGACATGGATGAACCTCGAAGACATTACGTTAAGTGAAATAAGCCAGACATAAAAGGACAAATATTGGCCAAGCACAGTGGTTCATGCCTATAATCCCACCACTTTGGGAGACAAAGGTGGGTGGATGGCTTCAGCCCAAGGTTGGAGACCAGCCTGAGAAACGTGGCAAAACCTCGTCTCTACTAAAAATACAACAAATTAGTGGGGTGTGCTGGCACGTGCCTGTAGTAACCAGCTACTCGCAAGGCTGAGGTGGCAGAATCACCTGAGCTCAGGAGTTCGAGGCTGTAGTAAGCCAAGATCATGCCACTGACCTCCAGCCTGGGCAACAGGAGACCCTGTCTCAAATTTAAAAAAAAGGACAAATATTGCACGATTCCACTTATATGACATATTTGGAGTAGTCAAATTCATAAAGACAAAGAAAAATACTTGTTATTATATATTACTGAGGAGAGGAAACAGTGGGGAGTTATTGCTTAATGAGTATGGAGTTCAAAATGATAAAAATGTTCTGAAGATGTGTAGTCGTAATGGTTGCACAAGAATGTAAATGTGCTTAATACTACTGAAGTGTACACTTAAAAATTTCTGAGGTGGAAATTGTTATGCTATATATATTTTACCATGGTAAAACACATATAAGCCAACTGCAGTGGCTCATGCCTATAATCCCAGCACTTTGGGAGGCCAAGGCAGGAGGATCACTTGAGGCCAGCCTGGGCAAAATAGTAAGCCGTCATCTCTACCAAAATAAATAAATAAATAAATAATTAGGAAGGCATGGTGGCACATGCCTATAGTCCCAGCTACTCAGGAGGCCGAAGTGGGAGGATTGTTTGAGCCCAGGAGGTCAAGGCTGCAGCAAGCCATGATGGTGCCACTGAACTCCAGCCTGTGTGACAGAGCAAGACTCTGTTTCAAACAGGTAAAAAACAAGACACATACACACATCCAAAACTGTGTTCTTGCTCTCAAAATAAAAAGTTCCTCAGTCCCATGCTCCCATACTTGCCTATGTACTGCTGAGAATCCCATTTTTGTTTTAGAGTACCAATCCTATGAGGCACACTTTCACCAGTGATAAATCCTCTTCCTCTGCCTTGGAGTTGTGCTTCTCAATTGCACGTAGTGGGAACCAGTGTTCTCATCCTGCAGAGGAGGCAGCAGTGGACCCCAAGGCCTTCATCCTGTCCTGCTAAAGCACCTATCGGTGCCTGTGCTGCCACCCATCAATCTCTGCAACGAGTGCTTCCTGTTTCCCCCCAGCTGTCAGTTATCCCATTGATGTCAGCTGAATTCAAAGGACGTTTTGCCCCCCAAGAAAACATCCTGACAGTCAGATGGTATCACTGACAACATTCATCAAACATTCAGAACCAGCTGAAATTATATCATATGAAGTAGGGAGGGAGGGGAGCAAGGGCCTCCCAATCCCTGCCTTCAGTGCTGACTGAGGATGGGAAGTGAAGGGTCCTAATGTTTAAGGGAGAGAATCTCTTGTTGTCCCTTTTACTCCTGTCCTCACACTGGATTCCACAAATGCCCTCAGGTTTTGAACCTGACCCTGTCTTTGAAGTATCACTGTCTTAGTCTGTTTTCTGCTGCTATCACAGAATGCCACTGGATAATTTGTAATGAATAGAAATTTCTTTGGCTTGTAGTTCTGAAGACTGGGAAGTCCAAGAGCATGGCACTGTCATCTGCCGAGAGTCATCTGATAGGGGCAGTAGAATGGCAAGTGAGCACATGAGAACAAGAGAAAAAGGGGTCCAAACCTCCACAATAACTAACCTACTCCTACAACAATGGCATTAATCCATTCATGAAGGCTTTGGTTCATTAGGTGACCTGATCACCTCTTAAAGGTCCCAGTCTTAATACTGTCACAATTGCAATCACATTTCAAACGGTTTGGAGGAAACATTTAAACCATAACAATCCACCCCTGCCCCCCACCCCCTGACAAAAAAAAAGTTGTGTCCTTCTCACATACAAAATACATTCATTCCATCACAATCATTCCAAAATTCTTGTTTCAGCGTCAGCTCAAAAGTCTAAAGTCTCATCTAAATCAGATAGGGGTGAGACTCAAGGCATGATTCATACTGAAGCAAATTTCCTTCATCTATGAAATCAAAACAAGTCATCTACTTCCAAAATACAAGAATAGGATAAGCATAGGATAGACATTCCCATTCCAAAAGGGAGAAAAATGCAAGATGACAGAAGTAATAGGTCCCAAATGAGTCCAAAACCCAAAAAGAAAATCAACATTAAGTTTTAAAGCTCCAGAATAATCTCCTTCGATTGCACATTCTGCATCCTAGGCATCCTGGGGAGTAGCTGGGCTCCCAAAGCCTTGGGCAGCCTGGGCAACCCTGCTCCTATGGCTTTGGTGGTCTCAGTCCACACTTGAGCTCTCTAAGGTTGGAGTCTTGTGCCTGTGGCTGTCCCAGGCTGGAGTTGGACACTGGTGGCCCTAGAGCTCTGAGGTCTCAGTGGCAGTCCCATTCCCAAGGCTTCACTAGGCATTACCCTATTAGGGATGCTTTGTGGCAGCTCCATCCCTGGGCAAGTTTCTGCATGGACCCCCACACTATCTGTGACATCTTTTATAATCTGGGTGGAGGTAGCCAGCCCCTTATGTCTCTTACATCCTAAGACCTTTCAGATTTAACGCCACATGGATGCCACCAAGACTCACCACTTGTGCCATCCAGAGTGGCAGCCTGAGCCACACCTGGGCCCTCTTGAGTCATGGCTGGGGTGGCTGAAGGGTGCTGTGCTGAAATGCAGAATCACAGTCCCAAGGAGGCCCTGGGCAGTGAGCTCATGGATGCTCCAGGCCCATTCCTTGAAATCTTCTTGTCCTCCTAGAGCTCTGGGCCTGTGATGGGAGGAGCAGCCTCAAAGATCTCTGAAATAACTTTGGGTTGTTTCTCCCATTGTCTTGCTGAATGACACCTGGCTTCCTTCTGTCTGTGCTAACCTCTTTAGCAAATGTTTGCTTGGCCACACCCTTAGTATTCTCTCCTAACCATGCTTTTTTTACTCTTTACCTGGCCAGGCTGTAAATTTTCCATATTTTTCTGATCTGCTTCTTTTCTAATTATAAATTCCATCTTTAAGTTATTTATGTCCTCTCACATCTGTGTGTGGTTAAAAGTAGCCACACAACAGCCTGAATGCTTTGCTGTTTAGATATTTCTTCTGCCAGATATCCTAGTTCATTGCTCTTAAGGTCTGCATTCCATAAAGCCCTAAAGGCATGGACACAATTCAGCCAAGTTATTTGCAACTATATTACAAGGATGGCCTTGACTCCAGTTTCCAATACCTTGTTTCTCATTTTTGTCTAAGACCTCATCAGAATGAGCTTTACTGTCTATATTTCTACCAACATTCTGACCAGGACCACATGAGTGATTCCTAAGAAAATTTAGACTGTCTTTAGTTCTGGGGTCTTCTAATCTCTCACCAGAATTGCTCTGAACACTAACACTTCATTCATGACAATCTAGGTTTTTTTCTAGCCTGCTCCTCCAAATTCTTCCAGCCTCTACTCATTACACAGTTCCAAAGTTAATTATATATTTTTAGGTATTTGTTATAGCAACAGCCCCACTTCTCCATACCAATTTTTTGTCTTAGGGTTCTTTAGAGAGACAGAACCAATTGAAGAAGGAGAGAGACAGAGGTGAGCAGGTATTTATTAGGGGAATTGGCTCCTACAATTATGGAGGCTGAAAAGTCCCATGACAGCTGTCTGCAAGCAAGAGACTCTGAGATGCTGGTAGCATGGCTCAGTCCAAATCCAAATGCCTGGGTATCCAGGAGGCTACCCAAGTCCTGGACTGCAAAGGCCAGACAGCCTGGAGTTCTGACACCCCAAGGCAGAATAAGAAATGTGTATCCCAGCTCCAGAAGAGAGACCAATTGCTTTTCCTCTGTTTTTGTTCTATCTTGGTCTACATTAAGAGTAGACCTTCCCCACTTAATCCAATCAAACTCACACACCAGTCTCCTCTGGAAATACAATCACAGACACACCCAAAAATAATGCTTTACAAGTTCTCTAGGTATTCCTTAATCCAGTCACACTTAAATCAACTTCACACCTAAAATTAACCATCACAATAATGCCTCATACATGCCTTTTTGTATAATCATCTGAAGTAAGGGTTAAAAACTGAAGCAGTAAGTCATCTCACTTGGCAGCTGTTAGAAAAACTTTCTGTCTGGAGTTGGGATGGGTCTACAAACATATGTTATGGTCCAGTCATCTGGATTCATATGCCTGATCTTGACCTTGGCCCCTCTGTTAACATCTTATCTGGATGGGTGACTTAGAATTTCACTTTGGGGATGTCATAAAATCTTATTATATGCATCCACACACCCAGCTGTTTTTTCTTAGGGATTTTAAAGCAGCTTGTAAATTTCAAAGAGGAGTTAACAGTTGCAAACTTTTTAGCTGAATCAATGTATTAAAAAGACTTTTTGACAAGGGTAGATGAGTCCTGGTGTCTTTGCAGAATTTGTCCTTTTCAAAAGTATCTGCATTTTTCCAGTGCTTGGGATGACAAATTCTCAGATGTGAGACCTTTTGTGGGAGATCGAAGGAAAGAGACAAAACAAAAACAAACAAACAAAAAATCTAAATTGGAAAAGAAAACCATTTGAGATTTGTTCAGCTCAATCTTGAAATAAACCATTCAGTAAAGCCTGAATTTTCTCTAAGCATTTGGCAGCAATATTAGCCACAAATTGTTTACACTATCAATTAATTTCCCATTGGAACTTTGAGGGGATAAAAACACTAAGAATGTAATGAAATAATATATGTGCAAGCACCTAGATCAGTGTCTGGTATGATGTTGGTGCTTAGTTGAATTTGAAAAATAGTAATAACTACTTTCACTAAACCAGTTATAAACCATTTTTCTGTACTTGATAGTGGTGTTACCTGGGGATGTTAATTTGGTTTTTTATCTGTTTATTGCTTCATCTGCTTCTGGGTGCTCAGTTCATAAGAGTGGATCAGGCCCAAATATACTTAACTCCTACTTGAGCAAGGGGAGGCATACATGGGTTCCTACACCTAACCAGCAGGAAGTGAACTTAAGGGATTTACCTCGATTATTTTCTAAACTCCAAAAATGGTAATGCTTCACAAATAGGACAAGTCTAAGATTAGGCAACAGGATGAAAAAATTATAATATGAATCCACTCTTCCTTCTATAGGGCTTCCTCCCCCAGTCCTATTCATAATAGGATTAAAAATGATCAAAAGCACAGTAGGCCCCATAAAAACATGACAAACTTACATTACTAATTTAGGGAGTGTATTAGTCCATTTTCACACTGCTGTGAAGAAATACCTGAGACTGGGTAATTTATAAAGAAAAGAGGTTTAATTGACTCACAGTTCCGCATTGCTGGGGAGGCCTCAGGAAACTTACAAAAATGGCAGAAAGCACCTTTTCACAGGAAAGAGAACGAGAACCAGCAGAGGAAATGCCAGACACTTATAAAACCATCAAATCTCATGAGAACTCATTCACTATCATGAGAACAGCATGGAGGAACCACCCCATGATTCAATTACATCCCACCAGGTCCATCCCATGATACATGGGGATTATGGGGATTACAATTCAAGATGAGATTTGGGTTGGAACACAGCCAACTCATATTGGGAGATACCCGTGACCTCTTTTCACACCACTCACACTCTCAGTGCCACCCTTGGAAAGAGAATTGACAGAGCAAAACAGCTATATTGATAAAGGTTTGTTTTTTTCTAAGGATTAACCCTTAAATGGCAGGGCTTAGTTTTATCAGTCCTAAATTGAAAAAGCTTCCCAAGCAGATTTTGAATTTCTCCTTATTCATAACTCGCTCAGCTTAATGGTATATTTCTTGTGTTCCCCAGACTGCCTGAGTTTTTATTTTCTATTTAGTCTTAGCCTTTTTCTTCGAAACAGGTTTTATTTACATTGTGCTTTCAGCATGATTATTTACTTTTCTTAATATTATATCCTAAAACACTGTTGTCCTAGATTTTACTGCACCCTGGAGTCCATTTTTATGCTTTAAAGGTGATTAGATGGTTTATTTCATTTGCTTGCTTTTGTTTACTGATTTTAACTTTAGTGAAAATGAAGTCCAACATTAGAGTATGCTTTATGAGATAACCTGGGGTCTTCTCATTATCCACATTCTTACTTCAGAAGCCTTTATAATTACCCCAGAGAGTGTACAGGCAGAGAAGAGGTAAACTGCAATGAAGTCATCACTTGTACAGCATTTATAGAGAAGAGAGAGACATTTGACTATGTTCAGATATTCTCTCTTGCTCACCAAAAGACCACTCATTTTCTAGATGTAAGTTATCTTGTTTATCCTAAAATTGTGTTCTCCCCTTCTCAGAAGCATTTTAAGAAGCAATTAGATTTGTCTAGGGACTCTGGGTGTGTGTTGGGGTATGCATTCAACACTTAGGAAGTTACAACTCTGCCTTAGTCTTCACTTCCTGCTTATACAGTGCCTCAAGGTCAACCAAACTGAGGCCCTCTCTGTTGCTCTGGTGTTTCCTGGGTATTTACAAAGCCCTGCACATCCACATGGCCTTCTAGATTCTAAAGAATATGTCAAAACTTTTCAAAGTCTCTTATGCACCTCTCATTTCCCAGATTTTCCTCTTACATATCTGGCCAGGCTTGTTTGCCCCAACTGGTAGCCCAGCTTCAGGCAGCTGAAATATTAAAGAATTTCCATAGATTGCTCTCGACAAATGCCTTGGGGATAGATCTTTTCCCAGAGATCAAGTTCTGAGTCAGGTTAGATAGTGACGACAACAGTCTTCTCACTAATTGTGTTTTGTTTTGAAATATATAGTTATTTTTCATAAAAGTATATTATTTGTCTTAAAATATAATTAGTAATTTTTAAATGAAGTAATATGAAATAATAACATTATCTTTTGTTTTCTCAGTTTTAATCTGTAATACTTTAAATACTGATAGACATAATACACATAAACCAAATCTCTTTAAGGTCCTCAATGAGTGTAAAGGAGTTCTTAGATCAAAAAGTTAGAAGACTACTGGTTTATTTTAAGTTCAAAGGATTTTTTTCTCTAACACTTTGAAGATGCTACTTCATTGTGATCTTGCATCTCATATCATTAAAGAGAAGTTTGACATTAATTTTATTCTTGCTCCTTTATTGGTGATCTGTTCCTTCCCTCAAAAGCTTTTAGAATTCTCTTTGGTTCTTAGTTGTTTCTACATTTTATTGCAGTATATCTAAGTGTAAGTTTATTTTTATCTATACTGTTTTGTAATCTATAGATTGCTTCTACTTCCTCTTATTCTGGAAATTTCTCTATTATTATTTCTTAAAATATTGATACTTCTTTGCTTATTTTTTCCTCTCCTCTAGAGTCCTCTATTCGACAGATGTTAAGACTGTTCCTACTCCCCATATTTCTTTATTATTTGTTTATATATATATTTTTTTTTTGAGATGGAGTCTCACTCTGTCTCCCAAGCTGGAGGGCAGTGGCACAATCTTGGCTCACTGCAACCTCCACTTCTGGGGTTCAAGCAATTCTCTGCCCCAGCCTCCTGAGTAGCTGGGATTACAGGCACTCACCACCAAGCCCAGCTAATTTTTTTGTATTTTTAGTAGAGACGGGGTTTCACCATCTTGGCCAGACTGGCCTTGAACTCCTGACCTCGTGATCCACCCACCTGGACCTCCCAAAGTGCTGGGATTACATGCATGAGCCACCACGCCTGGCCTTATTTGTTCATATTTCTATCCTTTTTTTCTCCTCCTAGTCATTAAGAACACCTCATGGTAATCATTTAGAGTTCTAGTTCATTCTTTTTATTCAATATTTCTTTTTATTCAATTATTTCTAATATTTTTTGTTGTAAAATACAACAAACACAGAGAAAATGCATAAAATATAAGTATCTAGCTGAACAAAGTATTTTAGAGTGAATACTAATACAATCACCATCAGGGCTGACTTCATGGGCATGCAGTCACACAGGAACCCACACTTAGAAGGGTCTCATGCTTGGTTTACTCCTCTGCTGTCTCTGTGTTGAGATTTTTAAATATTTTTAAGCCAGGGGCCCTACATTTTTATTTCACACAGGCCCCACAAATTATGTGGCCCATCCTAATCACCATTCATGTCAAGAAACAAAAAGTTTGTCACACTTCAGATGCTCCTGACATGTTACTTACTAATTACAATCTCTTCCCTCCCACAGAAGTAATACCTATCCTGACTTTTATGGTAGCCATTTCATTGCTTTTTATATTGTTAAAACGTGTGTATGATCCTAAATACTACTGTTTCATTTTCCCTGCCTTAGGAAATACCTCACATTGTGGCACATTAATAAAGTGGATGTATTAGGGTGCTCCAGAGGGACAGAACCAATAGGATATATGTATAAATAAAAGCGAGTTTATTAAAGAGAACTGGGTCACACAATTATAAGGCAAAGTCCAATGAAAGGCCGTCTGCAAACTGGGACAAGAGAAGCCAGTAGTGGCTCAGTCTAAGTCCAAAAGCCTAAAAAACAGCAAAGCTAACAATGCAGGCTTCAGTCTGCAGCTGAAGGCCCAAGAGCCCCTGGGAAGCTGCTGGTGAAAGTCCCAGGGTCCAAAGCAAAAAGAACCTGGGGTCTGATGTACAGGGGCAAGAGAAGCGGAAGCAAGCATCCGACACAGGAAGAAGAAAAAGAGCCAGAAGCTTCAGCAACCAAACTTAACCACCTTCTGCCTGCTTTGTTCTAGCGGCACTGGCAGCCGATTGGATGGTGCCCACCCACATTGAGGGCAGGTCTTCCTCTCCCAGTCCGCTGACTCACATATCACTCTCCTCTGGCAACACCCTTACAGACACACCCAAAAACAATCCTGTATCAGGCATCTAGGCATCCCTCAATCCAGTCAAGTTGACACCTAATATTAACCATCACAGTGGAACATACTGAAGTAATTACAATTTTAACTATGAAAATTACATAAAAGGGAAATAGGGAATTCTCTGTTCCTGACAAGATGGCTAATTATAATAGGCTCTGACTTCCTTCCCAACCCAACCCTGAAGATGAAACATAGAAAACAGCCATAAAATTAAACTAGGGAATGAGTATTAACAAGGGGCGGGAGAAGCTACAATATGACAGACACCAAGCTACAATGGTGCGCCAAATAGACAGGGTTCCTGCACAGATATTGAACAAATGATCACACAACGTATATGTGTGATAAATGTTGAAGGAAAAAGAACCCAGTGCAATAAAAGCACAGAATGAGTATTTCACTGAGCCCGAAGTGTCTAAGAAAGCTTCCCGGGGTAACTTTTGCTCTGAGGTCTGAAAGATGAATAGAAGTGAACTGAAGTGAGCCCTGTTGTGAGACGGCACATTACAGCTGAAGAATTCTAAGAAGACATATGTGGCCAATGAAGAGGAGATGGCAGATCAACCTGGAGGAATAAGCAGGGCCAACGCAAACAGGCTTTATCCCAACAGCAATGATTTTAACTAGGTCTGTTGATGTGATCCAATTTGGTTTTAAACTGTCGCTAGAGTTAACAGAGAATTGATTGGAAAGGGAGAATGGAAATACAAAGACCAATTAAATGGCTACTGCAGTCATCCAGGTGACATACGCTGATGACTTGTTTAAGGCAGTGGCAGTTAAGATGAAGAGAAACAGATCAATTTGAAAGATATTAAGAAGTAAACTAGTCAGTTGTGATAGTGTGACTTGAAGTACAAGGATACATTCAGAGTAAGAATAATCCTCCAGTTCCTGGCTTAGTCACCTGAGCGATTAGTGGTGCCATTTGCTGAGTTGAGAAACACAAAAGGAGAACACATGGGGGTGGGAGGTCCAAACAATGAGCTCGATTCTGTTTTAGACATGGCAATTTAAGTTTCCTTTAAGACACCTGCTTTGAGATGCTGAGTAGACAATGTGGACCTCAAACCTTTCACATGATCAGTCAGTGGGTGAGAGAGTAGACACAGCTGGTAATCTGTATACATTAAAAATCATAGAAATAGAAAGAGAAATCACCCACTGACAAAGATTTTCAATAAGATTTTTACCTCAAACCAACTTTTCATCCTCGTAGGATACAAAAAACAAAAATTACCTAAATTTCACAAAACATTTCTGATCACA
Source organism: Homo sapiens (assembly GCF_000001405.40). NCBI lineage: Eukaryota > Metazoa > Chordata > Mammalia > Primates > Hominidae > Homo > Homo sapiens. Next base: position 113,634,921 of record NC_000005.10, on the reverse strand, counting down.
CTTAGGAGCTTAGTAGGGAAAAAAAAGGAAAGAAAAGGCTGAAAAACAATATTCTCTTCATATATAACTTTCTTTCTTCTTTCTCCATTTTCCAAGGGAAGTAATGATGCTAGAGGTGCTATTCTCACTGGACAGCCCTATTCTGAGGCCATGACTCTAGTCTGAAGCACATGACAACCTATAATCTCTGATAAAGATTTCCAATCTCTGGACATTAAATAATAATAACAATACTTTTAATGAAAAACAACTTGCAGGAGCCCTTTGAAAAGCACTGTATGGATTCTTAGCTTTTATTATTGGGTGACTACAACTGTATTGAACATTAGGTAACTTATTGAGAATGATGAGGACATTGTACACAGAGATCTTTCTTACTAAACGAGAGTAATTACTGGAATATTGAATATGACTTTCTACTACAAGTTTTTCAAAGGCAATATGCGCATCACTTTTCCTTTAAAGGCTGCAGGTATAATTCTGTGTGAATTTCACATTTAAACACTAATTATTAATAATTCAAGAGTTTCCCAGATCACTATATAATAAAGCATAACGTTCATAGCATCAACCATCGGTGTTTAAAAGAAGGGCACTCTTGAGGGGGTGGGGGTAATCTATCTAAAGTTCTAGTGTGTTAGCCAAGGTCAAGTCAGCCTTCAAGCTTTTCTTTTGTTCTACAGCATGTCACTTATTGAAACACATATTTCTTACTTGTTATTTTTCTCCTTTCATGACACATTAAATTCTCTTAGCACCAATTATTAATTTATTAATTATCACCAAGTTAAAACCTGTTAAGAATGCCCAGAGGATGTGTACAGTAGGTTCACAGCCGTAGATCCAATGGAGTTTAAAAACCCATTGCCAATGAATTAGGGAGACTTTCATATGCTCAAGGACCATTATTTGAACCAAAAATAAAATTTCTAATTATTTTCATTCATCAAAATGTCCCACAGAATTCTATGCTGTGCTAATTTTAAGATTATAGAGTAATGTAACAGATGTCATGGATTAAATCCTTCAAACAAGGAGGTATTCTTTTTGGAATATCCTATTTCCTTGCTTATGAGCTCTTATCATTGAATAAAAAACATCAGGATATTACTGAGGGCATTCTCTGCCCCAGACTCTGAACCAGATATTTTCCATGATATCTTGTTTAGTCCTCACGACAACCTTATGAAGTGCATATTATCTGCATTTTGCAAAGGCAAAACTAGAACATATTTCAAAACTTTCCCAAGTCACACAGATAAATAAATAGAAGAACCGTAAGTTAGAACCCTGTATTTGGTCTACAGAACTTCTGTAGGAATAATGGTAAGGAAGAGCTGGTAACCTGTGTAAGAAGTAAGAAATAGCTGGTAACTTGAGAAAGAAGTAAGAAAGGTACATGTGAAGATAATATAGTTTTTCAGCCTTTTCTTTCCATTTTCTTTTTCCTACTAAACTCCTAAGTGTGATCAGGACAGTTTTGTGAAATGTAGGTAATTTTGTTTTCTGTATCCTAAGAGGATACAGAAATCCTAGAAGTAAAAAAAGAGAACTCACCCACTGACAAAGATTTTCAATGAGATTTTTACCTCCAGCCAATTCTTCATCCTGTCAGAATACAGAAAACAGAAGTTGCCTTTTTTCACCAGTTCCTTTTCCTACTTAGTATAAAAATTGTTTAGCTTGCAAGAACTAATGCTACAAAGATCTAACATTAACTATAGGGAAACAATAATCAGAGTTGGAGAAACTGGCATGTGAGCAAGTGACTTCAGAATATTTCCTTTCTTCCTCTTTCTTTATGTCCAAACCAGGAATCAGACATTTCCTCAAAGCATGATAGCATTGAATAGTACCATATTTTCATAATTATTAAAACTTTCTTTTTTGGTCATTTTACTGTCAAAACTACTTGCTTTAAAATACCTCTGCCACAATCTCCATTTTGCCTTCCTTAAAGTTTTTCACTTTTTAATTTTTTTTTATTTTCCATAGAAACCTTAGCTCCCCTGTCTATTACATAAATTTGAATACCTTGAGATATTAACTGTAGATTTAAACATGGTGAGCCCTGAAAGAATTCAATTAGGTAGGAAGCCCCAGAATATATTTTATGCTCTTTAGGAATACTAATCATGTATGTTAGATCTTTGTAACCAATCTTTGTAGCAGTATCTATCATTTCTCTAATTGCTCTCATCTTTTTATTTTTTACTTTATCCTCTATGATTTTTTCAATTCTATTTCATGTCATGGTCTCTGTTTTCAGCTGTGTTGATTTTAAAATTTTGTGCTACTGCTGATTCCGTTTTTATTCATTTGTTTCTTGTTTTTTTTTTTTTTTTTAGATGAAGTCTCACCTTTTCGTCCAGGCTGGAGTGCAGTGGCACAATCTTGGCTCACTGCAACCTCCGTCTCCCCAGTTCAAGCGATTCTCCTGACTCAGCCTCCCGAGTAGCTGGGATTACAGGTGGGCACCACCACACCCAGCTAATTTTTCTATTTTTAGTAGAGATGGGATTTCACGATGTTGGCCAGGCTGGTCACGAACTCCTGACCTCAGGCAATCTGCCCACCTCGGCCTCTCAAAGTGCTGGGATTACAGGCGTGAGCCACCAGGCCTGGCCTGTTACTCATTTTTTTACATTACCTCTGCTCCCTTTCTATTTTTTTCTGTTGTCTGAGCATTGCTCATTTGACTTTTTGTAACTTCTTCTTCAATTGTTTCATATATTTAAGTGTATTCTTTTACCTCCAATTTTTAAAATTATGGCCAGCATAAAAACAATACAAAAAATAGTACAACAAACACCCATATCCATTACCTAGATTCAAAAATTATTTGCATTTTGCCATATTCTTTCTACTTTCTTTGCTTTAACCATTTAAAAATAAGATGCAGACATCATAACACTTCACCCCTAAATACGTTAGCAACTTCTAAGAAAAATGACATTATCTTTACATAACCACAATACCATTACCATATCTTAAAATAAATAATAATTTTCTACTATTATATAAGGCCCATTTATATTCACATTTTTACAATTATCTAAAAAAACTGTCTCATATTTGCTTTTCTCAAACCAGGATTTAATCAAGTGCCATGCATTACATTTGATTGTTACATTTTTCCAGACTCTTTTATCGAGAAAAGTATCTATTTTTTGTCCCATGGCACTGACTTCTGAAGAAAAATGACCAGTTATCTTACAGAATGTCGATTATTTTCTTGTGGTATCATTTAACTTCTGCTATTCCTTTATTTCCTAAGTTAAATCATCCTTGCATTACTAGATAAACTCCACTTGAACATAAGGTATTCTTTTTAAATGTCCTTCAGGGATCCTATTTTTTAATATATTATTTTGGATTTTTACATCAATATTCATCCCTTGGTCTCTGGTTGATCTTTCAGCTGTAGGAATGTGGAGTGAGCCCAGAAACAGCCAGCAAGCATCCTTAATGTTAATTATTTTCCTGCCAAACTGATTAATCCTCTGTTATGTAAACATACTGGTTCTGAGTGTACCCTCTTAGGACCCTTGCCATTCTGAAAGTTATCCTAGTCTGGGACCAGGTCGTGAACAATAAAGGCGGTGGGAATACATGATCTCCTTTTAACATCACCTTTCTTGTCATTCTTTGAAACCGAATGGTGCCCCAGTCAATGTTCTCTCTGTTTCTCCTTAATCCATCCATAGAGTTAATCCTTACTGCATCAGGTTAAAGATTAGTAGTAAGACTCTTTTTAATCCACTGATTTGAAATTTGCTTCTTTCCCAATATCAGAGGATATAGGAGAAAGGTCTGAACATCCATCTTCAATTAATTTGGTTCAAGTGATCTTGCTTCTAGGAGATATTCTTCAGTAGTCAGTGATGTGGAATTTAGCTGTCTGCTGCTTTTGTTGTAGATATAATTTTTCCTTTCTATTTGGCTCTTTTTGTTCATATCTGTAGGTTTCAGGAAGAGGAATAAGGCAAACTTACTCTCATTCAATCATCTTTCCAGAAACTTCTATAATCTGAATATTTAAATTATTGATTTAATATTTGTTAAATATTAAGTATTTCTCAAATGTTGATTAAGTATTAGGAATCTAAATAAACAGAAGTATATACTATTGAATGTCAAAAACAAGGCAAAAAAAGCAAACATCAATAACCTATAACCTCTCTGCTATCCATTGTAAGAGCTCTTAACTAAGCTTCTTTTTTTTTTTTTTTTTTTTTGAGATGGAGTCTCACTCTGACACCCAGACTGGAGTGCAGTGGCGCAATCTTAGCTCACTGCAACCTCCATCTCCTGGGTTCAAGTGATTCTCCTGCGTTCAAGTGATTCTCCTGCCTCAGCCTCCTGAGTAGCTGGGATTACAGGCACCTGCCACCGTGCCTGGCTAATTTTTTTTTTTGTATTTTTTAGTAGAGACAGGGTTTCACCATGTTGACCAGGCTGATCTCCAACTCCTAGCCTCAAGTGACCTGCCCACGGCGGCCTCCCAAAGTGCTGGGATTACAGGCATGACCCACCACACCCAGCCTTACCTAAGCTTTTATCAAAATATGGACCTTTGACACAGGCTTAGAAACCAACATCACTCTCTCCCATATCATCTGTTGACTTTATTAGAACCTTGGTCTTCTCTACATTATCCTAGAATCTTGCACAGGGATAACAAAGAAGGTAACTATTTAAACTGCACATACTATAGGTAAGTATCAACTAGCTGCTGTGTTACGAAGTAGGTAAATTCATTTGAACTATGAGCAGAAACCACAAATTAGTTAACTCAAAGCATAATAGCAATAACTTTTGAGAATATGAATCCCATAGCTAGACATTACTTATCAACTGAACTTGGATCACAGTATGAACCAGACCCAAAATGACTTGGCCTATGTTACCAAACTACCCCATAACTCTTATCACAATAGACTACTCACTCCTGTATATTGTCCCACAAAAGTGCCTTTCCCCACACAAGTTTCTCTATCTGGACTTTTCCATTTCTGCCTACCAATTTTGCCCATCGTTTGAGGTCCAATTCAAATGCCATCTCTTTGGGCAGGATGTGGTGGCTCACAACTGTAATCTCTGCACTTTGGGAGGCCAAGGCAGGTTGATCACTTGAGCCCAGGAGTTTGAGACCACTCCAGGCAACATAGCAAGACCTTTTTCCAAAAAAAAAATTTGTTAATTTTTTTATATTAGCTGGGCATGATGGTGCACACCTGTAGTCCTAGTAACTTGGAAGACTGAGCCAGGAGGATCTCTTGAGCCCAAAAGTTTGAGGCTGCAGTGAGCCCTGATCATGCCATTACAGTCTAGCCTGGATGAGAAAGTGATAGTGATACCCCTCCAAGAAATCTTTATCATTGTTTTCTCCAGTTAAACCACCCTACTTGACATCTCTATTTTAGTGTGACTTTTATCTTCATTTATTCCATAATTATTATCCAAAACCTACTGTATGCTACGTACTACTCTGAAAGCAATGGATTCAGTTCTGAAAAAAGCACAATTCTTTCTCTATGGAGCTGATATTCAAATGAATGAGAAACAATGTTACAAACAAAAATAATTTAATTTCAAGTGCAATTTGGCAATCTCAAGAAAAATAAAGCTAGGTAAAGACAAAGAATATGAATAAAGTGATTCTGGAAGGGATCAGGGAAGAACTGTCTGAAAAAGTGACATTTGAACACAGAACCAAATGTAGTGAAGGAGTAGTCATGGTGACATGAAGAGGATCACCTTCTAACAAACAGAATAGGTGCAAAGGCCTTGAGGCAGGAATTAAATCCTTATCATATTTAAGGAATAGTGAAAAGGCCAGTGTTGCCTAGAATGCTTGGGGAAGAGGAGAAGGAGATGAAGTTAGAAAGACAGGGGCCAGGTCAACTAGAGCCTTAAAGGCCATGAGAAGAACTTTTGTAACTAGAACTGCATCTAGAACTGCACTGGACACTGCATCATCCCTTTATTTGGTAAACTCTAACCCTCTTCATGTGGCTATATTGAACTTCCATCACAGTGCCCTCCCTGTTCCCAATTACAGGATATATGGCCCAAGTCAGGTCCCCTGTCATTGTCCCCTGTCATTCAGTCCATGGTGAGTAGGTGAGCATGTGATTCAAGTAGGGTCAAAAGTTTAAACAATTGCATTGCTACCTTGTATCTGGAGCTATCTGCACTCCACTTGTTACTGGTGATGGGAGCCCTCATTGTCAACAAGTTGGTGGATAATCCAGATTCAAAATTCTATCCCACAGGAGTGATGTCAGCAAGATAGTGGAATAAAGAGCTTTCTATCATTATTTTCCCCACAGAGGCATTGATTTAGACAGCTATCCACAGAGGAGAGTACCACTGTGGGAGTCAGGGAGTCTGGTGGAGCTCAGCACACATCCAAGAATATGTGTACTGAAGAGGGTAAAAAGAATTTCACTTTATGCATGTCATCCCTCTCCCAGAGCAGCACAGCTCAGTGCCAAATAGTCTCCCCACCCCAATCCTAGGCCATAATGTATTCCATGAGGGAAAGTGAAAGCATAGTGGGTGAGTGCCCAACTCCCTCAGTCATTTAGAAAGCTGCCCAAGAAGCCAACTTCATTCTTGGCCCACCCAGAATACTGAGGTAATCATCATGGCTGGGTTGTTGGAAGAGACTGGGAACAGAGAAGAAAGGCCACAGAATCTACTAACTGCTCCATAGTCTCCATCAGAAAGCCTGCCCACAAGCTGCTAGGGATACCTTGCCAATGGACACTCCTATCTCCACCAACTTGCCCTTAGGCATTTCAAATACTCTGTTCACCTCACCTCCTTCCCAGGCTGGCTCCTCAAGTATGCCCTCATGAGAATGCAAGTGTCTTCTGTTGACAGCCAGCCCAACACTGCAGAATTGGGAAAAGGCACACAAACTTGAGGATTTTAGAGTACCACACCAGAGGAAACAAATGGGAGGCTCTCAGCATTTGACTGGACTTTTCAGGATGAAGAGAAGACACACAATCTTAAGAATCCCTCACACAGAATAGTTGAATGGATTTTTATAAAAATCTAACTGTATGCTGCCTACAAGAGACTAACATCATCTTTAAGTTTACACAAAAACTGAAAGCAATGGAACAGAAAAGAGTATTCTATGCAAATGAAAATCAAAAGAAAGTATGGGTAATACTTATATTACACAAAATAGACTTTAAAGTGGTCATTCAAGAGGATATAAAAATATTAAATATATATACATCAAATATTGGAGCATCTAAATATATGATATGGTTACATTACATAAAGAGAATAAAGGATTAGTTCATATGATCATCTCAATTATGCAGAAAAAGCATTTCACAAAATATAATACATTTTCATAATGCTCAAAAAATTAAAAGGAATATACCTCAACACAACAAAGATATGACAAACCCTTAGCTAATATCATACTCAATGGTGAAAAGTTGAAAGCTTTTCCTGTAAGATCAAGAACAAGACAAGGATGCCCACTCTCACCACTTCTATTCAACATAGTACAGGAAGTTCTAGCTAGAACAACTAGACAATACAAAGAATTAACATGCATCCAAATGAAAAAGAAGTAAAAATGTCTCTATTTGCAGGTGTCATGATCTTATATATATATATATATATAAACCCTAAAGAACACAAAAAAACTGTTAGAACTAATAAACAAATTAGGATACAAAACTAACATACAAAAAATCAGTTGTTTTTCTAAACATTAACAATGAACTATCTGAAAAAGAAATTAAGAAAATAATCCAATTTATAATACCATCCAAAACAATACAATATTTAGAAATAAATTTAATCAAAGGAGGTGAAAGAGCTGTACATGAAAATTATAAAATATTGACAAAAGAAATTAAGTAAGATACAAATAAATGGAAAGATATCCCATGTTGATGGATAGAAATAATCAGTATTGTCAAAATTTCACACTACCCAAAGCAATCTACAGATTCAATGCAATCTGTATCAAAGTTCTAAGGGCATTTTTCACAGAAATAAAAAAAAATTCCAAGATTCATATGGAACCATAAAAGATTCAGAATACTTAATCTTGACCAAGAAGAACAATGCTAGATGCAACATACTTCCTGATCTCAAATTACATTACAAAGCTAAAAGAATCAAAAAGTATATTACTGTTTTCCTGGCATAAAAATAGACACATCTGCCAGTAAAACAGAATAGAAAGTCCAGAAAGAACCCCATGCCTATACAGTAAAGTAATCTTTTTTTTTTTTTTTGAGAGTTAGTCTCGCTCTGTCTCCCAGGCTAGAGTGCAGTGGCACCATCCCAGCTCACTGCAACGTCCACCTCCTGGGTTCAAGCAATTCTCCTGCCTCAGTCTCCTGGGTAGCTGGGACTACAGGCACAGGCCACCACACCTGGCTAACTTTTTTTTTGTTTTTTGAATGGAGATGGGGTTTTGCCATATAGGCCAGGCTAGTCTCGAACTCCTGACCTTGTGATTCACCCACCTCAGCCTCCCAAAGTGCTAGGATTACAGGCATGGGCCACCACAGCTGGCCAAGTAATCTTAGATAAAAAGCACCAAGAATACCAATGGGCAAAGCCAGGCTCTTCAATAAGTAAATGGTGTTATGGAAACTAGATATTCACATGCAAAATATAAATAAATAAAATAGGATTCTTCCTTTTATACAGATTACAGTATCAAGGGATGTCATAAAAAGTACTGAGAGGTGAAGCTGGCCAGGCTTCTGGGTCAGGTGGGGACTTGGAGAACTTTTCTGTCTAGATAAAGGATTGTAAATGCACCAATCAATCACTGCTGTGTGTCTAGCTAATGGTTTGTGAATGCACCAATCAGCACTCTGTAAAAATGGACCCATCAACAGCACTCTGTAAAACGGACCAATCAGCACTCTGTAAAATAGACCAATCAGCACTCTGTAAAATGGACCAATCAGCTCTCTGTAAAATGGATCAATCAGCAGGATGTGGGTGGGGCCAAATAAGGGAATAAAAGCAGTCCACCTGAGCCAGCAGTGGCAACTCGCTCAGGTCCCCTTCCACGCTGTGGAAGCTTTGTTCTTTCACTCTTCACAATAAATCTTGCTGCTGCTCACTCTTTGGGTCTGCACTGCCTTTGTGAGCTGTAACACTCACCGTGAAAGTCTGCAGCTTCACTCCTGAATCCAGCGAGACCATGAACCCACCAGGAGGAATGAACAACTCTGGACATCCCGCCTTTAAGAGCTGTAACTCTCACTGTGAAGGTCTGCGGCTTCACTCCTGAAGCCAGCAAGACCAAGAACCCACCACAAGGAAGAAACTCCAAACACATCTGAACATCTGAAGGAACAAACTCCAGACACACCATCTTTAAGAACTTTAACACTCACCACAAGGGTCCGCGGCTTCATTCTTGAAGACAGCAAGACCAAGAACCCACCGGAAGGAACCAATTCCAGACACAATTTGGCAACCATGAAGGGACCATCGCCTATTGCCAAGTGGTGAGACTATTGCCTATCACCAAGCAGTGAGTACCATCAGATCCCTTTTGCTTGCTATTCTGTCCTATTTTTCCTTAGAATTTGGGGGCTAAATACTGGGCACCTGCCGGCCAGTTAAAAGCGACTAGTGCGGCCACTGGACCAAAGACACAGGTGTCAGGCTTTCTGGGAAAGGGCTTTCTAACAACCCCCAAATCTTCAGAGTTGGGAGTGTTGGTTTGCCTGGAACCAGCTTCCGCTTTTCCTGTACTTCTGGGCAGAGCTGAGGGTCAACAGAGAGGAAAGCCATTCAGCTCCAGGGTCCTGACAACACATTGGTTGACCCTGCGGCCATGAGCAGAACTCTCAAAGGCGTGTCGCCCAAGCAAGACTCGCCGATCTATCCTGACCCTTGCCCCATGAGTCCTGGCACCTGCCAGACAGACCTTCTCGCCTCTCTTCTCCGAGGCTAGCCCCGCTTATAAAAACCACTCCCTGTCTCTGGTGCTTTCCTAGTTTCTCCTATAAGAATGATTTCTAGTATAAATTCCAGGACTCTGTTACCTTCTTTAGGCACCCGGGCTCACCAATCAGAAAGACATAATTTTTGCCCAAAGCCCCATTGTAGGGGGGACTATCTGGAATTTTAGGATCCCTCTTCAGACAAGCAGGCCTAACAAAAGCTATTTCTGAAGCTAGGATATGGGGAGACTCAGAAATTGTATCCTTCCTATTCATATAAGTGAGGACAAAAGGCATCACTCTTTCAACTCTGGATATCCCTTCCCTTCCTCAGGGTGTGGACCTCAACCTCATTTTTAGGGCATAACATCTTTATTGGACACAGGTAAAGTCCCAATACTAACAGGAGACTGCTTAGGACTCTAAAATGTTTTCAAGAGTGCATCAGTAAGGGCCACTAAATCTGATTTTTCTCAGTCCTCTTTGTGGTCTAGGAGGACAGGCAAGGGTGCAGGTTTTTGAGAATCCATTGGTAAGCGCCACTAAATCTGACCTTCTGGGTCCTCCTTGTGATCTGGGAGGAAAACTAGTGTTTCTGCTGCTCCATCAGTGAGCGCAACTATTCCAATCAGCAACGTCCAGGGACTGCTGCAGGTTCTTGGGCAGGGGTTATTTCTGCTGATGCATTGTTGGGCACAACTATTCTGATCAGCAGGGTCCAGGGACCGTTGTGGGTTCTTGGGCAAGAGGTGTTTCTGCTGCTGCGTCGGTGAGTACAACTATTCCAATCAGCAGGGTCCAGGGACCATTGTGGGTTCTTGGGCAGGGGGAGAAACAAACAAACCAAAACCACAGGCAGTTTTGTCTTTCAGATGGGAAACAATCAGGCGTCAACAGGCTTACCCGTGAAATGCATCCTAAGCCATTGGGACCAATTTGACCCAAAAACCCTGAAAAACAGGCAGCTCATTTTTTTCTGCACCATAGCGTGGCCCCAGTATTCTCTCTGTGATGGGGAAAAACGGCCATCAGAGTGAAGTATAAATTATAATACTATCCTGCAGCTTGACCTTTTCTGTAAGAGGGAAGGCAAATGGAGGGAAATGCCTTATGTCCAAGCTTTCTTTTCATTGAAGGAGAATACACAAGTACACAAAACTTGCAATTTACATCCCACAGGAGGACCTTTCAGCTTACCCCCATATCCTAGCCTCCCTATAGCTCCCCTTCCTATTAATAAGCCTCCTCCAATCTCCCCTATCCAGAAGGAAACAAGCAAAGATATCTCCAAGGGACCACAAAAACCCCCAGCCTATTGGTTATGTCCCTTTCAAGCTGTAGGTGGAGAGGAATTTGGCCCAACCCAGGTACTTGTCCCTTTCTCCCTCTCTGATTTAAAGCAGATCAAGGCAGACCTGGGGAAGTTTTCAGATGATCCTGATAGGTACATAGATGTCCTACAGGGTCTAGGGCAAACCTTCGATCTCACTTGGAGAGATGTCATGCTATTGTTAGCTCAAACCCTGGCCCTTTATGAAAAGAATACAGCTGTAGTGGCAGCCTGAGAGTTTGGAGATATCTAGTATCTTAGTCAAGTAAATGATAGAATGACAGCTGAAAAAGGGACAAATTCCCTACCTGTCAGCAAGCTGTCCCCAGAATGGATCCCCACTGGGACCTTGACTCAGATTTTGGGGACTGGAGTCACAAACCTCTGTTGACCTGTGTTCTAGAAGGACTAAGGAGAATTAGGAAAAACCCCATGAATTATTCAATGATATCCACCATAAGTCAGGGAAAGGAAGAAAATCCTTCTGCCTTCCTCGAGTGGCTACAGGAGGCCTTAAGAAAATATACTCCCCTGTCACCTGACTCACTTGAGGGTCAATTGATTCTAAAAGATAAGTTTATTACCCAATCAGCCACAGACATCAGGAGAAAGCTCCAAAAGTGAGCCCTGGGCCCTGAACAAAATCTGGAGGCATTATTAAACCTGGCAACCTCAGTGTTCTATAATAGGGCCCAAGAGGAACAGGCCAAAAAGGAAAAGTGAGATCAGAGAAGGCCCGCAGCCTTAGTCATGGCCCTCAGACAGACAAACCTTGGTGGTTCAGAGAGGACAGAAAATGGAGCAGGCCAATCACCTGGTAGGGCTTGTTATCACTGTAGTTTACAAGGACACTTTAAATAAGATCATCCAATGAGAAACAAGCTGCCCCCTCATCCATGTCCACTATGCCGAGGCAATCACTGGAAGGTGCACTGCCCCAGAGTACAATGGTTCTCTGGGCCAGAAGCCCCCAACCAGATGATCCAACAACAGGACTGAGGGTGTCCAGGGCAAGCGCCAGCTCATGTCATCACCCTCACTGAGCCCCAGGTATGTTTAACCATTGAGGGCCAGAAAATTGACTTCCTCCTGGACACTGCACGGCCTTCTCAGTGTTAATCTCCTGTCCTGGACGACTGTCCTCAAGGTCTGTTACCATCTGAGGAATCCTGGGACAGCCTGTAACCAGGTATTTCTCCCACTTCCTCAGTTGTAATTGGGAGACTTTGCTCTTTTCAAATGCCTCTCTTGTCATGCCTGAAAGACCCACACCCTTATTAGGGAGGGATATATTAGCCAAAGCTGGAGCTATTATCTACATGAATATGGGGAACAAGTTACCCATTTGTTGTCCCCTGCTTGAGGAGGGAATCAACCCTGAAGTCTGGGCATTGGAAGGGCAATTTGGAAGGGCAAAAAATGCCCACCCACTCCAAATCAGGTTAAAGATCCCACCATTTTTCCTTATCAAAAGCAATATCCCTTAAGGCCTGAAGCTCATAAAGGATTACAGGATATTGTTAAACATTTAAAAGCTCAAGGCTTAGTAAGGAAATGCAGCAGTCCCTGCAACACCCCAATTCCAGGAGTACAAAAACCAAATGGTCAGTGGAGACTAGTGCAAGATCTTAGACTCATCAGTGAGGCAGTAATTCCTCTATATCCAGTTATACCCAACCCCTATACCTTGCTCTCTCAAATACCAGAGGAACCAGAATGGTTCACTGTTCTGGACCTCAAGGATGCCTTCTTCTGTATTCCCCTGCACTCTGACTCCCAGTTTCTCTTTGCCTTTGAGGATCCCACAGACCACACGTCCCAACTTACGTGGACAATCTTGCCCCAAGGGTTTAGGGATAGTCCTCACCTGTTTGGTCAGGTGCTGGCCCAAGATCTAGGCCACTTCTCAAGTCCAGGCACTCTGGACCTTCAGTATGTGGATGATTTACTTTTGGCTACCAATTCAGAAGCCTCATGCCAGCAGGCTACTCTAGATCTCTTGAACTTTGTAGCTAATCAAGGATACAAGGCACCTAGGTCAAACACCCAGCTTTGCCTACAGCAGGTTAAATATCTAGGCCTAATCTTAGCCAGAGGGACCAGGGCCCTCAGCAAGGAACAAATACAGCCTATACTGGTTTATCCTTGCCCTAAGACATTAAAACCATTGCAGGGGTTCCTTGGAATCACCAGCTTTTGCTGACTATGGATCCCCAGATAGAGCGAGATAGCCAGGCCCCTCTATACTCAAATCAAGGAGACCCAGAGGGCAAATACTCATCTAGTAGAATAGGAACCAGGGGCAGAAACAGTCTTCAAAACCTTAAAGCAGGCCCTAGTACAAGCTCCAGCTTTAAGTCTTCCCACAGGACAAAATTTATCTTTATACATCACAGAGAGAGCAGGGATATCTCTTGGAGTCCTTACTCAGACTCGTGGGACAACCCCACAACCAGTGGCATACCTAAGTAAGGAAATTGATGTAGTAGCAAAAGGTTGGTCTCACTGTTTACAGTTAGTTAAGGCGGTGGCTGTCTTAGTGTCAGAGGCTATCAAGATAATACAAGGAAAGGATTTCACTGTCTGGACTAGTCATGATGTAAATGGCATACTAGGTGCCAAAGGAAGGTTATGGATATCAGACAACACCTACTTACATACCAGGTGCTACTCCTTGAGGGACCAGTGCTTCAAATACGTACGTGCATGCCTGTCAATCCTGCCACTTTTCTTCCATAGGATGGGGAAGCAATTGAGCATGACTGCCAATAAATTATAGTCCAGACTTATGCTGCCCGAGATGATCTTTTAGAAGTCCCCTTAGCTAATCCTGACCTTAACCTATATACTGATGGAAGTTCATTTGTGGAGAATGGGATACGAAGGGCAGGTTATGCCATAGTTAGTGATGTAACCATACTTGAAAGTAAGCCTCTTCTCCCAGGGACCAGCGCCCAGTTAGCAGAACTAGTGGCACTTACCCAAGCCTTAGAACTGGGAAAGGGAAAAAGAATAAATGTTTATACAGATAGCAAGTATGCTTATCTAATCCTACATGCCCATGCTGCAATATGGAAAGAAAGGGAGTTCCTAACCTCTGGGGGAACCCCCATTAAATATCACAAAGAAACCATGGAGTTATTGCACGCAGTGCAAAAACCCAAGGAGGTGGTAGTCTTACACTGCCATCAAAAGGGGAAGGAGAGGGGAGAACAGCAGCATAAGCAGCTGGCAGAGGCAGCAGAATGGAAAGAGAGAAAGAGACAGAAAGAGAAAGAGAGAGAGAGGAAGCAACAGAGACAAAGAGAAGGAGACAGAGAGAGGAAGAGACAGAGACAAAGGAGTCAAAGAGAGAGACAGAGACAGGAAGAGAGAGAAAGAGACAAAGAAGTCAAAGAGAAAGAAAGAGAGAGAAGCAGTAAAGAAAAAACAGTGTACCCTGTTCCTTTAAAAGCCAGGGTAAATTTCTGTCTACCCAGCCACGATATATTCTTCTTATGTGGAACTTCAACTGATATCTGCCTCTCAGACAGTTTACAAGAGATAACGAAATCTATCCTTACTCTACAATCCCAAATAGACTTTTTGGCAGCAGTGACTCTCCAAATCTGCTGAGGCCTAGACCTTCTCACTGCTGAGAAATGAGGACTCTGCACTTTCTTAGGGGAAGAGTGTTGTTTTTACACTAACCAGTCAGGGATAGTACGAGATACCACCTGGCATTTACAGGAAAAGTCTTCTGAAATCAGACAACGCCTCTCAAACTCTTATACCAACCTCTGGAGTTGGGCAACATGGCTTCTCCCCTTTCTAGGTCCCATGGCAGCCATCTTGCTATTATTCACCTTCGGGCCCTGTATTTTTAACCTCCTTGTCAAATTTGTTTCCTCTAGAATCGAGGCCATCAAGCTACAGATGGTCTTACAAATGGAGCCCCAAATGAGCTCAACTAACAACCTCTACTGAGGACCCCTGGACCGACCCTCTGGACGTTTCACTGGCCTGAAGTGTTCCCCTCTGGAGGACACTACAGTTGCAGGGCCGCTTCTTCACCCCTATCCAGCAGAAAGTAGCTAGAGCAGTCATTGGCCAATTCCCAACAGCAGTTGGGGTGTCCTGTTTAGAGGGGAGATTGAGAGGTGAAACTGGCTGAGCTTCTGGGTCAGGTGGGAACTTGGAGAACTTTTCTGTCTAGCTAAAGGATTGTAAATGCACCAATCAGTGCTCTATGTCTAGCTAAAGGTTTGTAAACACACCAGTCAGCACTCTGTAAAAATGGACCCATCAGCACTCTGTAAAACAGACCAATTGGTCTGTAAAACAGACCAATCAGCACTCTGTAAAATGGACCAATCAGCACTCTGTAGAATGGACCAATCAGCTCTCTGTAAAATGGACCAATCAGCAGGATGTCGGTGGGGCCAAATAAAGGAATAAAAGCAGGCCACCAGAGCCAGCAGTGGCAACCCCCTTGGGTCCCCTTCCACACTGTTGGAAGCTTTGTTCTTTCGTTCTTCGCACTAAATCTTGCTGCTGCTCACTCTTTGGGTCTGCACTGCCTTTATGAGCTGTAATACTCACCATGAAGGTCTGCAGCTTCACTCCTGAAACCAGCAAGACCACGAACCCACCGGGAGGAAAAAACAACTCTGGAAGTGCCACCTTTAAGAGCTGTAACACTCACTGTGACGGTCTGTGGCTTCACTCCTGAAGTCAGCGAGACCATGAACCCACCAGAAGGAAGAAACTCTGGACACATCTGAACATCTGAAGGAACAAACTCTGGATACACCATCTTTAAGAACTTTAACACTCACCACGAGAGTCCGCGGCTTCATTCTTTAAGTCAGCGAGACCAAAAACCCACCAGAAGGAACCAATTCTGGACACAGTACCACTAATTGGGGCTGGGCATGGTGGCTCATGCCTGTAATCCTGTGTCCAGATTTGGTGGGTTCTTGGTCTCACTGACTTCAAGAATGAAGCTGCAGACCCTCGTGGTGAGTGTTACAGTTCTTAAAGATGGTGTGTCCGGAGTTTTTTCCTTCTGATATTCGGATATGTTCAGAGTTTCTTCCTTCTGGTGGGTTCATGATCTTGCTGGCTTCAGAAGTGAAGCTGCAGACCTTCGTGGTAAGTGTTACAGCTCTTAAGGTGGCATATCTGGAGTTGTTCATTCTTCCCAGTGGGTTCGTGGTCTTGCTGGCCTCAGGAGTGAAGCTGCAGACCTTCGCTGTGAGTGTTACAGCTCATAAAACAGTGCAGACCCAAAGAGAGCAGCGGCAAGATTTATTGTGAAGAGCGAAAGAACAAAGCTTCCACAGCGTGAAAGGGGACCCAAGCGGGTTGCCGCTGCTGACCCAGGCAGCTTGCTTTTATTCCCTTATCTGACCCCACCCACATCCTGCTGATTGGTCCATTTTACAAAGAGCTGATTGGTCCATTTTACAGAGAGCTGATTGGTCCGTTTTGACAGGGCGCTGATTGGTGCATTTACAATCCCTGAGCTAGATGCAGAGTGCTGATTGGTGTATTTACAATACTCTAGCTAGATGTAAAAGTTCTCCAAGTCCCCACTAGATTAGCTAGACAGAGAGCACTGATTGGTGTGTTTACAAACCTTGAGCCTGACACAGAATGCTGATTGGCGTGTTTACAATCTTTTAGCTAGACACAGAGTGCTGATTGGTGCATTTACAATCCTCTAGCTAGACATAAAAGTTCTCCAAGTCCCCACCAGATTAGCTAGATACAGAGTGCTGATTGGTGCATCCACAAACCCTGAGCTAGACACAGAGTGCTGATTGGTGCATATAGAATCCTCCAGCTAGACATAAAATTTCTCCAAGTCCCCACCCGACTCAAGAGCCCAGCTGACTTTTCCTAGTGGATCCCACACTAGGCCCGTGGGCGGAGCTGCCCGCCAGTCCCACGCCCTGCCTGCACTCCTCAGCCCTTGGGCTGTTGATGAGACTGGGTGCCGTGGAGCGGGGGGCGGCAGCTGTTGGGGAACCTCG
Source organism: Homo sapiens (assembly GCF_000001405.40). Classification (NCBI taxonomy): domain Eukaryota; kingdom Metazoa; phylum Chordata; class Mammalia; order Primates; family Hominidae; genus Homo; species Homo sapiens. The sequence goes on along the minus strand of NC_000005.10, from coordinate 113,617,618 downwards.
GGCGGCGTGGGAGCCCACTGCAGGGGAACTCAGGCATGGCGGGCTGCAGGTCCCGAGCCCTGCCATGCAGGGAGGTGGCTGAGGCCCAGCGAGAATTCAAGCGTGTCGCGCATGGGCCGGCAGTGCTGGGCGACCCAGCACACCTTCCGCAGCTGCTGGCCCGGGTGCTAAACCCCTCACTGTGCAGGCCGGCGATGCCAGCCAGCCACTCCAAGTGTGGGCCGCCAAGCCCCCGCCCACCTGGAACTCGCACTAGCCCACGAGCACCACGCCCATCCCTGGTTCCTATCCACGCCTCTCCCTCCACACCTCCCCACAAGCAGAGGGAGCCAGTTCCGGCCTGGGCCAGCCCAGAGAGGGGCCCCCACAGTGCAGTGGCGGGCTGAAGGGCTCCTCGAGCATAGCCAGAGTGGACGCTGTGGCCTGAGGAGGTGCCGAGAGCAAGCAAGGGCTGCTAGCACATTGTCACCTCTCAATCCCAGCACTTTGGGAGGCCGAGGTGGGTGGATCACGAGGTCAGGAGATCGAGACCACCCTGGCTAACAGGGTGAAACCCCATCTCTACTAAAAATACAAAAAAAGTTAGCCGGGTGTGGTGGCGGGCGCCTGTAGTCCCAGCTACTCAGGAGGCTGAGGCAGGAGAGTGGTGTGAACCTGGGAGTCAGAGCTTGCATTGAGCCGAGATCACGCCACTGCACTCCAGCCTGGGCAACAGAGCAAGACTCTGTCTCATAAAAAAAAAAAAAAAAAAGAAAAGTACCACTGACTGAGAACTTACTATATATCAGGCAATATTATATTTCATTTAACTCCGACAACAACCCTAAGAGGTACATCTGTTATTATCCTCATTTTACATATGAGGAAACTGAGGCACAGATTTAAATTATAAGTTTATCAGAGGCAGAGCTGGAGCTTCAAACCTAGTGTTGCCTCTGGTGCCTGTGCTCTGAGTCTCCAGATTATGCTGCCTCTCTTATAAAACACATTTTTATTTTAAAGCATGTCCACTTCACTGTCTCTTTTAATCTCTGTTAACAACCCTCCAGGAGTTAGATTAGGTAGGAATCTCCACTTTAGTGGGAGGGGAGGGGATTTCCAAAGTGGAGCAAGAGATTTGCTACCCACACTCTTTTCATACAACAAAGTCACAGTTGATGAAATTAAAAATTAAAAACCAAATGAAATATAATAAAATATAAAATAGGATTCTTTTCTTATGCCACACACAAAATCAGCTCAGAATGGATTAAAGGCTTAAATGTAAGACCTGAAACTGCAAAACTCCAGACACAGAAAGAAAAATATTGCATGATCTCACTTAAATGTGTAATCTTTAAAAAAAAAAAAATGTCGAAGACACAAAGACAAAGAACAAAATGATGGTTACCAGCGGTGGGGTGGGGGAAGGAGGGAGGAAATAAGGAGATGCAGATCAAAGGATACAAAGTTGCAGATATGTAGAATGAATAAGTCTAGAGATCTAATGGAACGTGAGGACTATAGAAACTTCAGTGAAGTTTCTGGCTGAGCAGGTCAGGGTTCTGGCTGAAAGCAGATGGAAAGAGTGAAGAGTTATTAGTGAAAGGTCTGTTTACAAAGGAGTGAGTAGAGTTAAGGAAAAATAACAAGAGATAATGAAACACCCCATGACTAGCAATAACAGGAAGCTGCTATCATTCCTGGGCCTGATGAGCCAGAGGAAGGAACAACGAGTTACTGGAAACCGAGACTCTGGTAGCTGTAGGAGAGGGTGGTCATAAGCTGTGGCCTTCAGCAGAGGGTCAAGGACATGTAACCAAATACTCTATTTTTAATTTTTTAATCTTTTTCCATTTTCCTCCTTGCTTACTTTATGTTTAGATGCTTGAAAATTATATGGTAACCTTTGCTCTCTTTCCTTCCACCAGGCACTCCCTTGCACAATGTCCCCCTCATCTAATTATATGTTTTCTTGGAAGTTCATGGACTGAGTCTTGAAACAATCTAGGTACCTATGGAATTCTCCTCCTCCAGGAGATTACTCAAAGCTGCAGTTAGCTTTCACCCCGATTGTGCCTGGGATGGTGCCAGCCCGTTCAACAGATGGGGTAATAACTCAAGTCATCAGAGCAACTTACATAGACTGACTGGCACCTCCTTGCCCCTCTTGCATGCCCCTCCCACCACCAACCTCCCTTTTTAAGCCCTTGCGTTCTATCCAGAAATTTGAAATGGTTCCTTTCAGGCACAAAGCCTTGGCGATTCCTTTCCTTCCTTCCACCCCACCTTGTCCTTGATTTTTGACCTTGCAAGTGGCAAGTAGCTGAACCTGTGTTTGGTTTCAGACCCAGTCAATCTGCCCAGCTACCCAACTGATGTAAGGAAAGAAATTCTCCAGCTCTCTCTCCTTCCATCTATCCATCTCTTGCTGTTGCTTCCCATTGGCCAAACCTAACAGGAAATCAAAGAACATAAAGGTCAGCATATTGAGGCATAGGATAGTGGACCTGTAGAGACGACAGTGATTATCCATCATCATGACTTTCACAATTGTTTACTGAAATTTAGCAGAGACAACCTTGAGTTTCAGATATAGCAAAGCTTGTCTATTAGTGCAAATGGAAAGGTTGGTTTTTAAAAGGCACTTTATTAATTTAATATTGTTAGCTTTGGTGGAAAGAAGTGTGAAGGAAAGGTACTTTGATTCCTGTCTTTTCTAGGGTGTGGCTGAGGACTGAGGAGCAAACATAATAGGGAAGTGGAGGGGAAAAGACATAGCAGTAGCTTTGGATACTGCTTAAAGACACTTTTGGAGGATTCATTTGGAAGGATTATCCTCCAGAAACGTGGGTCCTGAGCACATGTGGTAGCTCCATTTGGTGCCTTGGTTTAATGGTCTGAACATGAAGGATGCCACAGAACTCATTGAGGAAGACCCACTGCTTGTGAGAATCTGTCCAGCCACTTTTCCACCGTGCTCCACTCTCGCAGCCCATGTGACTTGAGGCTTTCTCTATCTTCATGTCTGGGAACTCCAAACACTAATATTTACAGCACATCTCTTAAGTGTTGTCAAAACTGCTTATTGTAAAGGAAAATTTTAAAGAATCTCAGGACCCCCAAACTCCTTATGCAAAAGGAAGGTTAAGCCTGAAGACTGAGTCGTGCAACATCCTCTTGCAAATGAATAGCTGCTACTAGCATTATGCATCAGCCAGATCCTCAAGGAGAGGTGGAGAAGTGAAAGGCCTCAGGCATCTAGGGAGGGCTGTCTCCACAGATCACTCATAAGTAAATTATTTGCTGGCCTCCCATAAACAAGGACATGCCAATTGTAACTGTGGGTCTACAGTCTAAGTCTAGTTCCTAAGACTAAAGTCTGTTATACATATCTTACCAGGTACAGAACAAAGACAAGATGAGGTCAGTCACTTCCTCCATCTACCCAGAAATGTCTGCATTATTGATTCTCCTTTACTCCTTTTTTTCTCTTCAGGGGTTCCCTTTATCCCATGTAAAATGTAGATTCACTGGCCACTAACTAAAGTCTCATAAGAATGTAACTGCCTACCTGTCTCTCTTCCAAATGCCGTAATCTCTTCCAAATTACATAAGAATGTAATTCATCTAACTGCCTACCTGTCTCTCTTCCAAATGCCTTCCCCTGCTTTAAGGAAGTGTATAAATACTGAACTCCTGAAAACCTCTCTGAAAAACAATCAGAGAAGAACATATGTCTATGGCTTATTTTTTCGCAGAATACCCTAAAGCTGGCTTAATAAATCTAGATAGTTGAGACTGTTACAGTAGGTAGCTAGTCAGGTGTATTAGTTCGTTTTCATGGTGCTGGTAAAGACATACCTGAGACTGAGCAATTTACAAAAGAAAAAGGTTTAATTGGACTTACAGTTCCATGTGGCTAGGGAAGCCTCACATCATGGCAGAAGGCAAGGAGGAGCAAGTCATATCTTAACTGGATGGCAGCAGGCAAAAAATGAGGGAGCGTGTGCAGGAGAATACCTCTTTTTAAAACCATCAGATCTCGTGAGACTTACTCACTATCACAGGAACAGCATGGGAAAGATTTGCCCCCATGATTCAATTACCTCCCACCTGGTCTCTCCCACAACACGTGGGAATTCAAGATGAAATCTGGGTGGGGACACAGCCATGAGGCACGAGCAGGGCAAGAGAGGGCTCCCCTAACCACCACCAGGAATGCCAGGCAACCATCAGGTGATGGTCAGGCAGTTTGTCACATGGCCTCTCCAAAATGATAATTGGTCACAGCCTCTGCCAGAGAAAGGCAGTTTCCCATTAGATAAAAACAACTGAAACTGGAGATCAGCAGCTTCCCAATAAGATCTCAGGAATTGGGTGAGTGGGCTCAAACATATGCATTAAGAGGCAAAATGGTGCAAATTAACTGGTATATGACTTTCTGGGGGCATTCCTCTGGAAAACGGAAGACTGCATCAGGTGAGCATGCTTACAACTCCAGTAAACATACTGCACATACTCACCTCCCAAGTGCTAGCAGCACCACACATGTGGGCAGCTCACCCCAAGGGAAGAATCAAGGTAAAAGGGAGGCAAGACACTGGCAGCATATAAAACCCTAAGTCCAAGGTCAAACAGGGCACTTTACCTCCAACATTCCCACTTGACCCTCTTCCAAGTGTACTTTACTTTCTTTTCATTCCTGCTCTGAAACTTGCCTTGGTCTTTTCTTCTGCCTTATGCCCCTTAGTTGAATTCTTTCTTCTGAGGAGTCAAGAACTGAGGCTGCTGCAGACCCACACAGATTATCCAACAGTAACTGTGATATTCACCATTGATAACAAGACTTTTGCCTCAGTCACTCATTCCTGTTATCATAATACGTACATCTATATAGGGTTACCTTTGGCCCTCAAAATAACATACTGCACTTAAGAAATGTCTAAAGCTAACCAGGAAAGGGGAGAGGGGAGGCTTATGTCAGAGAAAAGCGGCTTTCTTTGCAAACTCTTCCCTAAGTAAAGCTCTCTTTAGCATTATCAGGATCCCAAGAGAAGGATCAGATTTTCAGTCATGGTCAGTTTTAACTGAAATATATGTGTCTCAGAGCCAAAGGCATCTAAAGTCCACAACCAGCACCACCCCCAGTCTCTCAGCTAGCCAGAGGTGCATCCTAAAGTGATTTGGGGTTGAAAGAGGAGAGCCCAGACTCCAGGTGCTCCTTCCCCTCAGGGCATCCTTTCCATTTTTTCAAAGGGGTTTTTTTTCCAGTCAAGGCTCTCTCTTAAACTTTTGGGAACGCAGTTCCTCATGTGTAAGACAAGGAGAAGGAATATGCAGTTTCTAAAATTCCTTCCTTCCCTCAAATGGTTTTGAAGAGGTTTCGTTTAAACCACTGAGCTATTTCAATTCATATCAATGAAGCTTATGATTGGTGCATGAAAACACGTACAATATCACCATCTAGCGGATAAAAGGTAGTAATACTAGTGACAATTAATGCAGACAAATGAGTGAACTTTCAAAAGGAGAAAGCAATTATATAGAACTTTCCAGAGAGTATTTCTCAATTTTTTGTAGATTGTAGACCTCTTGGAGAAGTTATGGACCCTCCCACCGCCAAAAATGCGAAATGCATATACCTCAAATTTCTGCACACAATTTTAGACAATATATGACCCTTGAATCATATGCATGGGCCACAGTTTAACAACTTCCACTTTATACATTATTTCAATCACTAGGCAAATGAAAAAGGATCCTATAATCAGCAGGGATCAGTAAATGCTGTAGCACATCTATTGTCTTTAAAAAAAAAAATCTAACCATAATTGAAACCCCTTTCCTATTGTGGAGGTTACTGCATTGTATCAGGGTTGGTGAGAAGTAGGGTTCTACCTGACATGGCAGAAGAGGCCTGCCTGATTTTCTTTGGCCAGAAAAGCACCCGCTTATCTGGTCATTTGCTCCAATCAGACTTTGATTCTTGAAAGGGTGGTGCAAAGATAGAGGGAAGGATGAAAAGTGTTTGAAGAGCTCTATAGTGTCTAATGGCAGCAAAGCCAGGGATAAGGTCCTGGCCTGACCCTTCCTTGGCTAAAATTCCATCTTCCCACACCCCTGCCTATTTCAATATCTAGTTCTTCAATCTCGTTAATTCTGTGAATGGCTTGACATCCTTCCAATAAGTCCCTTTACTGCTTAGCTCAGAATTAATTTACAATGAACTTTTTGATTGACACACATACCAAATTCTTAAAGATGACCAGAAAGATAACTGCCATTAAATATAACATATTTTATCATTAGAATTTTTTGACATCTCACACAATTTTGGAACATATATTAACATTATCCACTAAAATATAACCTGAAGATGATTTAACATCATTTTGGCAATCTCATATACCTAAACCTGTTAAATAATCCTGTTTTTCTCTCTTTTCTGGACACTCCAGGGTCCCTTCTGGAGCCTCCGAAAAGCCAAGTATCACGAAAGACAATTTTGAAACTGAGGTTTGATTTTGGAAAACCTGGTAAATATGTTACAGGTTTAAAATATTGATGTTATGAAATAGAATTCTAGACTACCATAAATTTATTTATTTTGCCAAAATGATGACTCAAAAATTTTAAAAAGGCAAAAACCTTTCATTAGCCTTTACTATTACATGAAAATCCTGTTCAAAGCCAAATTTTACCCTTGCATTAGTTTATTAACGTTAACCCAAATTTTTTGGTAAAGCCTCATAGACAATTCCATCTAATTTTAACCATTTTGACCATGAGGTAAAATTTTTACAAACCTTTTATAACCTTTCTGCTAAAAGGCAGACTAGTTTATTAAGACAAACTTGCTGTATTTTTATTTCAATCCTCAATTTATGAAAAGACCATATAATACCCTTTTGTATTACCCTTTTGAATTTAGTTAATGTTTACACACAGGATTTTTTTGCAAGATTAATTTTACAATATTTCCACAACTTGCTTAAACATTCAGATGTATCTTATCTAATTTAAGACAATCCTTTATTCCTAGGTGAAATTTACATTTCCATGCCTTCTTATAATCTTCTACTAAAGACACATTTTACTGCTTTTACACACCTCATACGTAAATCTATTTTTAGTGGTTTAAGTTACATGTTATAATGATAACTTTTAGCAGTTTTTAACTTTAATGTGAAACCTGGTAAGTTGTTTTGATTATGTACTAGACACAGATAAAGTCACTTTTTCCAGCATAGTTAGGGGTGTGGTTAATTTTGTACGTCCCCAGGCCTTACCAAATTGTAAAGCAGGCAGCTTACAGTCTTGAAACATTTATCAAACCTAGTATCAGACTTATATGATGTAGACCACCCATTTGCATTTTGATGACATTTATATTTTACCAATAATCCCTAAGATTATTTTTATTTCTTAAACATTAAAGCCACTTGCACTGAAAGGCATTATAGCTTTTATATTTGCTTTAAAAAATACTTGATTTAAATGTGTATTTTTCTTTGAGCCAATCAATTAGAGCTGTTTTATAGACATTACACACAACACATATTTAGCTATACAGACAGACAGAAGATTCAGTACTTGTAAGATTTTTCATTTGCCAGTTTCTTAACTGAATTACTGGCTTCAGGGTAGAGCCCTTGGAGGAACAGGGCTAGGAAAGCACTCATTTCTAGGGTCTAATAAGCAGGCACAGCTGAAGGCAAAGACAGATCCCCAAAATTAAGGGTGCCATTTTATACTGGATCCTGGATCCCCAAAAGGAGAGAAATACTATAGAAGAAGATAGTGCAGTGCTTCTACCATGCATTTTATTGCAAGGCAAAGCAAAGCCAATAAGCCTATTTTGTAATCAGCCCATCCCCCATGGGAGTCTCATCTCTTAGTGGGGGTAGGGATGTTTCCATATCTTCCAGGTGGTCAACAGCGTGCTTCTCTGATCCAAATGTGCAAAGAGTCAAGTATCCCTCCATAACTACTAGTAGCCATCCCTTAAAGTATATTTCCTACCTCGTTAGTACACACCAAAGGTCTCTCTAATGTGAAGCAATTTCTGATACTCCCCAAACTCTAAACCGTCAGATAACACAATGCAAAATAGAACAGAGCCTTTCATTTTGAGAGGGATTTATCCGCTTTTAATTCTGGGATTTCATGAGGAAAACAGAGGTTTTTTTCCAAAACAGGGTCTCTGGCATCTCCTCTGTTTTTCCAAAGGAATTCCAGGCTACCAAAAGTTATCTTAGGCCATCTCATGTGTGCATTAAGAGTGGCAAGACAGGCTGGGTGCAGTGGCTCATGCCTGTAATCCTAGCACTTTCACAGGCCAAGGCACATGGATTGCCTGAGCTCAGGAGTTTGAGACCAGCCTGGGCAACTCGGTGAAACCCCGTCTCTACTAAAATACAAAAAATTAGCTGGGCATGCTGGCATGCGCCTGTAGTCCCAGCTACTTGGAAGGCTGAGACAGGAGAATTGCTAGAACCTGGGAGGCAGAGGTTGCAGTGAGCCGAGATCGTGCCACTGCACTCCAGGCTGGGTGACAGCGTAAGACTCTGTCTCAAAAAAAAAAAAAAAAAAAAAAAAAAGAGTGGCAAGACAAAAAATGGAGAAAAATAATTCAGTCAACTGAGAATAAAAACCTTTTTCCAGAAAAACAAGACCCAAGAAAAGAAAAACGTATAGGCCTTTAAAATATACCTGTAGCTTGAATATCCACTTTTAATTAAGCTGAGCTCTCTTTAAGAAAATCATTTAAGATATCTTGTTACTCAACATTAGCCACACCAAGTGGTTAAGATTTTTGGCTTTTGAACTTTACCAAAAGTAACCTCACAGGTGAAACCAATAAGCCTCCATTAGGTTATGACTTAACTGCAAGTGTATGAGGTATTCTCAAAGGGGCGGTAAGCAACTTTTGAAACTGTCATTGCAAAATGACTGAGACGGTAAAAGAGGTCCAACCCAACCAACTCCATCTTGCTTCCAGCCCCCAAGCTGTCCTTGCCCATCCCTAGGCATAGGCCAAACCAACTCTGGGAGGAGCCTAGTTTACAGTTTATAGCCTAAAACAAAGATGATAGCAACTCCTTCCCAAAATAAGCCTCCCTCTTGTCTGGGCACTAGACCAAGAAACTAGCCACAAGATTAGAAACCATGGCTCAGGAGTCGTGCAGCTGGAAGCTGCAAGATTCTGACCCTCCCTAAACTGCTCCCAAGATCAGTGCTCAAGATACTTGGCAAACCCTGCCCTTGATGGATCAGCTGGCACCACCCAGATTGACAAACTGGCTCATCTGATTTTGTAGCCCCCACTCAGGAAGTGACTCAGCACAAGAAGACAGCCACCACTGTAGAATGGCAGAGACTAAAACAAAATATTGCCACGTAGTCACAGCTCATGTTCCCAAGGACATAAAACAAGATGGAGGCCTGCAGCAAACTTCATCACCGATCATTTTGTAGGGCTGGCTTGAACAGCAGGTTTATGAGGTCCCAGTCCTAAGGCACCCTTTCTTTTGACAGAACCATGCAGAAAGACATGCAAAGCACACCAGATTGACGACAGCTTAAGACCAACTACACAAATCCTTTTTCATTAATTAAAACTTAACAGAGAATGTAATCAGTGATCCTTATTATCCCTTTTACCAGTTTGCCCAGAGACAGAGAGGCCAAAAGCCCAACTGGTTAAAAAAAAACTTTTACCGTTTTGCTGGCATGTCAGCTTCTGGGTTCCCTGCTCCTGAGCTCAACTCTAAGCGATGCACTTTAAGGTTTGGGGAACTTGACATTTCTCTGTTTGGAGGAACATTATAAAAGAAGGAATAGGAGCCATTTTAAACTGTGAAAGAAGGAAGGAGAAATACCATAGAAAAGTCTAGCGGTTTGGGTAGTAGAACTGGAGGAGCTGACATGTGGATGGGGGGCAGGAAGGGCCACAGCATCTGGAAGTTGCATTCGAGGGTTGCATTCAAGGGTTTCCTGAGGGTTTGTTTCTCTAATTTTGGGGAATCATTTTCTTTGGGCCCTCCTGATATGACTGGTAAAAAAGCTGAGTTGATTGTGCAACACTTGCAAAGTTCTAGTAAGAAGGCCATGCCCTTGTGCATAAGAAAGTGACCCACTTTTTCTTTAAAATCTAGTGTCAAAGGAGTCCCAGTGCTTCAGAACACATTCCAGAGGAATTCAGGCTGAAGATGGTCTGTTACCTATCTAGAAAGAGAAGCAAGAAAAACGTATGCCTTTAGTCTCCTTCCTTTCCTTTGAAATGGCCCAAGGTAGAGGGAAAGACAGTGGAGGCATCCCCCCACCTGTTTTCCCTCCCTAGTTCCCTGAGCCCTGGCATTTATTAAATGTGCCACCCATGGTTGCAGGCATGACCCTCAGCATGGAACCAAAGGAACTAAGCGATTTGGGATTATGTTCACTCTTGTGACTTTAGTCCTCCACTTGTGATATCCCTTTGATTTCCTGGACTCATCTGGCCCGTGTGGCTCCCAGAAAGATGGATCTCAGGAAAAACTACATAATAGTTTCATGTGAGCAAGACCCATTTAATGGAGGGAGTGTACTAGATTAAACTCTATATCCTGCTATTATGGCCCATGCTAAAGCACTTACCCTTAGAGAATGGTTCCGGTGAACTTCCAGACATAAAATCTTCTTACTATTTAAGTATCGTTTTAATGGGAGGTAGAATATGTGCCTTAAAAGAACGTAGGGACCGAATGGCCATTTTCCTGCTGATGGGACGGTATCGAGACTAAAATTTGATTTTAGAGGATTTTTTCCTCCTCATTGCTGAAGGGAGAGTTTTTCCATTTACAGAAGCGCATAAAGCCTGGTCTCTAGTAGAGAGGTGCCAAAAGGGAGGAGATTTCTATTCCACTAGGTGGTGCTGTTGACCTTGAAATGCCATGTGCCCTCCAGCCCAAGGGCGGAGAAATGCTCACAGTGGTGGGGCGGGGGAGTGGTGGAGACCCTCAGTTCCTAGAAAAATCACAAAAACGACATTCCCTTGAGCTATATTCCTGGTTACTGCAGCATCCTACATTTCCTGATCTTGCCTAATAGGATTACTTCCCTGAACTGTAAAAATTCCCACCACATTGCATACAGAGAGAGGAGACATGGCAGTCGCAGACAGGAAAGGAGGAAATTATGATAAGTAAAGCTGGAGATCCTGTTGCCGATGCCTGATTGAGCAGTTGGAGGCGGGTCAGTCCAGAAGCCTTCAGATAACACCAGGGTGTAGACCTGGCCAGAAATCCTCCAGGACTTATTCCAGCCCCATGCAATGGCTAGGTTTCCATGAAGGGAAATCAGTTCAAAACACAGCCAAAATGCCCAGAATGGAGGCCGACAGCCTTGAAATGAAAGGATGTCCCAGATGGGGCCCCAAAATGAAGCGGCGACATTGTCTGGGATAAATACCCGAGGTTCGTTGTTTCACGCCAAGGGATTCAAGGACATGGACACACAAGTAGAGAGTTTAAGAGCAGAGGTTTAATACGTAAAAGAAAAAGAGAATAGCTCTCTATTCTGCACAGAGAGAGGGGCACCCGAGTGGGTCTTCCAGTTTTGTGATGAAATAAACGGGGTTTTGTAGATGAGCTTGAGGAGGTGGTGTCTGATTTATATAGGAGGAGGTGGTGTCTGATTTACATAGGGCCCAAGAGATTGGTAGAACCAGTTGTTATGTTTGCATGGGGTTCAAGGAAGCTGCCCATCCCACCCTAATCTTTTATTGTGCAGATGGGCTCTCTACCTGGCCAGCGCCATGTTGTCTGTTCCTTACTGTACACGTGGTTCACAAAGGGAAGATGGAGCCACCATGTTGAACATGACTGGCCCCCAGGTAGCCTTTCTCTACTGGCACAGCTGCTGGTATTTACCTATGCAAGATTTTAGCTTGCTTAGTTATGCTTGCAGCTTGATTTTTCAGGCTGCTTTTTGTTAGAAAAGAAATGATTTGGGGGCTGCTTTTACAAAAAGGAAAGCTTACTGAGGACTTTCTTACCCTATCTGCCTAAATAATTTCCAACTCCTGTATCGAAACGACTGTACTTTTTCTACCACATTATCTTTGTGTCCTTGTGAAAAAAAATCAGTTGCCCATAGATGTTGAGTGTATTTCTGGACTTTCCATTACTTTCTACTGCTCTATGTGTCCACATTTATGTAAAAACCAGGTTGTTTTGTATACTAAAGTGTCTTAGTCTGTTTGTGTTGCTATAAAGGAATATCGGAGATGGTAATTTATTTTTTATAAAAAGGTTTATTTGGCTCATGATTCTGCAGGCTATACAAGAAGCATGGTGTCAGTATTTGCTTCTGGTGAGAGCTTCAGGCTGCTTCCACTCATGGCAGAAGGCAAAGGGGAGCCAGCTGTACAGAGATCACATGGCAAGCAAGAAAGCAAGAGAGAGGGGGATTAATCTATTCACATAGGATCTACCTTCATGACCCAAACACCTCCCATTAGGACCCATCTCCAACACTGGAAACCAAATTTCAACATCAGATTTGGAAGGGGTCAAACAAACTATATCCAAACTATAGCATAAAGCTTTGTTAAGTCTTGAATTAGATAAAAATTAAGTATGGGCCCTCTAAAGTTGTACTTTTTCCATTGTTTTGGCTATGCTAAGGTCCTTTACATTTCCATATAAATTTTGAAATCAGCTTGCCCATGTCTACAAAAAAGCCCACTTTTGTGATTCTGATGAATCTATAGATTTTGCAGAGAACTGACTTCTTAGCAATATTGAGTCTTCCAACCCATGAAAAAGTAAATCTTTGTTTTTTAGGTCATCTTTAATTTCTCTCAGCAACATTTTGTACATTTCAGTGTATAGGTTTTTCGTATCTTTTGTCAGTTATTCCTAAATATTTATCTTTTTTGATGCTTTGTAAATGGCATTTTTTCTTATTTTAACTTACAGTTGTTTGTTGCCAATATACAGAAATACAGCTGGGTTCTTGTATATTGATTTTGTATCCTGGAACCTTGTTAAACTCATTAATTAGTTCAAGTAGCTTTTGGTAGTGGGAAACTAATAATTTTCCCTGCCCCAGAATCTTTGTTGTGATAATATAACTTTGCTATTCCTTTGGAGAACCATTTCTTTTCTACTCTTGGTCCATGTGTTTGGGAAGACATTTAACAGAGACTAATTAGCACAGTGATTGGTGTAGAGACAATGGTGTACGTGACCAGTTCATCCAATGAAAGTAAATGCTGGAAGTTATGAGGAAGTCAATGGGAAAACATTGCTTTTTCTAGCTAGTTCAAAGTAGAATGTTACTGATTTCAAATTTAAGTCCATTGTGGTCAGAGAACACACTTTGTATGATTTGAATGCTTTTAAATTTATTGGGATTTGCTTTGTGGCCCACAACAGGTCTATCATAAGTATTATATGTGCACTTGAAAAGACTGTGTATTCTAATCCTGTTATGTGGTAAGTTCTATTAATGTTAATTAAGTCAAGTTGATGGATAGTGTTTTTCAAGCCTACTATTTTTTGCTGACTTTATGCTTACTTTTTCTAACAATTATTGAGAGACATTGAAATCTCTGACTATAATTGTCAACTTACCTATTTTTCCTTGCAGTTCTATCAATTTTCACTTAAGTCATTTTGAAGCTCTTTTATTATTAAGAGCATAAGCTTTTAGGATTATTATATCCATTGATCTTTTATTAAGTTACTGTCTTTATCCCAATTATATTCTTTGTTCTGAATTATCCTTTGTCTGACATTAATATAACCATTCTAGCTTTTTAAAAGTTAATATTAGCATGGCATAACTTCTTTCATTTTTTTAACATTTAACCTGTGTGTCTTTACATTTATGATTCATTTCTTGTAGGCATCATGTAGCTGGGTCTTGGTTTTTTATCCAATCTGACAAGCTCTCCCTTTTATTTGGAGTTTTTGGACCATTCCACTTAATATGATGTATTAGTCTGTTCTTACGCTGCTAATAAAGACATACCCAAGACTGGGTAATTTATAAAGAAAAAGAGGTTTAATGGACTCACAGTTCCACATGGCTGGGGAGGCCTCACAATCATGGTAGAAGGTGAAGGCAAAGGCAAGTCTTAACATGGCAGCAGGCAAGAGTGCCTGTGCAGGAAACTGCCCTTTATAAAACCATCAGATCTCGTGCAGCTGATTCACTATCATGAGAACAGCATGGAAAACCCACCCCCGTGATTCAGTTACCTCCCACCAGGTCCCTGCCATGACACACGAGGATTATGGAAGCTACAATTCAAGATGAGATTTAGGTGGGGACCCAGCCAAGCCATATCATAAGATTACTAATTTTTTCAGTTTGAGTCTATTGTCTGTTTTCTATTTTTGTTGTTGTCTTTGTCTCTATTTGTTATTTCCATTTGTTTTTTGTACCATTTTCCCTTTTTTGAAGTTTTGCAAGTCTGGTGGGAACAGGCACTATTTTTGGCCATTTATAAGCACCAGGCACTGTTTTCTTTAATCCTTTCAGATGGTTCTTTTCCTGACTTCAGGTAGTTTTTGCACGCATGCACTGATCAGCAGCTTGCTGAACACTCCAGAGGGACCCTCTGCAGAGAGTTGCGGTTTACTCTCTATGAAATTCTCTCATCTCTGGTCTTCTGTCTGTTCTAAGAGCTCTAGGTGCTTTGGTTTTCCCACTCTTAACTTTGTCTCCTCAACTCAAGAACTCAAGAACCAAATAAATACAGCCAAATGATTTTTTGACAAAGGTGCAAAGGCAATTCAAGAGAGAAAGGGTAGTCTTTTAAATAATAGTGATGGAACAATTGGACATTCATGTACATAAAAATGAACCTCAACCTATCTCATACTTTATCCAAAAATTAACTCAAAATGGATCATGAATCTAAATATAAAACTATAAAACTTTTAGAAAAAACAATGGAAGAAAACCTTCATAACTGGGGGTTAGGCAAAGAGTTCTCAGTATGACACCAACATCACTATCCATAAAAAAAGATATAGCTTATCAAAATTAAAAATTATAAAAAATGTTAAGGGAATGAAAAGACAAGCTACAAATAAAGTATTTTCAAGTCACATATCTGACAAAGGACCTGTATTCAGAATCTATAATGAACTCTCAAAACTAACAGTAAGAAAACAATTTTGAAATGGTCTAAAGACTTGGAGAGGAAATATAGGTGACTTACCCAAAGAGGATATATGGTTGACAAATAAGCACATGCAAAGATGTTCAACATTAGTGGCTATTAGAGAAATACCACTTAACCCCATGATCAGATACTATTGCACACCTAATAGAATGGTGAAAATAAAGAATACCGACAATAGTAACAGCTATCAACAATGTGAAACAACTGGACCTCTCTGACATTACTGGGAGGAATGCAAAATGATATAGCTATTCTCAAAAATAGTGAATACTATTCAGCAATAAAAGAAAATAAAATGAATTGTAGATATAAACAATAATTTGGATGAATCTCAAAGACATTATGCTAAGTGAAAAAGCCAGTCTCAAAAGGTTACATACTGTATGATTCTATCTATAGGACATTCTCAAGAAGACAAACCAAGAATGTCAGAGAACAGATCAGTGGTTGGCAGGGGTTAGGGGTCGGGGGGATGATGTAACTACAAAGGGGTAGCACAAGGGAATTTTTTAGGATGATGAAATTGCATCCTGATTGTGGTGAAGGTTACCTAAATTTGTACATGTGTTAAAATTCAAAGAACTGTCCATCTTTAAAAAAGTTCATTTTACTCTATTCATTTTAAAAGTTAAGATTTAAAAGAAAACTTTATAGTAAACTAATACTAAATGGTGACATCTAGTTGTCCAGATATTCTGAGAAGAGCAAAGTGAAGAGCTTCAGTGGGTCCCTGAGTCTGAAACATGCCTGGTATATTCAAGGAATAGTAAGCAGGTCAGTGTGGCTAAAGTAGGATGAGTAGGAAAGGAGAGTAGAGGACAGAAGGTCAGAGATAATGAGAGATCAGATTATGTAAGGACTTTGGCTTTTGAATTAAATAGGGAGCGACTGCAGGGTGTTGAGCAGAAAATATGAGATGAGCAGATTTAATGTTTTAAAAAGATCACTGTAACTCCTGTGTTGAAAATAGATTTGTGTAGGGGGAAGAGAAGAGGAGGTAGAAGAGGGAAGATATCTTAGGAGCTACTTCAGTAACCCAGGTAAGAATGACTGTTTGCGGCTCAGTACAGAATGGTTGTGACAGATGTTGTGAGAAACGGCTGGAGTCGAGATATAATTTAGAAGGTAGACTCAAGATACTTATTTTCTGATGGATTGAATTGAAAAATGAATTGAAAAGGAGTCCAGGATGACTTCAAGTTTTCTGGCCTGAGCAACCAAAAGATTTAAACCAGCATCAGTTAAAGGGAGGACAGCTTTGGGTAAATCAGGACGGGGGAAAGAATAGTTCAATTGTGAATATGCTGTTTGAGATTCTAACAGCCAAATGAAGATTTTACATTTGGCTGGAAAGATCAAGGTGCATCCAGTGGCCTTAGGCATACTGACTGCGCTGTGTGGTCCTTTTGGTTAACTGTGGAGAGTTCTGGAGCAGAATGGGGAATCTGTGTTCTGGGAAGCTCATTCCACACCAGAACTAAAAGGTTGTAGTCACTTGTAAGTTACCTGTTCAGTTGCGGTCTTTTATTCAGGAGTGAAGTTTATTTGATTTATTCATCAAGACTTTCTCTGTCTCAGGATATAAGATTTTAAATGGTGAAGAATGCATCTCTAAAAACAAATTCTTAAATGAATATGTCTTTCCTTATAGTACTCATTCAAGATTATTCTTTTCTCATTGTTTATCTTTGCTGTAGTTTTTAGAGTCAGGCTGAGTCGTTCAGTGAATAAAAGGTGTCAGTAGATACAAGGCTGCTGTAATCTAAGCTGCCCAGAGAATCAGAAGGAACAAATACGAATTGTGGATAGGGGTGGGAAATATACAAACTCACTGAAGAACAGTTTTAGACAAAGTACCAGATAAAATGAAAAATAATGGCAACTGACAAATTATGAAAATTAAGTTCTTGATTTAAGAAGCCAAAGAGTGGAAATAGCAATGAAATCTGACATCAGCTCCAGCTGCAAATCTTTATGTGCATATTATGAAATAAAAACGTCACAAGATGTCTCCTTCTGGCCCTTCCCATTCCCCCAAATAGAAATTAACAATAGTACTATTTTAGATTCCAGGTTTATACATAAACACATTATATATGTATAGCTCTGTTTCACAGCCTAATCCCATCCCAAATCCCAAACCCAAATATCTTCCGACTAGGTTGTTAACTAACAAATCTATATACAACTCTTCTCAAGAGATCAAAATACAATGACTCAATACTAGATCCAAGGGAATAGATTTCCCATAATGAATCTGTAGGCTTCAGAATAAGTAAACAAGGGAATGTCTAGAAATGAAAGCTTCTAATATTCCTTCATATTACATTCATCTGCCATTTTTTATTTTTTTTGAGATGGAGTCTCGCTCTGTTGCCCAGGCTGGAATGCAGTGGCACGATCTCGGCTCACTGCAACCTCTGCCTCCCAGGTTCAAGTGATTCTTCTACCTCAGCCTCCCAAGTAGCTGGGACTACAGGTATGAGCCACCACACCCAGCTAATTTTTGTATTTTTAGTAGAGATGGGGTTTCACCATATTGGCCAGGCTGGTCTTGAACCCCTGACCTCGTCATCTGCTCGCCTTGGCCTCCCAGAGTGCTGGGATTACAGATGTGAGCCACCACACCCGGCCTCATCTGCGTTTTCTAAGTAGTGTTGTATTTAGTCCACAGCATCTTTGAGAAGGTATATTCAATATGCTAAAAACTATATAGTATTTGGAAAAACTATGACAAAGATATCATTCATGAAAATAGGATTTGACTACTTTCTCTTTTTGTGCATTGATGTTTGATGTGAAAAATCACAAATTAGCTGGGCATGGTGGTTCAAGCCTGTAATTGCAGCACTTTGGGAGGCCAAGGAGGGAAGACTGATTGGGCCTAGGTGTTTGAGACCAGCTTGGGCAACATGACAAAACCTTGTCTCTACAAGAAATACAAAAATTAGCTGGGCATGGTGCACATGCCTGAAGTCTCAGCTACCTGGGAGGCTGAGGTGGGAGGATCACTTAAGCCCAGGAAGTCAAGGCTACAGTGAGCCATGATCGTGCCACTGCACTCCAGCCTGGGTGACAGAGTGAGATCCCATTAAAAAAAAAATTCACAAATTAGAGAATAAGAATTAGTCAAATCTTAGATTCATAACTGTGTACAGTGGACATAGAAATAATTTAAATATATATCATCATTGTAAGTTGGCCATGTATTGGGGGGTGAGGGAGTGGGCAGTGAGGCATGGGGAACAATGCTTTTTTGAAGCCTCTGTGATTTCATTATATAATCAGAGTAATTGTTTTGCCACTACATATTCTTTCAGAATGACAGGAAGTTAGGAAATATTATCTTGAGAAATTACTAAGAACAGCAATTTCTGTACTATTTTGTGTTTTTCCGTCTTACCATTAGTTGTTAAGCTGCCGAGTCAAAATCAGCCTAGTTTAAAATAATCCACCTCACAGAAAGTTTTGATATAATAAACATTTTCTCTATTCATCCATTCACTTATATAATCTCTAAGGAAATATATTTTAATTTCCTAAATATCAGTATTTTCTTATAAGTGCACAGTGGATTTTTGTGTCTCAAAGCTAATTAAAAATATGAAGAAACTGTTTCATATAATAACCAAAAGATTCTGCACAGCTAACTTAGGAAAACTTACCGTATACTAAATTGAAAGCTAATTTCCGATACTGACTGACTGCAATAGAATGGAATAAATGGCATTTGCTTTTTTGTTACTATGAACATAAACCCAAAAGCCTGTTTCTACCACATGTGCATACAATATATGCACAGGTATGTGAGTATATAGTTGTATTATTCTAGGCTTGATTTTCTCATTTTGATTAATAAAATTAAAGGGTTTTTTTTTTCCAATTGGCTAAATGAGAACTCTCTGAATTTGTGTCAAATACATTGATAATCTTATAAACTCTTGACTTTCAACTTCATAGCAGAATATTTGAAAATATTCACTGAATTTCAATGTGCATGTTAAAGTGTTGTCTTGACTTAATTTATATAAGTAGATTAGGATATGTATATGATATAGAGGGAGGAAAAACTGAAGAATATATCTGCAAGAGCTTATCTCTATTAGCATACTATGCTCAAACGGCTTGAATATCATGCAAAAAAGTTCTGGGACGAGGATATTAGCATATAAATTATTTCCCTCTTTCATTTTAAGTTAGAATATGCATTTCCTCTAAAGAAATTGTCAGTTGCCTAAAGAAAAAGTACACAGATGGAGAATTCAGGAAGAGTTAAACTGAGCACACTCAGTCCATCCTCCCAAAATAACCCATTAAGTCATTCTTTCTTCTTTTCTTAGAAACTGAAGGAACAGACATGGTCTTTGAGTATTCATTAAATACACAAGTAACTCAGATTAAGCCAAGCTTCTTAATCCCTTTATGCCTAGTGTTCCATTATTGGAACGCTAAGCATGTGGGAGTTATTTATACACTACTGCTCAAGGTCATCGCCAAGTTCTGATTTTTCACACAAAAAAATTCCAACCTCCAGCATAAATGGATTAATAGGCATATTTAGCGGTTTCATCATCAGAAGACACTTCAGCTTAACATCCAAAATTACTGAATCTACAGACATCTCTTCTCAGATAAAACATCTTTGCAAAACCAGTGCTGCAACGTGACAGGATCAACTCCATCAGTTTGCTCCCTTATCCTCAGGGTTGGTTACTCTGGTATTCTTCTACTTCATGGACGATTGTTTCTGCCTTTCTTTGCCTTGTGTCTCCTGAGGAAAAATACATGCTCTCCTTCCGCAAAGTTCCTGCTTGCACTATAAAGTAACACTTGCCCATACAGAATAATGAGAAGAGCACTTCTGCCCTTGTTTCCTTCCCTCCAGCAGAAGTGACATCGTCTTACTGATTTCTGAAGGGACTGAGTATTCTCAAATTCTTCCTTCCCGGATTTTCCTTTTTGGGTCTCATGGTCTCAAGATGCACATGTTCTCTTCCTCAACAACTGGATATGTGGCCTGTTCCTATAGGTGAGGCTTATGACCATAGGATTAAGTCCAATGAATGAGGAATAGTTTGCATTTAGAAATTTTGTGTGGCCATGAATCTGAGCCATGATCTTCAACTTCATTAGCAATAAAACTAATATTTCAGTCCCCTTCCTACTTATTTCTCAACTGGCTTTGAACTTAGTAGAGAAAAAGGTATGAATAAATATACATTAGGGATCTACCATACTTGAGTGCCCACTCTGTGCTGGACACTATTAGGCAGATAATACTGTTTATATTTGTATAGCATTCATACCTTTCCAAGCACTCTCATTTGACACTTCTAATTGTCTTCTAAGATAGATAAATACTATTTTCACTTTTCAAACATGGAAATTAGAAGTCAGAAAAGTTAAGTGATTTGCTATTTTCACATCTAGTGTTGGAGGCTGGCCTCAAATGCAGGTATTGTAACCTTAAATCTAAAGCTATTTCTTGATATAACACATTGTATCTTGCAACAAGGTAAATCCTTTATTATATATCTCTACTTTTGGTACTCCAATCACCTTTTATTGCATAAAATACAAAATGTGAATATTTTGTGTTGATGCCACATGAACTTTAAAACACAGTTTCTTTATCAATCTGTTTCAGTATTGTCCATTTGAATTGACAGTAGTTGATGTACTAAACATGAAGATTCTTGAGGCCTATTACAAAACTAATGACCTATTGATCAGACCCTGTGCCTAGGCCAAGGAAGTATTTTTAACAGCCACCCCATCTGCATATTAAAGCTCAAGTTCCACTTGATTCAATTATCACTTCTTAGCTTTTCTTAAACACTCTATATTTCACATTGTAAAACTCTTACACAAAACCTTACCAGGTAGCTACTGTGAATTATATATTCCCAAATACACCTTGTCCTTTTCCAGCTCTTCACTAGTTTTAACTTTGTCCCAATCCATTTAAAAATTCTCTTCTGAAAGGCATGCTCAAATGCAGCTCTACCATGAAGACCTCAATGATTATCCTCCTCTTAAATACCTTAACCCTTGTCTATAACAATTGTACTATAAAAGTGAAAATTGTTACAATTTTAAATAAAATTGTTACTCACAACTTTAAATAAAATTATTACTCAAAAGAAGCTCCTCCTGGACAGCAAGAAATGTACCTGTTATATCTTAGTATGTCACTGTGATATTAAATATTTATTATAAATAAAGGACAATGTGGCCAAGCACAGTGGCTCACGCGTGTAAACCCAGCACTTTGGGAGGCTGAGGCCAGAGAATCACTTGAGCCCAGGAGTTTGAGACCAGTCTGGGTAATATTGCGAGACCTTGTCTCCTTAAAAAAAAAAAAAAAAAAAAAAATTTAGCCAGGCATGGTATGGTGGCATGTCCCAGCTACTTGGGAGGCTGAGGTGGGAGGATTGGTTGAGCCCAGGAGACTGAGGCTGTAGTGAGCTGTGATCTCACCACAGCACTACAGCCTGGGTGACAGAGCGAGACCTTGCCTTTAAAAAAAAAAAAAAAAAAGACAACAAACTGCTTCCAGAGAATTAGTGAAAGCAAATATTAAAATTCTCTGGGAGATGAAAGGACTGATGGAAGCCAAGTATCTAAGATGCTACTACCATTTTCTACAAAGAAATGTCTGGGTAAAACAGCAGCTGCTCCACCTTTTCTGAATGGATGGCTTCATTAGCTGAAAGAAAGGAAACATTAGCTGACAGAAAAGAACTAAATTGTTCAGAAAAAGTAGTGTTAGCTACCAAGATATTGTACTATTAAAAAAAAAGATATTATACTATAACTAACTTTCTCCTGGATGTTTAGACAAGAACTTTGTGAATAAAGTTAGAAAAATACTAACATTTAAGTACAAGGTACTATTCATAATATTTAGAAATGTTTTAATATAGTTTAAGTTTCCTATTTTTGTATATTTTATTAATATTTAAAATATTTTATACTAAACAAAAGAGATTTTTGCCATCTCCTATTGAAATAAGGCAATTTACAGGGAAGGGAGTTTCAATACAAACCATCACCTTCTATATCAATTTAGTATTCTTCAAGGTGTTTGAAATTCATTATTATCTCAGGGGATATTGTTGATCATTGTTAACTTAGTCTTATTATAAAGTATAAGAAATAAGATCTGAAAAACTTAATAGAATTTCATTTTAATAAGTATATTTAAAGTTTATCGCTTCCAAAAAACAGCACTTTAATTACATTCAAGTTGTATTCATTTTAAATACCAACAAACCCATCATTTACATATAGAGCTAGATATTACAAAACAGATGGAAATTTAAACAAGTTTTTTTTTTAAGTCCTTCCAAATTTAGAACATTGTGAACTATTAAGTACATGCCTAAAAAATGTACACATTATCAGGGAAACACAAGTTGCTCTAATAGGAAAAGAGCCATAATACACATACAGTGGAATATAATTCAAATAGGTTCAATTTACAGGTATGTCTTAAAGTACAAGAAAACCCCAAAGCTAATAACTAGAACTATAGGCAAAATCATAGCTGACTTTCTAAACTAATGCACCACTATATAATGCTTTCCCAGAGAAAGTAGAAGGTTCTCAAGATTTTATGTTGACCCATGATTTTTCACGTGTTCTCAAATATAAAACCAGAGTTTTCTTTTTGTCTTTAATTTACACTCATGTTTGCCTGTTTGCTTTTATAAGAATAACTAAAATGTATCATGAGAAGTGCCATCAAACCTGTCTATTTAGAGCTCAGTAACCAAGACATTTCTTTCATTTTTCCCTGTTGCTCTATTTTCCCTTCAAAAAGTCTCTAAGGAAATTTTATAAACAGTGGTGGTAAAAAGATAATTCTGAGATGGCAAAGAAATATGAGACTTGGCACAAGCACGGATTTACAAAAAAAAAATTATCCCCCATTTATTAAACCATATATGCGAAAAAGGAAAATCATATCTGAAAACATAAGCCAGTGAAAACATACTGAAAAAAAATGGAAGGCGGCACTTAGAATTGTGGCGCTTGCAGGCTTTAGTTTGGAAGACGCACAGCAAGCAAGCTACCAGTTGAGAATTTTTAAAAACTTGTATGAACTTGTTTAAATTTTGAACTTGTTTCAATCAAGTTGTAGCCAAAACAAAAAGGTCATAATTACTGTGCTCATATAAGAGATGTGACGAGGGAAGGAGGGAGGGAGAAATGCAGGAAAGGAGCGGGGAGAGGAGGAAGGGAGGAAGAGAGGGAGGAAAGAGTAAGGTACACATCAGGTTAAAAGGGGCAGAATTAGGAATAAAACTAAGCACTTAATCTAATCTGATCAGGAAGAAACTTTGCCCTTTATTCAGATTTTATTGCATTTCATAATCACAGAAAAAGAACATCCAACTTTATTCTTAAATGTGTCTCAAGTTAAAAATGGCAGAATGAATAGCCCTTAGTTAGCACACACTATTTTTAAAAGGGACACTTGTAGAATTTCACTGGTTTTTTGTTGTTGTCCTTGTTGTTGTTTTCCCCGCTTCTTTTCATAGGTGTTGACGTATTTGTTTTCTAATGATAATCTTAAGAGTTGACTCTTCTAAAATGGTGCTCAGATGTTCTGATATATTCAGGCCTTTCTTAAACAACTTACTCTGCATTAAAAAGTCATCAATAAGAACTGTAATTCAGTGTTTTTAAAAATGAAATGTTTAACTTCAAATTGTTTGTTTAAAATAAACTGCTATTGTGCCAAATAATGAAACTACTATTTTATTCATTACAAACATCATATAATCATTCTCTATAATCACTATAAAAATTTAAATGCTTCCTTTCTCCTGTATATGAAGATGGTAGTTCTAAAGCAACACTCTAAAAGTGTTAAAAAGCCCATTCGTAACACACACCCCACCTCAGTTTTTGAAAGTCAGTGCATTCAGTGGTTATAAATAGGCATGATGTTCTTCCACAGCTAAGAGTTCTAGAAGAAAGGGGAAAAAAAAAGATAAATAATCTGAAAGGTTCCTAATGATCACAAATACTGCCAATACTCAAAGTCAAGATGGTATAACCTGAGTGTCAATCAGTTGTGTTTTTTTCTCCCAAGGGAAGACGTTCCCATAACTGGAGCAACTGTTCACCAACCAGAGGTTCTAGTTCCTAGATAAATCAGAAGTCAAAATAAACATAAAAAGAACTGGAGTGAAAATTTTTAATGACCAAAACCTACACTGATAAAAATGTAAGAAAATCACTTTAAATTTCATTTTCCTACCAGCGTATGCTAAAATCATCTGGTATGAATTGTTCTAATTCTTTGCTTTAAGGTTTATGGAGTTGACTTCCAGATTTAAGATTACAGTTAATCTGCAAAATCTCTCAACTTTTGTGACAAAATGGCAACAGATTCCCATGGAGTCCTGGAACTGTTTCTACCTAAAAATAATGGATTTTGTTTTTCATAGAGATTCAGCAAAAGCACTCAGCTGGAACTTCCAAAGGTTTACTGTGAAACCTAGCATATTCGATGTTGGGTTTTTTTCCAAGGAACTCTCTTAAGCAACTATATCTTCTTATCTTGAAAATTATTAAAATATTTTTTCTTCTAAGATTTCTAGCTAACATATTTCTTCAAAATCATTATTATAGAATAAAAATGAAATTATTCTCACACAATTGAAAAGAATCCCACTTCATAGTACTCCTGTGGAATGATAACCTATGATAAGCACTTAAGAAGAACCCAAACACTTTTTACATGGTGATTTGAAACGAGTCATACTGGTTCAGATAAATTATTAGCTGTGTGACCTTAGGCAAAACTAATCTTTGAGTCTATTTTCTCCTATATAAAATTGGACTAATAATTTAATCATAAGAAATAAATTATATCTTCTAAAGCAGCTAGCATAGTATTTGGTCAATATACATTAATTTCCATCATCTTAACTAGCTTAAAATGCATGTAAATAGCATCATGAAGACAAAGCAAAACACAATAGAAATAAACAAGCCACTAGAATATAAAAAGGTTATTTACTTTACATAATTAAAGCCAAAGAGAAGTTAAATACTATTGTCATCTTGAGACTCTGACTGCAAGGAGCAATCAGACACATTTACAAGTAGGTTTTTACTATCTTTTTACAAACCTGAACCCCTGTTTCCCATGTGCATATGGAATATAAAATTTGTACTCTTACATTTTCTCCTCAATTAAAGCACTGGATAACAGAAAACAAACAGAAACAAAAGTAAATAAAAAAAAAAATGCCATTGTATACCTGCCCATCCCTGCTTATCTGCACTTTCTTGTTGTCATTCCATGGATTGAGTAAATGGTGTGCAAATTGAAAGGGAAGGCTTTCTTTTCGTATCCACTCCACCTTAAATACTCCTCCTAGTCCAGCAGAGCCCCAGTCCTGACTCTTTTCCCTTCCAATCTCAGAAGACATCCTAGAAAATCCCTGTAGGTAAAATGGGAGGAAGGAATAGAGGTGAGGAGGAGATTAGCATGTCTAAATTTAATTTATCTGAGAAGGCTGAGTTTTTAAAATTTTAAGATTAAGATATAATATTGAAATAACAGATACCTAACAAAAACAAAAAATAAGCTACTAAATTTTTCATTAAAAGCTCTCTTAGCAAATTTTAGAAAAAAACAGTTCTAGCCTCCTAACAATTTCAAATATCAATAATGATTTCTAAATAAAATAGCAAAGTCCATATTTTTATTCCATGATAAATGGATACAAGCTAACCTCTAAGCTTTCATTTCCAAAAATTATAATAAACATCAAATAATAAATGTATTATTTTATAAATTCAGGTATACATTAAGTCAAGATGGGTGATGGGTTAAGAAACATACTTAGTTTACTGATTGTCAATACTAACTTCCTTGGCCTATTTAAATAAATATTTTACCAAAAGGTCAAGCTTCTCATTACTTTGAATCCACTTGAGAATTAGTAAATCTAAAGTTGTCTTCAGAAGGAAACATAGTTTACCTGGAAAGACTCTGGTAAGACAAGGCAAAAACAAAGAGGATTCCAGTTCTATCATCCTCTAAAGAGATGCAATATATCCCTTATTCTCAGTCAAGCAAAAGGCATTCTTGCATTCTGATGCAATGAAAAGCCAGTTGTTTTTCTAAAAATCTCTATGATTTAACCTATAGCCAGAACAACCCCATTTTACTGATTCAGGGTGGCTCACCTGGAAATGTCCAGATCCTTGAACAGAAAATACCAAGTAAACTATGCTGCTTTCCCAAAAGGCTCGATTTAGCTTCCGTTCATTACTAGGAGTTGTAGACCAGATACCCTTCTGTTGAGAAATTTCAAGGTTTCTCAAATTGCTACTCTTCATTATGAAGTATCGAACAGGCATGTTTGGTCTTGGCGAAGGAGATTTTGAGCCCTATAAAAGAAAACATAAGTTCTTGAAAGGTAACCTGACCTTTCAAAACCAAGAGGCTCCATTAAATAACATCTTCATAAACATATAAGCCAAAATATTTTATCATATATTCAACAAATGCAAATAGCTCTATCATGTCTGAAACCTACACAAGACTCAACCAAAATAAAGTTAGCCAAAAACAAGTACTCATTTTCAGAGCATTCAAAATCCCTTATCAACAAAGGCTCCTGGAGTACCAACTTTGGTTTATACCTCAAATATACTTTCAGAAATTGTTTTAATAAACTTTCAAAATCAGAAAACAAAACAAATACTTCTCCAGCTTACTGCCTGGAGGCAGTTTTCAGAGGACAAAGAAAAACAGAGTCCAGTGGTCTCATTAAGTTGTGCAGAAAGACACTGGAGTTCAGAGACCGAAGTGGCTACTGTGCATGGCAATGTACTATCTTAGACAGAAAGGAGCTGCACATAAAGAGAGCTCCAAAGGAAACACAGAGGGGTTCCCACAAGTTTTTGGCTAAGTGCTGACCTGAACATGAGTGAGAAAAAAGATAAATAACCCAAGGCTAGGGAAAGATCCAAAGGAAAACAAGTAGACCAAACAATTCCTAGAGCTCACTCATGGCTGGGAATATTTCGTGTTATCTTCAGCCAGAACAGATAGAACCTGTAATATATATGGTACTGGCCCACAGAAGGGCCATACCTTAGTATTGGAACTAAATTAATAACAGAATAAAGACTGCTCTGGCCCATTCCTAACATTACTTAAAAGCAAACTTCAAAAGGATTCAACTGATTGCAACTAAACTGTGCATCACAACAAAGTCTAACGCTATTGAAAGGAATATACAAAAACCTAGCTGCCCAACAAAATTATAAGAAACACAAAGAATATACAAAGGTTGTTATTTACATAATTAAGGCTGAAGAGAAGTTAAATACTGTTGTCATCTTGAGACTCTGATTGCAATGAGCAATCAGACACATTTACAAGTAGATTTTTACTAGCTCTTTACAAATCTGAACCCGTTTCTCATGTGCATATGGAATATAAAATTTGTACTTGCATTTTCTCCACAGACAAAGCACTGGATAACAAGAAGACAAAACAGAAAGAAAAGTAAAAGAAAAAAATGCCAAAAGTAATAAACAGAAACAGTCTCAGAGATGACAGAGTTGATGTAATTAGGAGACAAGAATGTTAAAGCATCTGTTATAAATACATTCATTATGTCCAAGAAGGTAGAGGAAAACTTGAACATAATGAGAGGAGAAATGGAAGATATTATTAACTTTTTTTAGGGGGACAGGGTCTCACTCTGTCATACAGGCTGGAATGCAGTGGCACAATCACAGCTCACTATAAAATCAAATTCCTGGGTTCATGTGATCCTCCTGCCTCAGCCTCCCCAGTAGCTAGGAATACAGGTGGCCCATCACCATGCCCAACTAATTTTTTTATTCTTTTGTAGAGATGATAGGGTCTTCCTATGTTGCCCAGGTTGTTCTCAAACTCCTAGCCTCAAGCTATCATCCCAACCTGGCCTCCTAAACCACTGGGATTACAGACATAAACCACGCCGGGCCAGAAGATATATATACATATATATATATATATATATATATTTTTTTTTTTTTTAATTTTTAAAAGACTTGAACTTCTAGAGATGAAAATACTGCCTTTAAAAACACATTAGAAGGAAAGAACAGCAGATTAGACACTAAATAAAAACATCAGTGAACGTACAGACAAAACAGTAGAACTATCTGAAATGAAGACAGAAAAATGACTGAAAAAAATGAAGAGAACATCGGTGACCTGTGGAACCATATGAGATGGTCTTACATCTGTGTATCCAGAGTCCCAGAAAGGAGGTTCTTCAGGCAGAAGTAAATAATACAAAATGGACATTCGTATTAACATAAAAGTATAATGAGCACAAGATTAGTAATAATAAATGTAAAAATATATTTTTCTGACTTTGAAATCTTCATAAAGGTAACTGACTATGTAAAGTAAAAACAATACATTATAGCATTTATATAAAAACAAAATGTATGAAAACAATATAACATAAAGGAGTAAAGTGTAAAATAAAAGAACACTGTTGGCCAGGCATGGTGGCTCACGCGTGCAATCCCAGCACTTTGGGAGGCAGAGGTGAGCAGATCACTTGAGATCAGGAGTTCGAGACCAGCCTGGCCAACATGGTGAAACCCTGTCTCTACTGAAAAATACAAAAACTTAGCCAGGCATGGTGGCACATGCCTGTAATCCCAGCTACTCAGGAGGCTGAGGAAGGAAAATGGCGTGAACCCAGGAGGCTGAGCTTGTAGTGAGCCGAGATCGCGCCACTGCACTCCAGCCTGGGTGGCAGAGTGAGACTCTGTCTCAAAAAAAAATAATATAAATAAATAAATAAATAAATAAATAAATGGCTTCATAAGTGAATTCTATCAAATATTCAAGGAAGAAATAATACCAATTCTACACATCTCTTCTAAAATACTGAAGTGGGACAAACACTTCCCAACTAATCTTATGAGGCCGGCATTACTCTGACATCAAAACCATACAAAGATACATAAGAAAAAAGAACTACAGAATAATACCCCTCATGAACAAAGATCCCTCATTTAACAAAATTATATCCAGCAATATATAAAAATAACACCATGACCAAGTGGGGTATAAACATAAGAAAATCAAGCAATGAAATTCACCATACTAACAGACAAAAAATGCTTTCCCCCTAAGATCAAGGGAAAGATATGTGGCTCTCAACACTGAACAATATTTTGCTGGAGGCTCTGGCCAGAGAGATAAGGTAAAAAAGAAATAAACAGCAATCAGATTGAAAAGGAAAAGAGTAAAATTATCTTTATTATCAGAAGGCATAAAAAGCTAATAGAATTAATAAATGAAATAAGGTCATAGGATTCAGGGCAGATATACAAATATCAAATGTATTTGTATATACTAACAATGAATACCTGCAATTAAAATTCTAAAGAACAGTATCAAAAACATTAAATACTTAGGGAGAAATTTAACAAAAAATTGTAATACTTGTACTCTGAAATTTATAAAACATTGTTGAGAGAAATTAAAGACTATCCAAATAATGAACAGATATACTATGCTTATGGATTAGAAGACTAAGAAGTGTTAATTGTTGATTTTCTTTAAATTGATCTATAGATTCAATGCAATTCCACTCAAAATACCAAAAAATTTTTCTGCAGAAACTGATAAGCTGACTTTAAAGTTTATATGAAAGTACAAAGGACCTGGAACAGCCAAAATAATATTGAAGAAGATAAACAAAGTTGAAGGACAATTGATTGAAGGATTAACTGATTTCAAGACTTACTATAAAGCTACTAAAATAATGTCAGTGTACCACTGGCAAATATATATATAATAATATGTCATAAATATTAATTATATTAATATATAAATATACTATATATTATGTATGTACAATATATTAATATATAAATACATAATATATATTACATATAAATACATTATATATATTATATGAATACATAATATATATTTATATATTATATATGAATACATAATATATATTTATATATTATATATGAATACATAATATATATTTATATATTATATATGAATACATAATATATATTTATATATTATATATGAATACATAATATATATTTATATATTATATATGAATACATAATATATATTTATATATTATATATGAATACATAATATATATTTATATATTATATATGAATACATAATATATATTTATATATTATATATGAATACATAATATATATTTATATATTATATATGAATACATAATATATATTTATATATTATATATGAATACATAATATATATTTATATATTATATATGAATACATAATATATATTTATATATTATATATGAATACATAATATATATTTATATATTATATATGAATACATAATATATATTTATATATTATATATGAATACATAATATATATTTATATATTATATATGAATACATAATATATATTTATATATTATATATGAATACATAATATATATTTATATATTATATATGAATACATAATATATATTTATATATTATATATGAATACATAATATATATTTATATATTATATATATATATAGAGAGAGAGAGAGAGAGAGATATTAATGAAACTGAAGAGTCCAATAAGTAGACCACATATTTATGGCCAGTTGATTTTTGACAAAGGTGTCAGTGTAACTCAATGGAAAAAAACAAATGGTTTTAACAAACGGTACTGGAACAATTGTATAAGCAAAAGCCAACGAGTAATTCTTGACTCACCCATACTATAAACGAAAATTAACTTAAAATAAATCATATATCTAAAATGTAAGATTGCCAACTATAAAACTTCTAAAAACATAGGAGAAAATTATGATCTTGGGTTTGGTACACAAAATTTCTTAGTACACAAAAAAATACTAATCATAATAGAAAAAGCTGATGAAATGGACTCCATCAAAATTAAAAACATTTGCTCTTCAAAAGGCACTGTTAAGGAAATGGAAAGACAAGCCACATACTGTTAGAAAAAATATGCAAAACATATAATAATTAAGCCTTGTACCCAGAATATACAGAAAACTCTTACAACTCAGTGAAAGATGACAAATCAACAAAAACCAACAACAAAAAGTGAACTAAGATTTGAACAGACATTTCACAAAGATGATACACAATGGCTAATAAGCACATGAAAAGATGCTCAACATCATTAGTAACTGGGAAAATACAAATTAAAACTATAATGGCCTATTACCACATACCCAACTGGAATGGCTAAAATTACAAAAGCTAAAATGCCAAATATTGTCAAGAATATGGAGCAAATGGAACTCTTAAGATTGTTAAAGGAAATGCAAAATAGTGCTGTCATTTTGGAAAACAGTTGGACAGTTTCTTGTAAAGCTAAATATACATTTATCAAACAACTCAAACAATACTAATCCTAGGGATTTGCCAAATAATAGAAAACATATTTAGACACAAAGATTTTACTTGAATGTTAGTACCAGTTAGTACAATGTTAGCAACTTTATTCATAATAGCCAAAAAGTGCAAACAACCCAAATGTCCATCAACTGATGAATGGAAAAACCAACCATAGTCTATCTAGAAATGGAATACTACTCAGTAATTAGATAAACTAATAATATACTCAACAATATGGATAGATTGTTGATACACTGAATCTTATGTATGTAGCATTTTGTGTCTGGCTTATTTCACTTAATAGAAATTTCAAAAGGATTCTATTAAGTGAAATAAGCCAGACACAAAACGTTACATATATATGATTCCATTTACAGGAAATTCTAGAAAAGGCAAAACTCAAGGGACAAAGAGCAGAACAGTGGGTTACCAGGGAGTAGGGGTGATGGAAATGTGTAGATGATTGTGGTATAGTTACATGATTGTATACATTTGCCAAAATTCATTAAATTATACAGTTTAAACTGGTGAATTTTATTGTAAGTTACACCTTAATAAAGGTGTATAAATAAACCAAAAAACTTCAAAACCTAAGAATGCAAATCTACAAAAACATTTATTTTCCTCTTATTTAACAAAGAGTATTTCAACAGGCACATTCGCCAAAATACAATATGCAGCTAAATAACCCCTAATCAAATACTTAGCTACTAAAACAGTAAAGTCATCACATCATGAACATTTAAAATTATTCTTATTACAAGTTTTTTTAAAGATAGTTTTCAATTTCTTATCAACATCTCCTACCTTCCTAACCCTATCCCATCTTGTTTTTTTTTTAATATAACCACTGTAGAAACCAATTAACAATAGAAAGAAACCACTGTTTTCGATTCTGAAATTATAAACCAAAGTTAAATTAATCTTTTTGTTATTTATTTTAGCAAAAAAGTTTCTAAAGGGCTGGGCATGGTGGCTCACACCTGTAATCCCTGCCACTCGGAGGCTGAGATGGGAAGATCACTTGAGCCCAGGAGTTTGAGGCCAACCGAGGCAACAAAGGGAGATCCCCATCTATAAAAAAAGAATTTTTCTTTAATCAGCTGGGCATGGTGGCATGCACCTGTGGTCCCAGCTACTCAAAAGCTGAAGTGTGAAGATCACTTGAGCCCAGGAGTTCAAGGCTGCAGTAGATATGATTGTACCACAGCACTCCAGCCTGGGTAAAAGAGTGGGACCCCACCTCAAAAAAAAAAAAAAAAAAAAAGGATTCGAAAGAAATAGGAAAGAAATAATAAACAGCCTACCTACATGCCAGTAGTGAATGATCTATAGTTTTAAAGCATTCTAAAATACCCCAAGATGGTAATAACTAGAAATATTTGGCATGCAGGAAAAACTTTAAAATTTACTCAAACTGTATCAAGTTTGCTAGCTTCAACTTACATCTAGAAGAGGCCACAATTAGAAAAGTACTCTAATTGTTTTACAATTTTATTTACCTAGGATTACATGTGCTACAAATCTGTTCCTTACTACATTTTCTTTCAGATACTCTTACCTTTCCTGAGGATGGAGGAGAAGGACTAGCACAAGGACTTGGGTAACTACTGCTGTCTGTAGATTTCAGAGAAGACTGATCTGATCGGTCCTCAGTACCTCGTTTAGGATGTAAAATTCCTCTATCTTTGTACTTCTGAGGTGGGTGTAATGCTGGAGATGGAGATTTCATCAGTACTCTTGAGCAAGAAGGAGGAAGCAAAGATCAGTTATATATAAGTTCGTCATACAAAGATCAGTTATGTATAAGTTTATAATACAAAGCAGATGCCATTTCAATCCAAAGTCCCAATGATCTTATGATTTATGGAATATTATTTAAAAATACTAAGGTCAGGAAATATAGATGTCTATGGCAGTTCTAAATTTACAACTAACTAGGTATGAGATCCTGAGCAAGCCTCGTAACTTATTGGAACTTTAATTTCCTTATCTGTTAAATAAAATAAAAGGATTATATCTAAACTCCAAGATTTTTATATTCTAAAATTCTATGAATAAATGCCACAAACATCGCAGTCAGGAATTTCATAATCTTTCTTAAAGTATGGGTCTTTCTGGGACAGACATTAAGTACTTCCTGATGTATTGCAATATAAAGTTCACAACACCACCTATAAAATATTCTTGTTAAAACACTGGATCAAATCAAACCCTGAGAGCTAACCACCAGCTTATATAAGATACATAGGGTATGGAGTCCGGGTGCAGTGGCTCACGCCTGTAATCCCAGCACTTTGGGAAGCCGAGGCGGGCAGATTACGAGGTCAGGGGTTCGAGACCAGCCTGACTAACATGGTGAAACCCCATCTCTACTAAAAATACAAAAATTAGCCGGGCGTGGTGGCGTGCACCTGTAATTCCAGCTACTCAGGAGACTGAGGCAGGAAATTGCTTGAACCCAGGAGGCAGAGGTTGCAGTGAGCTGAGATCGTGCCACTGCACTCCAGCCTGGGCGACACAGTGAGACTGTCTCAAAAATAAAATATAAAAATAAATAAAAAATAAAAGATACATAGGGTATAGAAATAAATAGTGCCAGGAAAAAAACAGAGACAAATTCAGAATGTAGGACATCTCACAGTACCACTGACCTAGTTCCTTGAACATTTCACCTAGTTGATTTATCTAACATTATTTTGTTTTTTCTTTCCTGCTTCCTTTCTGTTTTGGCTTACATATTTAAAAGTAAATCCCACACATCATGTCATTTTATCCTTCCATATTTAAATATGCATCTGTTAAAATGAGTGCATTGTCCTTACATAACCAAAGTGGTTACCAATCCCAATAAAATTATCATTTCCTCAGTTGTCTCAAATTATTGATTCCTTTGAATCAGCATACAAGAAACACTCATGCATTATATATTAGTATGTCACGTTTCTTGAATCTAACAGAACTTTTCATAGGCTGGTTTAGGAATAACTCTACCACAGAATAACTCCTATGGAAATATATTCCTACATCCTAAATAACTAATGCTCAAGAAAATTCTAGAACAATATTTTCAAAAAGTACGGTGTATCTAAGTAAAAAAATTACTTCTTAGTCTTCCCCTTTTTCTCAGCAGGGTCTAGACCAGAAAGAAAGGTTCAGCACACATTTTACAAGCTTTCCTTGGAAACTGGTTAAATTATTACTAAAATGTAATATCTGAAGAACATGGAAACCAATGTTTTATTCCTCTTTAAAGGCTTAAATGATATTAAGCCTTTATATTTCATTCAAATATGCAAAAATCTGATCAAAAAAGGTACTAAAAACCCCACCTGATCCTTGAAAAACAGTAAGCATTACGTATCTTTTATGTTTCCATTGTTTCTATTTTCAGTTTAACTATAAAATCAAATTCTTACTACAGAGACTTTTCTACCAGTATTGCCAAAACTAGCCTCATAACCAAGAATGTTTTTTGTTATGAATTTTAACAAGGTGAAAACCTGATTATAAAATAACTTAAATTTGATTCTAACAAATGTTTTTATAACCAGAAACACTTCTGAATCATGGCCAATGATTTATTGTAACCACTATCATATTACTAAAATATATTTTTTACATAAATAATTCAGTATGCGGTATCTCATTAATATTCATAAAATAAACAAAAACACCACCACATTTAATTGCAAAAGAAGAAAAGAAGAATTTGGCTAAATTATAACAGAAATCTTGTCATATGACAGTAAATTTGTTTACTTATTATATGCCTCCCCTCAATCAAATGTATATCCTCTGGAGGAGATCTTACCTGTTTTGTACACTTCTAGATCCCTCACACCAAGAACTGGCATTCAATGTGTCACTGAGTGAAGTACTTTTCTATAGGAATGCTAATCAGCAGTATTGATATCTAGATAAGGCTTATAAGGAGGTTGTTCTTTTAAATGGCCATAGCCAGTATGGCCCAGGGTATCTAGGTAAAATGTTACTTCACATATATCAAGTAAAATACATAATTTTAAAATGTCTATATATTTTTGAGAGACCCAATTCTAGAAATTAGATATTTTGACCTTTTCCTGACAAAGAGTTGCCTTATTAAATAACTCACAGATATCAATAGTTTAAAATTCATATTACCTTAATACTTAGAAGAATTAAGTTGAACAAGTAGAAAACTCTTTCCACTTTATTGCTATCTTTTCATGGATCTTAGATTATAAAAAAGTAATTTTTAAATATTATAAAAGCACATGATTCTAAGATAAATAATTCATTTTCCTGAATAAAAAGTGACCCATTTTGGTAAAATGTCATAAATTTACCTTTCTGCAGTAGTACACTCATCAGAAAATTCAGTATCTGCTGAACTTTTCCTACTATTATTTGACCTCCAAGATGAGGCCAAAGGAAGCTCTTCTGAAGACATAGGCCTTGGCCTTTGGCCAATCCCAGATGGTTGTTGTAAACCTGCAGACTGTTCTTCAGTGCTTAAAACAGCTATAATTGCTCTTATGGTAGCTTCATCAACTTGAGACCAAGGTTTAGATGGAGCTCTCATTCGGCGTAAAAATAAGCTATGCCACTTCTGTCTGAGCTGCAGCAATAAACTAGCTGCCTGTAATAGTTCAAATAGATACAAGCAAATGAATATCACATATGCAAAACACCTATGTGTTGATTAGTTTCCATTAGTTTGCAACTGTTTCCAACAAACTTATTTCACATTTCATATAATTTACTACTAATTTCATTATTTTTAATGCATGAATGAAATAAAATTTATTTATAATATTTTAGGCACTAAGACACAAAATCAAATTAAATAGTCTAATAAGAAAGACAGTAAACAATAGTTGTGGCAGAGTGTGATTAATACTGGAAAAGTAGCAGCAGGGTAAATAAAAATATATGTAGCTCATAGTGTTATTTTAGTGCCTGTAGAACATCCAAATGATCATGTCCTGAAGGCAGCTGGATTCACAGAAAGGTCTAAGACAGAGCTCTAAACTTGAAAGTCACCAGTTCCTAAATGATTGCAAAATATACACATAGAGATAAAGTCCCCAGGGAATGTATAGAGGGAGTAAGAAGATAAGAGTAAGACACAAAGTGCTAGAGAACTTAAAATTTAAGGCACAAACACACACAGCAGGGTCTGTGAAACAACTAAGAAGGACTGACTACAGAGAAAGAATTAAGAAAGATTAATGTTACAGTAACTAGTGACAAAGAATTTGGGGCAGGAGTAAGGAAGAAAACTGGGGAAGGGCAGGAGTACAAAAAGGAGGATATGGACAATAGTGATAAATAATAGAGGTCACATTTATCCCAGACAGCAGACTGACTTTGACAACATGAAGGACACAGTTGACCTTGGCAAGTACAGTTTCAGTGAAGTGATGAATTGGTGGGAATGGAAGTGAGAGTGTAGTAGGTTGAAGTGATGAATGAATGGATGCTAAAATAGTAAACCTAGCCAGTGTTAACTATTGACAGCTTGACGCCTCCCAAAAATGTATAGAGAATGATCTTGGACAGTAGAGATAGAATCAAGGGGAGGCTTTGTCATGAAAATTTGTAATTTGAAAAGAAACATTCATCCTCCCTCAAACCCCCAATTCAGAAGTATATGCAAAGAGAAAATAGTATGGAATCATATCTTTCTCTCAGAAAACACAGTTACACAAAATAAAGGGAGTTCTTGTGTACCCAATACTCAATACTTTCTTATATATCCAGAAATACTCAAGGATTACTGCTACAGTTTGAAGTTTTTGTCCCCTCCAAAACTTCATGTTGAAACTTAACCTCCAATGCAATAGTAATGGGAGGTGTTGGCCTTTGAGGGGTGATTGAGTCATGAGGGCTCTGGCTTCATGAATGGGATTAGGTATCCTTATAAAAGAGCTTGATGGAGGGAGTTCATGCCCTCTTGCCCTACTGCCTTTTGCCATATGAGGACACAGTATTCCTCCACTCTATAGGAGGCAGGGTCCAGCAGCCCTCAACCGACGTCAGCACCTTGATCTCAGACTTAAGATCCTTCAGAACTGTGAGAAATAAATTTCTGTTCTTTATAAATTACTATAGCAGCAACAACAAACTAAGACAATTACCTTGCTTAAATAATGAGCCACAACTAGGTTTTCCAAGTCCTCTGTTGGAATAAACCCCAATACAGAAGAGAATGAATGAGGTCCCCAAGAAAACTGAAAAACAAGTTATATTCTCTGATACTAAGGGCTCAATAGTAAAGAAAAAAATTTTATCATATTATATATCAATTCACACTAACTGAATGAAAGAAATTTATTACACTACTTGAAAGCAACTTACCTCTGGCTCCAGTGTGAAATGGAGCCACTCATCAAGTTTCAAGGCTGCCAAATTAGCTGTAGTTTTGTCCTCCATTTCACTATCACTACTGTCATTGGGAATGCCATCCACTGTCCAAGTACATAATGAAAAAAAAATCACTTTTACCTTCTTACGTTATGGCAAAAAACTAAGAAGAATAAATACGCTTCATATACACAAACCCTCCTGACATACAACAATTTGTGTGGGAAGTCCTTCAAACTCAAAAGATCACATGTTAAATCTCAGTATTTATTTAAAAGGAAAAAAAAGGGACCATTTGAAGACTATAATGTCTCATCACAATGCAACAAAATAAAAAAGACAAGAATATAAAATTTGAAGCACAATCTTTAATAACTGGATGAAAAAGAAACAAATAACATAATTCAAGGAAGGAATGACTATACTACATATCAAAAACTATGAAAGGTGCCCAAAGCAATACTCTTATAAAGTCACAGGTCAGTTTTAAAAAGAAAAAGTATACAGCTAAATATATCTAAGAAAAATAACATAAAACCCAAAGAAAAGTAGAAGAAAATAGAAAATTATAAAAAGATGAATTAGAAAGACAAAATGGTAATTAAAACTATAACCCAGTTCTTTGAAAATATTAATAGATAACCCTCTGTAAATTTAATAAAGGAAGAAGAAAGCAAAAATCTATCTACAAAATTAGGTGAAAATGAGATTATAAAAATACAGAATGCATTATAAAATATGAAATTGATATAGGCTAAAACATACAGTATGTATAAATAATAAATTTGAAATCTTCAAAGAAATTAATTATTTTCTACACGAAAATTACTAAAACTGAAAGTAGAGGAACTAGAAGAACACAAATATATTTAAGGAAGAAATCAGAGATATCCTTAAAGAACATCAACAAAGAAATC
Source organism: Homo sapiens (assembly GCF_000001405.40). Taxonomy (NCBI): domain Eukaryota; kingdom Metazoa; phylum Chordata; class Mammalia; order Primates; family Hominidae; genus Homo; species Homo sapiens. Next base: position 113,578,772 of record NC_000005.10, on the reverse strand, counting down.
CAGAATACCAAGTCTCTCAATTTTGCATGGAATCAAATAATGACCATTCCTGTAATGAGACAAATCTAAACCTAACCCAAAACCTGATTAACACCTAAAACCTACATACCGGAATATGTACAAGCACACACCACACAAACCCTACAGGTCAGCCTCCCCAATGAAGATAAATATAAGTTTTAAATAAAATGTTAGAAAAATATCCAGCAATGTAATAAATCACACTTAGTCCAAGGAAGGTTTATTCTCAGAACAAAATAGCAGTTCCATAAGAAAATCTATATACCACATCAATAGGCTAAATAATTTCTGATTATATGAACAAATGCTCAAATGCTATTTAGTAAATTCAACAAATTTTTAACACATACACAAAAAAACAAAACAAAACAAAACAAAACAAAACCTTCTATGCCAGGTGTGGTGACTCATGCCTATAGTCCCAGCTACTCAGGAGGCTAAGGTGGGAGGATCACTTGAGCCTTGGAGTTCAGGGTTACAGTGAGCTATGACTACTGCACCACTGCACTACATCCGGAATAACAGAGTGAAACCCTGTCTCTTAAAAACAAAAACACACACACACACACAGATACACACACACAAACACTATTCCGTTATTTAAAAGGGACACTTTTATTAAAATTAACATTATAATCAATAGTATAACTTTAGAATTTGAACCTTTAAAATTCAGTAAGACAAAATGGACCTTAATTCAGTTTTCTAATATCCTCAGAAAGAAATAAAAGGAATACATTTTGGTAATAAATGGAAGTATTACCACCTGAAGGTAATATAATTCAATAAATACAAAATCCAAAGGATTAATGAGTTTAATAAAGTAACAAGGTACATAAAATATATAATGTCTGCAATAATGTTTCTAAAGTTCAGCAAGAAAATTACACAAAGAGAATCCATTCACCATGACAACTAAAAACAGCAACAAAAGAATCTTAAGAATCACCTTAGGAAATATCCCCAAACTTTATAAAAGTTACCAAAAATATATATTTTTTAAGATAAATTTAAAATAAGGTATGGCTAATTAAAAGATACTAAATTTCCTGGATGGAAACATTAAATTAATATACAAAAGAGGCCAGGTGCGGTGGCTCACGCCTGTAATCCCAACACTTTGGGAGACCGAGGTGAGCAGATTGTAAGAGCACAGAAGTTTGAGACCAGCCTGGGCAACATGGCAAAACCCCATCTCTACAAAAAATATGAACATTAGCCAGGCATGGTGGTGTGTGCCTTTAGTCCCAGCTACTCGAGAGACTGAGGTGGGAGGATCACTTGAGCCTGGGAGACAGAGATTGCAGTAGGCTGTAATTGCACCACTGTACTTCAGCCTGAGGGACAGACCAAGACTCTGTCTCAAACAAACAAACAAACAAACAAACACAAAAGAACTGTTGTTTGCAAAAGGATTACAAGAAGATGACTAATGAATATTCATTATTTAAAAATAGGTAAGATTATCAAACAATAGCTCAATAACAGAAAGGCAGTAAAGAGTTACAGCTAGAGCTTCTACTACCAGATATTAGAATTTATTAATAAATAAAAATACTAAATAAAAAGGTGCAATATAAAGGCAGAAATGTAAAGGAATAGAGTATACAAAAAGGTTAAAGATACCAAATTTACCATGCAATCATGCAAGCTTTCTAAAGGAGGATATATAAGAACTGTTTAATAAATTGTACAGATGAGGGGAAAGCACTTGGAAAAACTTAGATCTTTGTTTTAGGCCAGAATCAACTCAACATGGTTATAAAAAATATTAAAAATCAAATTATAGAAAACAAAAACAATACTTATCACATCAATGGAGGGATGAAATTTTCTCAGCTTTGAAAGTGAATAGTATAGGAAAAGATTATTCAGTTTAAATACACAGCAATCAAAACTCAGAACTCAAAATACTAACACCAAAATGAATAATAGATTGACTTAAACATGACAGAAAAAAGATTAATAACATCTTTAAATTATAACGCTATCATTCAAATTTTTGAGTAAAATATCAGTACCCAAATAAATGGGCAGAAGATGAAAAAAACAACTCAACTAAAGGGCAATATAAAGAAATGCATGGAGAGTTATTTCTTTTTGACAGAAATAAAAAGAGCAAATGAAGGAATCTTTAAATATTTTATCTTTAAAACCAACACCAAATGATGGCATAGTTGCCATGAAATTCACTCTTAACGGTGCTAATATGGTTGAGTATGGAGAAAGAACCATGAATAATATCTATACATTTTTATCAAGTAATTCCCACTTCAAAGAGTTTTATCACGAAGAAAATATTAAATGAATTAAAGCAAAAGGACACACTGATGAAGATGTCAATGTAGCAATGCCCCATAATCTCATAAATTATCAATCATACTATTTCTACTCTCTTCATACAAACTTAATGCCCTCAGTCTCTCAAAGCACATTCAATAGAGCTAACCACTCCTTTCTTGAAACAGATTTGCCTCCAACACTGAATCACTCTTCCACTACTCAAATTTATATATTCTCTTTAAGAAATCCATTCTCATGTCTATAAATATCATTTACAAGCTGATGACTTCCAAATTTGTATTGCTAGCCCAGACATCTTCCCTGAGCTCCAAAAATGCATATCCAACTGCTTCCTAAAAAAAAATTTACTTAGAGTGTCTTAGCCATCTCAAACTTAACATGTCTAAAAAGAACCCTTAATTTCTCCCCTACACGACTTGCTCCTTCGTTTTCTGAATCTCAAATGAGTGACAAGCTACTATAACCAAAATCTGAGAATTGACTCCTCCCTTTCCCTTACTACCCACATTCAATCTAGCAGTTACTAGTACCTTCAAAATAATTTTATATCTACTTCTCTTCATATCAGCGATCACTATCCTATCTGAGCCATCATCTTGTTAGAAGACCACTGCAAAAGCCTCCTACCTGCCTCCACTCTTCTATTCTTGTAATTACTCCTGTAATTCATCCCCTTAGCCAAAATGACCTTTTGGAACACACCACGTCATGTCATTCCTTTACTTAAAACCTTTTAATGACTTCCTTTTCTTTGCATTTCTATGGCCTACAAGTCCTTGCTTTCCTTTCAACCTTATCATTGCCCTCTTCCATTGACCAGTGCACTCCAATCACACAGCCTTTCTGTCAATTCCTAGATAATTTCCTAGCACAGAATCTTGGTGCTTTCCCTCTTTCTCTACCTGCAGCACATTTCTGCTTTTCATGTGGCTGGCTCTTCTCATATTGTAGGTCTCAGTTTAAGTCTTCTCAGAAAAACGTGTCTAGGCTTTCTTTCAAGTAGGTCACCCCTAAGGCGATCCTCTTTGTATTTCCTTAATAGTATCATGCAGATTATTTATTTTTTACTGTCTGTCTACCCTCACTACTGTGTAAATTCCTAAGGACAGACACACACTGTTATACCTTCAATGTCTAGCACAGTACCTGACATATAGTAGGTACTAAATATTTGCTGAATCATTAAATAGCAAATAATTTGAAATCATCAAGATGTCTAACTATGAAGGAACATTTTAAATGTGTTATGCCAGGGGATCAATCAAGATGGCTTATTAGAAACAGCTGCAGTCTGCGGCACTCACAAAGAAGAATGAAAAGGCACAATGAATTCAGCATCTTCAACTGAAATATCCAGGTTCTCACATTCGGACATACTAGGCATACATACAAATCAACCCATGGAGAATGAAGAAAAGTAGGTGAAGGCGACAGCCCACACAGGAGCAGCACAGAGCAAAAGGAACCCTCACCCCCAGCCAAGGGAAGCAGTGAGTGATTATATGACCCCTCCCGGGAAACCACATTTCTCCCATGGATCTTTGCAACCTGTGAATCAGGGGATCCCTTTGTGAGCCCATGCCACAGATCTGTGTGGAGTGTTGGCAGAGCAGCCACTCAGGCACACACAGAAACGTAGGAGTTTTACATACTCTGGCCCTGGGATCCCTAGCAAGGCAGGAAATCTGTTTGTACATATCCCTAGGAAGGGGGCTGAATCCAGGAAGCCAAGCAGCATCATTCTGTGGGATCCACTTCCATGGCACCTCACCAATTATGACCTACTGGCTTGGGATGCCAGCCAGCCAACAGCAGTGGGTTGGTCTGTCTGAGATGGGGCCGAGTTCCCAGGGGGAGGGGTGGCTGCTATCTTTGTGGTTTGGTTGACTCAGCCACTCCAGCCTGATGGCTATACAGGCAGTCTGGATGAGGAAGGGTTCCCACCAATGCAGCACACCTGCTGTATCAAAAAGCAGCCAGACTGCTTCTTTGTACAGGTCCCTGATCTCATTCCTCCTGACTGGGTGAGACCTCAGAACAGGGGCTTCCAGTCACCTCCTACAGATGCATGTGGGCCAGCAACAGGCCAATAACCCCCAGGACAGAACTTCCAGAGGAAGGAGCTGGCTTCCATCTTTGCTGTTTTGCAGACTTCACTGGTGATACCTCCAGGTACAGGAAAAACTGAGGCAACTGAGGTCTGGTGGGGAGCCCCAGCAAACCGCAGCAGCCCTATGGAAGACTGGCCTGACTCTAAAAGAAAAACAAACAGAAAACAACAACAACATCAACAGAAAAGACTCCACAAAAACCTCATTCAAAGGTCAGCATCCTCAAAGATCAAAGGTAGATAAGCCCGCAAAGGTGAGAAATAATGCAAAGATGCTGAAAACTCAAAAAGCCAGAGTGCCTCTTCTCCTCCAAATGATTGTGATACCTCTCTAGCAAGGGCACAGAACTGGGCTGAGGCTGAGATGGCTAAAATGACAGAAGTAGGCTTCAGAAGGTGGGTAATAACAAACTTCGCTGAGCTAAAGAAGCATATTGTAACCCAATGCAAAAAAGCTAAGAATCATGATAAAACAATACGGGAGCTAATAGCCAGTTTAGAGAAGAACATAACCGACCTAACGGAGCTGAAAAACACAACAGGAGAACTTCACAATGCAATCACAAGTATCAACAGAAGCACAGACCAAGCAGAGAATAGAATCTCAGAGCTTGAAGACCGTCTTTCTGACATAAAACAGGCAGACAAGAATAGAGAAAAAAGAATGAAAAAAGAAATGAACAAAACCTCCAAGAAATATGGGATTATATAAAGAGGCTGAACCTATAACTGACTGGGGTAGCTGAAAGATAAAAGAGAATAGAACCAAGCTGGAAAACATACTTCAGGATATCATCCAGAACTTCCCTAACCTAGCAAGACAGGCCAACATTCAAATTCAGGAAATCCAGAGAACCCTAGTATAATACTCCATGAGAAGATCAACCCCAAGACAAAAAAATCATCAGATTCTCCAAGGTCTAAAGGAAAGAAAAAATGTTAAGGGCAGCCAGAGAGAAAGGCCAGGTTACATACAAAGGGAAGCCCATCAGACTAACAGTAGACCTCTAAGAGGAAACCCTACAAGCCAGAAGAGATTGGGGGCCAATATTCAACACTCTTAAAGAAAAGAATTTCCAACCCAGAATTTCATATCCAGCCAAACTGAGCTTTATAAGTGAAGGAGAAATAAGATCCTTTTCAGACAAGCAAATGCTGAGGGAATATGTCACCACCAGGCCTGCCTTGCAAGAGCTCCTGAAGGAAGCACTAAATATGAAAGGGAAAAATCCATTACCAGCCACTACAAAAACACACGGAAGTACACAAACCAGTAACACTATGAAGCAACCACATAAACAAGTCTGCAAAATAACCAGCTAGCATCATGACAGAATCAAATTCACACATAACAATACATAACCATAAAAGTAATATTGAAGGTAAATGGGGTAAATGTCCCAAGTGAAAGGCACAGAATGGCAAACTGGATAAAGAGCCAAGACCCACGAGTATGCTGTCTTCAAAAGACCCATCTCACATGCAAAGCCACACATAGGCTCAAAAGAAAGGGATGGAGGAAAATTTACCAAGCAAATGGAAAACAGAAAAAGGCAGTGGTTGCAATCCTAGTTTCTGATAAAACAGACTTTAAACCATAAAGATCAAAGAAAGGCATTACACAGTGGTAAAGGGCTCAATTCAACAAAAAGAACTCATGATCCTAAATATATATGCAAGCTAATACAGGAGCACCCAGATTCATTAAACAAGTTCTTAGAGACCTACAAAGAGATTTAGACTCCCATACAATAATAGTGGGAGACTTTAACACCCCACAGACAACATTAGACAGATCATCAAGACAGAAAATTAACAAAGATATTCAGGACCTGAACTCAGCTCTGGATCAAGTGGACCTGATAGATATCTACAGAACTCTCTACCCAAAAACAAGAGAATATACATTCTTCTCATCGCCACATGGCATTTATTCTAAAATTGATCACATAACTGGAAGTAAAACACTCCTCAGTAAATGTAAAAGAAGTAAAATCATAACAGTCTATCAGACCACAGCACAATCAAATTAGAACTCAAGACTAAGACATTCACTCAATACCACACAACTACATGGAAACTGAACAACCTGCTCCTGAATGACTCTTGGGTAAATAACAAAATTAAGGCAGAAATCAAGAAGTTATTTGAAAGTAATGAGAACAAAGAGACAATGTACCACAATCTCTGGGACACAGCTAAAGTAGTGTTAAGACGGAAATTCATAGCACTAAATGAACACATCAGAAAGCTAGAAAGATTTCAAGTTAACCACCTAACATCTCAATTTAAAAAATTAGAGAACAAAGAGAAAACAAACCCAAGCTAGCAGAAGACATGAAATAACTAATATCAGAGCAGAAGTGAAGGCGATAGAGACAGGAAAAACCCTCCAAAAAAATCAGCAAATCAAAAAGCTGGTTCTTTTTAAAAATCAATAAAACAGACTGCTAGCTAGATTAATAAAGAAGAAAAGAGAGAAGAATCAAATAGACACAATAAAAATGATACAAGGGATCTCACCACTGACCCCATGGGAATACAAACTACCATCAAAGGATACTATAAACACCTCTATGCAAATAAACTAGAAAATCTAGAAGAAAGAGGTAGATTCCTGGACACATACATACTCCTGAGACTGAACCAGAAAGAAGCTGAATCCCTGAATAGACCAATAACAAGTTTGGAAATTGAGGCAGTAATAAAGAGCCTACCAACCAAAAAAGCCCAACCAGATGGATTTACAGCTGAATTCTACCAGAAGTACATAGAAGAGCTGATACCCTTTCTTTTGAAACTATTCCAAACAACTGAAAAGGAGGGACTCCTCCATAACTCATACTGTAAGACCAGCATCATACTGATACCAAAGCCTGACAGAGATACAACAAAAAAGAAAACTTCAGGCCAATATCCCTGATGAATATCAGTGCAAAAATTCTCAATAAAATATGGGCAAACCAAATACAGCAGCACATCTAAATGCTTGTCCACCACAATCAAGTTGGCTTCATCCCTGGGATGCAAGGCTGGTTCAACATATGCAAATCAATAAACATAATTCATCACATAAACAGATCTAAAGACAAAAACCAAATGATTATCTCAATAGATGCAGAAAAGGCCTTCAATAAAATTCAACATGTCTTCGTGTTAAAAACTCAATAAACTAGGTAGTAAAGGAACATATCTCAAAATAATAAGAGCTATTTATGACAAACCCACAGCCAGTATCATACTGAATGGGCAAAAGCAGGAAGCATTCTCCTTGAAAACTGTCACAGTACAAGGATGTCCTCTCTCATCACTCTTATTCAACATAGGATTGGAAGTTCAGGCCAAGGAAATCAGGCCAGAGAAAAAAATGAAGAGTATTCACGTCGGGTGGGTGCAGTGGCTCATGCCTATAATCCCAGCACATTGGGAGGCCGAGGTGGTAGATCACTTGAAGTCAGGAGTTTGAGACCTGCCTGGCCAACATGGTGAAATGCCAAATCTACTAAAAATACAAAAAAAATTAGTGGAGTATGGTGGCAGACGTCTGTAATCCCAGCTACTCCGGAGGCTGAGGCAGCAGAATTGCTTGAACCCAGAAGGCGGAGGTTGCAGTGAGCTGAGATCACACCGCTGCACTCCAACCTGGGCGGCAAAGTGAGACTCCATCTCAAAATAAAGAAATAAAGAGTATTCAAATAGGAAAAGAGGAAGTCAAATTATCTTTGTTTGTAGTTGATATGATCTACATCTAGAAAACCCATTATCTCAGTCCAAAAGCTTCTTAAGCTGATAAGCAACTTCAGCAAAGTCTCAGGATATAAAATCAATGTGCAAAAATTGCTAGCATTCCTATATACCAACAACAGGCAAGCAGAGAGCCAAATCATGAATGAATTCACATTCACAATTGCAACAAAAATAAAATACATAGGAAAAGGCCAAGCATGATAGCTCACGCCTGTAATTGCAGCACTTTGGGAGGCCAAGGCAGGCAGATGGATCACCTTGAGGTCTGGAGTTCAAGATCACCCTGCCCAACATGGTGAGACCCTGTCTCTAGTAAAAATACAAAAATTAGCCAGGAATTGTGGTGCGTGCCTGTAATCCCAGCTACTCAGGAGTCTCAGGCAGGAGAATTGCTTGAACCCAGGAGGCGGAGGTTACAGTGAGCTGAGATTGTGCCACTGCACTCCAGCCTGGGTGACAGAGCAAGACTCCATCTCAAAAAAATGAAATAAAATAAAATAAAGTAAAATAAAATACCTAGGAATACAGCTAATAAGGGAAGTGAAGGACCTCTTCAAGGAGAACTACGTATCACTGCTCAAAGAAATCAGAGAGGACATAAACAAATGGAAAAACGTTCCATGCTCATGGATAGGAACAATCAATATCATGAAAATGGCCATACTGCCCAGAGAAATTTACAGATTCAATGCTATTCCCATTATACTGACAGTCTTCACAGACTTAGAAGAAACGATTTCAAAATTCTTATGGAACCAAAAGAGACCATATAGCCAAGACAATCCTAAGCAAAAAGAACAAAGCTGAGGCATCACGCTACCCGACTTCAAGCTATACTACAGGGCTACAGTAGCCAAGACAGCATGGTACTGGTATAAGAACAAACACATAGAATGATGGAACAGAATAGAGAACTCAGAAATAAGACCACACACTTACAACCGTCTGATTTTTAACAAACCTGACAAAAACAAGCAATGAGGAAAGGACTCCTTATTTAACAAATGGTGCTGAAAGAACTGGTTAGCTATATGCAGAAAACTGAAACTGGGCCCCTTCCTAACACCTTCGACAAAAATTAACTCAAGATGGATTAAAGACTTAAATGTAAAACTCTAAACCATAAAAACCCTCGAAGAAAATCTAGGCAATACCATTCAGGACATAGGCACAGGCAAAGATTTCATGATAAAAACGCCAAAAGCAATTGCAGCAAAAGCAAAAATTGACAAATGGGATCTAATTAAACTAAAGTTTCTGCACAGCAAAAGAAACAACTATCATCAGAGGAAACAGACAACCTACAGAATGGGAGAAAATTTTTGCAATCTATCCATCTGACAAAGGTCTAATATCCAGAGTATACAAGGAACTTAAGCAAATTTACAAGAAAAAACAACCCATTAAAAAGTGGGCAAAGGACACGAACAGACACTTTTCAAAAGATGTACATGTGGCCAACAAACATATGAAAAAAAGCTCAACGTCACTGATCATTACTGGAATGCAATTCAAAACCACAATGAGATCAGAATTGCTATTATTAAAAAGTCAAAAAACAACATGCTGGTGAGGTTGTAGAGAAAAAGGAACACTTTTACACTACTGTGTAATTAAATTACACTAGTGTAAATTAATTCAACCACCATGGGAGACAGCATGGTGATTCTTCAAAGACCTGGAGGCAGAAATACCATTTCTGGGTAAATACCCAAAGGAATATAAATCATTCTATTATAAAGATAAGTACATTTGTATGTTCAGTGCAGCATTATTCACAATAGTAAAGACATGGAATCAACCCAAATGCCCATCAATGGTAGGCTAGATAAAGAAAATATGGTACATATACACCATGGGATACTATGCAGCCATAAAAAGGAATTAGATCATGTCCTTTGCAGGGACATGGCTGAAGTTGGAAGCCATTATCCTCAGCAAACTAATGCAGGAATGGAAAACCAAACACCGCATGTTCTCACTTATAAGTGGGAGCTGAATGATGAGAACACATGGACACAGACAGGGGAACAACACACACTGGGGCCTACTGGGGGTGTGTGGTAGAGGGTAGGGAGAACATCAGGAAGAATAGCTAATGGACACTGGGCTTGATAGATACATGATGTCATGATCTGTGCAGCAAACCACCATGGCACACCTTTACCTATGCAACAAAACTGCACATCTTGCACATGTACCCCTGAACTTAAAATAAAAGTTGAAGGAAAAAAATGCATTATGCCACTTCAATGTGATATACTATTTTGCAGTCATTAATATAAAATACTAAAAATATTTTTGATATCTCTGTAATGAAAATAACAAAATATAAAATAACAGTTTGGGTGAAATAATTTAAAATATGTAAACATGTAGAAAAAATATAACATTAAAAAGTGTTAGCATGAGAAAAATGAGATTATGGGTGGCTATTATTTCTTTTACAATTAACTTTATTTACGTTAAACTATCATTTAAATTCAAGTGGAAAAGAAAAATTTCTTCCCAACAGCAAGATTAATAAAAAATGCACAAATAAACATCAAGTTACCTTATAAATAAATTTCAAAAACAGTAGTATACCTTAGTATTTCCTAATTAGTCTTAGTACATCAAAATAGAGCTGCTACTATATAAATCTTTATAATTTCATTATTTGGTTTAGTAAAATAATTTCATTATTTGGTAAAAAAAAAAAATTCATTTCAAATAGATTTTTATTTCCTTAATACATTTACCTCTAAAGGATGAAGGTTCCTGAAGAGCATTACTTGCCAATCTAGCTGGTCCACAGAATACCAATATAGTGACAGGCGTCACTGCTGAACAACATCTAATATTAGCTATTCTATGGGCTCTGGTCATTTCATCATAAATAAGCCAATCTGTGGGCAGTGCCTTAATTGCTGCAGCTTGACCATTGGCTGGAGGAATCTATTAAGAAAATAAATTTTAAAAATTGTTAATTGTGTTTATCACCTAGTTTATTGGAAATACTTTTAAAATGTAAAGTCTCTCAATGAAATAGATGATGTATATTAGTACGTAAGCAAAAATTAAAACAAGTCATCGCTCATGTAGTTCGTACAAAAGTACTCATTACTTAACATGTTACCTTTTCCAACTCTAAAATTTATAAGTTTTGTTCCAATATTTAATGATATATATATATATATATATATAACTAATTAATTTCTTAAAGCAGGCAGGTATTTGGAGCATTTTTCATTGATAGTGAACTACCTAAATTAGTTTCACCTCAAAACCCAACAGCATTCAAAATCTTTTACCTTTTTATATTGAGGCTGACTGAGAACTGAAGCAGGATGAAATCGTACTTTTTTCTCCTTTGGCCCTGTCAACACTAGATTCTCTCTGTCCACGTGGACTAAATTAGGATACATGCCTGCCACCAATGCAGCTTTAACGACAGCCCAATTCTCAGAGTTTGTGTTAACGTCCCGAATGTCACCACCACCTCGTGCTCTAACAAAACCTAGAGGGGAAAAAAACCACACCAATTTTTCTATTGTGCAAAAGATACTTTTGTGTATTTTTTCCAAAAACTTGTACAACTCATGTAAATTTTGTGATATTCAAATTTCACGATAATTAATAGAATCTCCTCTGGAAAGTTGTTTAAAATATGAACCACCCCTCCCCACCCTAAAACAGATACAGAACCAACATTCTAGGGAAGTGTAGATCTGCTCAGGTTAGATTAAGTATAAGAATCACTTGGGGCTTAAATTTTTTTAGATCCACATTCTTGCAATAAAGTTCTTCATAATCTGCTGCCAGAAACAAACTAAATTCATAGCTGGAAACCCAAACCATTCTTCTGACTGTTATTAACAACATTTTGGTTATGATAGATACTAATTCTGTAGATGAAGTCAAGTAAATATATGGTAATTTTTGCTTGAGTTTCAAAAGTCCTTCATATTTCCTTATGTTCAAGTCAACTCTTAAGTCCTCTGGTTCATTCCTTATATTACTCTGGCACTTCAGCTAACCCATGAATCCAGGCTCTGGTACTATTCTTCTGACTACCACATCAATTTTTTTTTGCTACTCAAAAAGGCAATTCTAAAAGGTAATAGCAATACTAGCATCCTCTTCAAAAAAAAAAAAAAAAAAAGGTGACTTCAAGTATTACTAGCTGTTTTTGTGTTCCAAAAATATGAAGAGCAGCATTCATATCAATTTTTTAAAATTTCTATTTCACAGAACTAAATAAGTATTCATTAATGGTGATAAAAGAAAATAACTATAAGATCTAAATTGATCTCTGCCAACCAATACAAATTGTTCATTGCCAACAGTATCACAAGCATATAGATTCTGTCCCTAGATTTCTCAAATACACCTCCTGCAATAGCATTTTTTCATCAACAAGCAAAAGTTGAAGACATATCGAAGTCTACAAATCATGCATGAATATAAGATACACAACATGATAATGTCATAAAAATAATAGATGGCATCAGTTAACATAAGAAATACTATGAAATATGGGCAGGGTACTCTCAGTAACTTAAATAGGCTCTTTGAGGGAAAAACTTTACCTGATGCTCTAAGTTGACCAAGCAACTGTGTTCTCATGCCTATGATTATTTCCATAGTAGCCTGTGAAAGAAAATTCTTTTCACAAAAGGCTCGCTCCCACCCATCACTTCGTGCTTTTTGCCAGGCCTATAAAAAGAGAATAATTGCATAACAAGACACATTTACTAATCGCTTCTTAGTGAGGCAACAAGTAACTACAAATCACTACACGAATTCCTCGACGTGAATTTGCCTTATTCTAATTTTCTATAAAATCTAAGACTTTATGATCAAATAATATTTATCATTAATTTATACTCAAATGCTAAAAAAGCCATTGAGTTTATAAAATCGCAAAGAGAACTAAGTGTCAAGTAGCCTAAATGACTAACAATGTAAAAATATTTGCCTTCTCAGATGCATCTGCTAATTTTACTCTCTACAAAAGTATAGGTTTTCAACTAAGACTTCTTAACACTTATATCTAAGAATCGTGCCACTCTTGTCCTCCAAAAAATAATCTCTATGTCAACCCTGGACTCTACCTAAGAATGGAAAGTAGGATTTCTATAAATCATCTATATGCAGTATAAAAAGCTCTCCTCTGTGAATAGGTTCTCTTGCTTTGGTATATATATAACTAAAAGACTGAAGCAATAATTTATCCTCTCTGCTTTTGAAGGAGCTGGGGGAAAAGCAAAGAACAGATAGAAATTCTACTCTAAATCTCCCTCTACTTCTCACTCAACTATCTACTATAATATATGGTATTTAATATACCCAATTAATAACAATGAGTTATCCATTGATCAATACTCACAAAAGAGCTTGTAATTATTTTTGAAAATTATATGTGGTGAAAAAATCTTCTGTGTCTGAAAAAGAGTACTTTCTGCATAAACAAAGTTAGATTTTTAAAAAATATGGCTGGGCATGGTGGCTCACACATGGTAATCCCAGCACTTTGGGAGGCCAAAGCAGGCAGATCACTTGAGGTCAGAAGTTCGAGACCAGCCTGGCCCACATGGTGAAACCCTGTCTCTACTAAAAACACAAAAATTAGCTGGGCATGGTGGTGGGTGCCTGTAACCCCAGCTACTCGGGAGGCTGAGGCAGGAGAACTGCTTGAACCTGGGAGGCTGAGGTTGCAATGAGCCAAGACTGTGCCACTGCACTCCAGCCTGGGTGACAGAGCAAGACTGTCTCAAAAAACAACAACAAAAAAATGTATAGACACAGTCGACATTCAAGAAGATTTGAGAATAAATACAATGCCTATGTTTTCAAGAAATAACATATTCTTCCCCACATATCTGAAATTCTAAATTACATTTAATTTGTCTTCCCCAGGATCCTATTTTCCCCATCTTTTCTTTTCCATTTGCCTCTTTCCTCAACTTGCCATTACCATTATCTTAAAAGGTTTTTAAGTGATTTTTGTATTTTGCTTTACAAAATTAAGTTCTCAGCATAGTGTCTTGAGCAAACAAGAAAAAGGCTGAACTCTAAGAAAAATCGATAGATATTACATCAATATAATTTTCTTATAAGCTTTATTCTATGTACTTTAAATAGTATACAGTATTTCTTAACTGAAATTTTAGAACATTCCTTGCCCAAGACATGATTTAAAGAAACCTGGTAATAGAAGCATAAACACAAATAAATATATATACAAATACACACATATATTCCTATAAGGAGAAAATGGGAAAAAAGAGCAAAACTGTTTTAATTTTAACATAACAACAGCAAGAAGATATTTTTCAGGACTATTAATGTGACTTCATAATGAAACAAAATTAATGCAATTTTAAAATTTATAAATTATTTTTAAAATTCCTACATTTGCCCCAGAAACGTGTTTACCCAGCAACGTCTTCAGAAATAAAATGACAGTAATAGTACCTGGAATGCTCTGAGAAGTGCCATATGGTCACTGAAAGCTCCTGCAGTAAAACGTTTCCTACAAAGCATAGCTGCACGTTTTTGAGAGGCCTGAGTAGGTAGTACAAAAGGATCTCGATAAGCTAGTGTGCAAGCAATTGTAAGGATGGGGTCCAGACACTTTAAAACAACAGCACACAAGACCATTTTACCAAGATGTGGTTCTACTGGCAAGTCAGCCAAATGATACCCAAGTTCAGTCAGATCTTCCCATGTATCCATTGCATCTATTGTCTAAGTAAAAGGAGACAGAACAGACTTTGATGTGAGCAAACTGTTTAATCAAAACACATAATTAAAAACCCCTAAATGAGAAATAAGAATATAGATTTTCTTTTGCTACTACATCTCATAAAAATATATTTCGTTTCTATTATACTATATAAAAGAACTATATCTACTGTTTCATACATGACAATATTATTTAAAGTACATGATCATTTAAGATAATTGTTTAAAAGTACAAAATTAGTTTATCTGGACACATGCAGGAGGACAAAAATAAAAAATAATTATACAAAATTAGTTAAGACATATTTCCTTTTAGTTTAAAATTTCAAGTAAAAATGTCATGTAAAATAAAACTATGAAGACACCAACCTTAAGCATTTGTACAGCATTTCTTACAATTAAAGCTGGTGGAGGTTCAGGAGCTTTCATAAGAAAATCAGCAATGGGACAATTAACTGGGGCTAACAGCTTGGTATGTAAGCAAAGTTCCTATAAACCAAAACAGTAAATAATTTTTTAAAATTAAAAAGAATACTAACCTACACATTTAAAGAAATCATGGGAACTACAGTTCCCAAACACAGACTAGTAGAGTCTCTGATTAGAATGAACAGTAGAAGGAACAATGTCTTTCTGTAAAAGATGAGCTCATACTTTGCCCTAGATGCCAGAACCTTAATAAATACCCTCTTCAATCAACTTATACCAAGATTGCCATTGCTCCCATTGGCAACATCTCCTCACACTGTTCGTATACATAACATTCATAGTCACTGTCCAAAAAAAAAAAAATCTTTTCCCCCCTTTATACTTACTACATTCTAGAATATTTTATCTACTCAGCAAATATTTAAGTGCTTTCTAAGTGCAAGGCCCTGTGCAAATTGGAGAAAAAGAAGGGGACAGAAGGAAGTGTCCATTCTCATTGAGTTTACACTGTAATATGAATAAGCAGACTTTAAATAATTAATTATATAATTAACTACTTAATTACGATTATCGTCAGTGCTATGAAGGCTATAGGGAGCTAAATAAGTAAATATGATTTAAGCAAGTTCAGAAAAGGGTGGGAGAGGGAGACCATGGGAAGTTACAGATAGTTTTCCTGAAGAAAGACACTTAAACTAAGATGTAAAGATTGAGTAGGAGTAACTATATAAGGAATAAGGGGAAACAATCTAAGGAGAGAGTAGATACCTGTGAAAGCTGTAAGGCAGAAGGAAAAAAGACGTGCTTGAGAAACTAAAACCAATGGTGTAAGAGAGGATAAGTAACAAGAAATCACCTGTTCCTTCCTTCCTGTGACTGGAGACACAGGCAGGAACAGGCAATTTACGCTCTTGTTAAGGATTGTGAATTTTCTCCCAGGAGGAACAGAAAATCACACATAAGCATTGGGAAGTGGGAAATCATCTTAGATATATGGATGTTTAACACATTATCCTGCCTCTCTTTAAGGGTTTGGAAGCCAGCATTAGCCAAACACACTAAAGAATCAAATAAATGCATTCTGCTAATCTTCCCTAGAAGCTATAGGGTCTGGCTGTTCCATGAAGTTAGAAAACTTAAAACACACACACACACCCACACACACCCACAATTAATACAGGCAGGAACAGGCAATTTATGCTCTTGTTAAGGATTCTGAATTTTCTCCCAGGAGGAACAGAAAATCACACATAAGCATTGGGAAGTGGGAAATCATCTTAGGTATATGGATGTTTAACACATTATCCTGCCTCTCTTTAAGGGTTGGGAAGCCAGCATTAGCCAAACACACTAAAGAATCAAATAAACGCATTCTGCTAATCTTCCCTAGAAGCTATAGGGTCTGGCTGTTCCATGAAGTTAGAAAACTTAAAACACACACACACACACACACACACACACACACACACACACACCCACAATTAATAGAGGTCAGAAAATCTCAGTGAACTCAGTTCTAAAACTACTAGATAATCTCAGCATCTTATAGTGAGATTTGGATATTATCTTTTGGACCTTAAATAATTTGTTTGCTAATCCCTCTGAGAACTTAAAAGGTGAACACTATATAGTTGAAACTCATAAAATGCTGCATTTAAAAAAATATGGCTGGGTGCGGTGGCTCACACCTGTAATCCCAGCACTTTGGGAGGCTGAGGCGGGTGAATCATGAGGTCAAGAGTTTGAGACCAGGCTGGTCACGATGGTGAAACCCTGTCTCTACTGAAAATATAAAAATTAGCTGGGCACGGTGGTGGGCGCCTGTAATCCCAGCTACTCGGGAGGCTGAGGCCAGAGAATCGCTTGAACCCGGGAGGTGGAGGTTGCAGTGAGCCGAGATCGCGCCACTGCACTCTAGCCTGGGCAACAAAGCAAGACTCTGACTCAAAAAAAAAAAAATATAGATAGATAGATAGATAGATAGATAGATAAAAAATATATATATATCCTTTAAAACTGTACCATAATTTAAATATTCAAGTGATTCTTTAAAATTTTGATGGTTTATGAATTAAATTTTCTTATATAGAAAAAATATTTGTTATAGACATAGCCACCCTCCATAATATATATTGAATAATTTTGTTTTACAAATTGATTTTTTAAAGGCCTAATCCATAGAAGTTGAAATGGCCCCTCACTTCCCTCACCCAAAAAAATGCCTTTTATATTTAAATAAATTTTTACCTGTAATGGCATTCTCAAAAGTTCCGGAGTCTGAAATTCCAACATATTCTGGAATCGGAGTCTACTGAACAGACGAAAACAAATTCCAGGTCTACATCGCCCTGCCCTTAAAAATAAAGTACAAGATTAGGACTCAAACAACGAATAAAGGCTACAATAAACTGTAAACGCAATGTGATTTAGGAAAGAGAAAAATGATCCAGGATCAGGATACCTGAGTTTAAATCCTATTCTGTTTCTTATCCTCTTATCAATCATTTTGGAAAGCACTTCACTAGTCTGGGTCTCAATTATTTCAGACAGTGAGATTCATGAAGGACACCTACCTGATACATCTTGTAGGGTTATGGTAAAAATCAAAAGAAATAGCATACATATAAAAGTGAGCAAAAAACAAAGCATGAATGAATATTGGTAATTTAAATTCAATCAATTTTACTGAGCTTATATCAAGCACTGTGTTCAGGCCCAGTGATTAGAGTCATACAAATTATGCATTACACAGCTCCAAGGGAATGCCATTTATCCTGTCATCATAAAGACTTGCATAATTTTCTATGAAGCAGCAGAAAAATACCTGGAAGAAAAGCAGTCTCCTAAATTCACCCAAAGTCACTATATCAGCTAATGGCAGGGCTAGCTATGCTTAGGGATAGAGATATAGAAATATTCTTGTCTTCATGGAGCTCACAACCCAGATAGGCAATCATCACTATAACACATTATAAGAGCTATAAAATCTGACATTATTGATCAACTCTTTCCTTCATCAAATACAAGAGGACTTCAAAAAGTTTGTGGAAAAATGGAATTAAAAGAGAAAAAAATAAAATTTCTCAACCATTAAGTTCAAGACACTTTTGTAAGTGATGACACCAGCCATTTAGTCCTCCCTAAAGAACTGAGGGTCCAGGGAATGTCATCATGTCAATGCAGTTTTACATTATTACCCTAAGAAAAATGGGAGTCCTTTATAGGTATTTTAAGATTAGAAAATAAAATAATTCAGAAGGAGCCAAGCCAGGACTATAAGGTGGATGCCTAATGATTTCCCACAAAAACTTTCATAAAATTGCCCTTGTTTGATGAAAGGAATGAGCAGGAGCATTGCTGTGGTGGAGAAGGACTTTCTAGTGAAGCTTTCCTATGGGTTTTTCTGCTAAAGCTTTAGCTAACTCTTCTCAAAACACTGTCATAATAAGCAGAAGTTACTGTTCTTTGGCCCTCCAGAAACTCGATAAGCAAAATGCCTTACGCATCCCAAAAAACTGTTGCCATGACCTCCAGTCCGCTTTTGCTTTGACTGGACCACTTCTACCTCTTGGTAGTCAGTTTTGGTTGTTCTTTGTGTTCAGGATCATACTGGTAAAGCCATGGTTCATCTTCTGTTACAATTCTTCCAAGAAATGCTTCAGGACCTTGATTCCAATTGTTTAAAATTTCCATTGAAAGCTCTGCTCTTGTCTGCAGTTGATCTAGAAGCAATGGTTTTGGCACCCATCAAGTGGAAAGTCTGCTCAGTTTTTAATTTTTCAGTCAGAATTGGGTAACCTGAACCAACTGTGATATCTACAGTGTTGGCTATTTTTGTGCTGTTAATTGTTGGTCCTCTTCAACTAGGGCACAAATGAGATTTCTTTTTCCTCACAAATTGACATGGACAGTCTGGTGCTATGGGCTTTATCTTTAACATCATCTCATCCCTTCTTAAAATGAGTTATCCATTTGTAAACTGTTGATTTCTTCAGGGCACTGTCACCATAAATGTGATATTTGCTCTTACTTCAATTTTAGAAGAATTCATGTTGCTCTGGTAGGGGCTTTTTTCAAACTGATGTCTTATCTTTCTTAGTGCCTCAAATGAGATCCTGTTCAGATACGTTATAACAAGTTAATATGAGTTTATTTTGGTGCAAAAAATTTTTGAACTCCATGCATAATTTTTTTCATAAGATGCATTTTCCATAAAGTTTTTGAAGACCCCTTATACTTCCCTACACTATACCCACCCTTCAGCCTCTGACTTACCTCCAGGCTCCTCTAAGAGATTTCTATATTTGCCTAGTCCTTAAATGTTTATGGTCCTCTGAGATTGAACCCTTAGCCATCTGCTCTTCTTACACTACCCTCTCCCCTGAAGGAACTTTAATTATATTCATAACCTCAATTTCCATCTGTATTATATCTTCTTATCCTAATTCTAGGCCTATACTTGAGAAACTTCTTAGACAGCTCTACTTAGATTTTCTTTTTTTTTTTTTTTTGAGACGGAGTCTTGCTCTGTCACCCAGGCTGGAGTGCAATGGCGTGGTCTCGGCTCAATGCAGCCTCTGCCTCCCAGGTTCAAGCGATTCTCCTGCTTCAGCCTCCTGAGTAGCTGGGATTATAGGTGCCCACCCCCACACCTGGCTAATTTTTGTATTTTTATTAGAGACAGGGTTTCACCATGTTGGCCAGGCTGGTCTTGAACTCCTAACCTTGTGATCTGCCCGCCTCAGCCTCCCAATCCACTTCGATTTTCTACAGGCAACTCAAACTCAAAATAACCAAAAATTAATTATTCTCTCCAGTGAAAACACTCTTCCAATTTTCCCTATCTGACTATGGCACTACTGTCCGATTTTTTAAGACAGAAACCTGGATGACATCCTTAACTCCACTCTCTTCCTTACCCCTCACCCCCTACATACACAATCAATCACCAACATTACTTTCTTTAGTATCTCTTGAATTAATTATCTATTTATTTTTATTTCCACCACCACTAAAACAATCCAGACTACTTTCATCTCTCCCTTATTATAGGAAAGTATTAATGAAGAAGCCTCCTACTGGGTCCTCCTACCATCATTTTTGTTCCTGCCAATCCATTCTTCAGAGAGCTGAAAGAATACTATACTCATGTCATCCCACTGTTTATTTTTTTAAAAAAGAGAGAAAACTCAAAATGGTCCTTAAAAACTTGTCCCCAACTTTCAGCTCATTTTTCACTATTCTCTAAACTAAATTCTATCCAAACATCCTCCCTATTCACTCTTGCCTTTAGGCAAATAAGTATACCTGGTTATACTTTCCCTCTGCCTTTTAGAAATGCCTCCCCCTTTATTCACAATTGTCTCAGATTCATTCTTAACAACTCTGGAAACATCCAGTTGTAGCACAAATAACACTGTATTAAAATTGCTTAATTTACTGGACTCCCACATGGACTGCAACATTTGCCCTACCTCCAGCTTTACCTATCAGGCTATGGTTTATTTATCACTATCCGTAACATGTGCACAGGGAAGACTTTTGATAAACATTTGTTGAAAAATGGCAATGAAAATTTTTGCAGTTCTGGCCTTCATCTCCAATAATATACTATTTGTTATTTTATTTTTTTTGAGACAGTGTCTGGCTCTGTCGCTCCGGCTGGAGTAGAGTGGTATGATCACAGCTCACGGCAGCTGCAGCCTCGACCTCCCAGGATCAGATGATCCTCCCACCTTAGCCTCCCAAGTAGCTAGGCCCACAGGCCTGTGCCACCACACCTAGCTGATTTTTTAATTTTTTGTAGAGACAAGGTCTCACTATGATGCCCAGGCTAGTCTCAGACTCTTAGACTCAAGTGATCCTTCCACCTCAGGCTCCCAAAGTGCTGGGATTACAAGCATAAGCCACTACACCCAGCCTTACCCACAATAATATACTATTAATAGCAGGGACATCCAGCTTAATGTATCAAGCCACTATTGGTCATAAGAAAACAACTGACATAACAACAACAAAGCCCTCATGGGCATTCTATGAAGTTACAAAGTAAAGAAATAATGCACATGAGTCTTCAGTATATGAGGCATTCTTTGAAAGTCAGCATTTCATGTTTTCCTGCTAATTATAATAAAATGCAAGATAAATATTTACTGAAAATGATACTTTTTAATGTTATCTTTTGAAAATTAAAAAGTAACCCAAACACTTAGTAAAATAACCAAATTACAAAAAAAATAAAATTGTCTCCTTACTCCAAGAACCCCACAAATCCTCCTTCTCAGAGTTAACAATCATTCATTGTTTTTTAATGTTTCTCCCAGACTTCTCGATGCATTTGTGTCAAAATACATACACAAACACACATATATTTTTCTTACCACAAAAGACTACTAGATGCATGTTCTGTATCCTTTCAATTAACAATGCATCCTGAAAACTCATTCCATATAAGAACACACAGATCTACATTTTTCCTTTTAACAGCTACCCAGAAAGCCACTGTGTGGCTATAATTTATTTAATCACTTCAGTATTGATGGACATCACACTGTTCCCAGACTTTACATTATTATAAACAATGCTTCAAAGAACAGTCTTAAACATACATCTTTGCACACGTGTGCAAGCATACTCAGGATAAATTATGACAAGTGGAATCTATGGTCAAAGAGTAGATTTGGATAAATAGTTTCAAATTGCACTCTGAAGAAGTCACACCAATCTATACTCCCATCAGTAAAATATGAAAGACTATTGGCCCATGTTTTTCCTCTATGTTGTACATACTGTTAAACATTTTCATCAATGCCCATCTGAGATTCAAAAAATAATACCTCATTAATTTGCATTTATTTAGATACATATTAGGTAGTATATGTGAGGTTAATGTATTAGTAGGACATGCATATTTTTTATTTTGGTAAATTGCCTATTTGTGCCCTTTATCCATTTTAACTGGATTATTGGCCTTTAGTTGATTTCAAAG
Source organism: Homo sapiens (assembly GCF_000001405.40). Taxonomy (NCBI): domain Eukaryota; kingdom Metazoa; phylum Chordata; class Mammalia; order Primates; family Hominidae; genus Homo; species Homo sapiens. The sequence goes on along the minus strand of NC_000005.10, from coordinate 113,556,444 downwards.
AGCTTCTTTATATAATAAGGAAATTAGCTCTTTGTCCTACATTGCATATGTTTAGAATTTTTGGTTTTGTTTTTTAAGCTTCTTACATCTGAATGTACATTTAACTAGGCAAAAGTTTTTAATTTTAACATAACCTACATTCAACTTTTAAGGAAGTATCAAAATGGCTTGCTTTGCAAAAATAATATAAAAATTTTAACATGAAAACTACTATTTTATTGAACATGGAATATATGATAAATGTGTAATGCATATAAAAACGTTTCCATTTTACAGGCAATTGAATGAATATACATTAAATATACATTACCTGCCTTTCCGCTGTATGGCACTAGCTTTGGAAATCCATACCATTTTTAACATTGTAACAAAATTCAGAGCATCAAAGGATTTCTGTAATATTTAAACCATCTTTATGTTAGAATATAAAAGGTATTTAAAAGGTAATAGCAAGAATGTTATCAACATATTTTAACATGCCAAAAGTTTAATTCAAAGTCCTCTCTTGATTAAATAATTAAAACAGCAGTACTGATTTTTAATAAACCCTGATTTTCTGGTTACAAACATACTAAGAAAAAAGGATTTAAAAACTAAACTCAGAAGAGCGTAAAACTTCTCCATTCTGTGCTCTGCTGAGCTATTTGTTGCTCTCTGCCACAGCTGGATAATGGCAGCCAGTTCTCATAAGACATCAAGATTGGAGAGAACGGATCTATTCCCTTGAGGTCACTTTCCTATCAGATTTGCATCACTGTGCAGAATAAGAAGATCAAGGAAAGACATTTTCTGAAATACTTTTCAGGGACCTAACCTTGTGGAGTAAGAATAACAATCAATAATCTTATCCCAAAGAGAAATATTTTTAACCACTTCCACTTTACTTCCTGCTGAGCTACTAACAAAGTTAGCCTTTCCCGAACGTTACAATGAAGAAAGTAAAAAAGAACCATTGTTATCCACATACTTATTCAAATAACCTACAGTGAAAATTTATTGTAGAGAAATATTTTAAAGAAATACAAGCCTAACTAGAACATGTATTTCAGTCACTCGGTACTTATACTTTCCCTTTCATAAAATAACTGCATAGAGCAAATAAAAATGTTTGCATAATAGTTTATAAAATTTTTAGAAAACAGCTTATTTGGTTTTTAATATGACATTACATTTGTCAATTTTGTATGTTAAATAACTTTTGACACTACCCATGTTTTAAATTTCAGTTACTTAATAAATAAGTAACACCTAAAGGAACTTTCTAAAATATTCAAAACCCACTTTATCCACTTTAGGTAATTTTAGGGCAATAAAATCTGAATTTTCATTGGCTCACCATTAAGATTTTTAGTGATAATACTCATTAATGTACTATTATATAAAAATAAAATTTATCCCACCTTTATTCAATTATAAAGCATATGGCCAATTTTTATAATAAAATTTTATTTTCTATAAAATATTCCTTAAAATTACATTGAAAACATAAGGCAATTACTTTTTTCACATTAAAAACGATCATTTTTATCCACTAAATAGATATAATTTGCTTTCCACACATGAGTAATATGTCTTCCCTTGAAAAATCAATTATCTTTACCACTTTCATTTTTTCAGCGAATGTTATCTACCAAAAGTTAGGAACATGGACAACTGCTGGGCATTCCAGTACTAAAAGGAAATAAATGGCTTTTTTTTTTTTATAACAAAGGTTGGCTGTTTTTGAAAAGGACTTTCAAATAGTAAATATTTTAGGCTTTGAGAGGGTCTCTGTTACAAATACTCCAATCTGCCTTGCAGTATGAAGGCAGCAACCATAGAGAAAAGGTAAAAGTAGACTAGCTGAGTTCCAATGAAACTTTTTTTTTACAAAAGCAAGTGTTAAGTCCAATTTAGCTGCTGGTTATCCCATGGTTTATCTATTTCTTTGCTTTCTTTCAGCATGGTTCTCTTGAACTGAGTATCTTTTGAACACCTGCTATAGGTGAGGCACTAAAGATTTAACAGTGAACAAAGACATAATCCATGTGCATATGTAGAAGGAAAACATAAAAAATATGTAATCAAATTCCCATACTGTGTGACAACATTTTCACTATAACTAACCAAACCCTTTACTTTCTTCCTAGTATTTGGTGAGCAGAGCTACATTTTTGTATACTTTGTTAAAATAACAAAAATTGATTCTATATACTGAATTATTTAAGGCAGAATATTTAGTAAAATCAATATTTAGTATGTTAAATTTATCTAGAACCAGACATTTTTCGTAAATTCTGCTTATAAAAGCATGCGCTGGTCCAAGCTGTCTTGAGTAGAGGTAAAATTAAAAGAAAAACAACTAAATAATAAATAAAAGTATTTGTTGAAGTAGAACTTAATCTTCTTCATTTAAGTAAAACTACAACTTACCCATACATACCTCTTTCACCTTACCAGAATCAATAACAAAGACAACATCATTGACTGTGATGCTGGTTTCAGCAATATTGGTGGAAAGAATCTGCAACAAGATATTACTTTAAAGTTAATAAAAAAACAGAAAAAATAACTAATGAAAGTGTTAAAAAGAAGATTTTATGAAGCTTACTATTTTTCGAACACCTGCAGGTGGGTTTTTTAATACTTTCTTTTGATCGGATGTTTGCATATTTGAATGAAGCATAAAGACTTGGTATCTGCAGACAATTGAAAGAGAAAACATACTATAAGACCTGTCCGTTATTTTAAGCAACAGATATAAGGCTTTAGCCCTTACCTATGTGTACTGTCAGCAAACCGCTTGTCATCAAACAGGATGCGATCTCTCAGTCCAACAATTTCGTCATATCCAGGCAGAAAAATTAGTACTGCACCTTGGAGAAGAATGACTTTTTAATATTAAATCTCATTGTGAATCAGAGGCAATCAACAGAATTATAAAAATCTGTATCACATGTTTTCAAGTACTGGTAAACTATCATAAGATGACAGGAGATTATTCACTTACTACTATCAGTGCAATTATATAAAAATTTGTACACTTAAAATATTAATTCTTAAAGTATATATTTTGCTCCAGTTCTTTTAGACAACACGTATTTACCAGCATCACAACTATGGCAGATATTGTATAGAAGATGCATGATCAAATCCAAGTCTACTTTTTCATCATCGAAACTATGATGATAAGCTTTCAGGAGCTCTCTGTCTTCAGCACTGAGGTCACTTCCATTTGTTTGAACCAGAGAACTTTCATCTAGATTTCCAAATTCCAGTGTAGCACTGAAAAAAAAAAAAAAAAAAAAGACAAAGTCAATTTCCATTAACAAAAGTAATCCTTATGTCCTTCAAATTTCCAATATTCCCTAAGGAAGGTAAGGTAAGTGACACTTAATGTCCTAGCTATAATATGATTCATGTTTTGATTTCAAGCACATTATTCAAAGTAAAATTTGGCAATGAATGCTTTTAGAAAAGCACAATCTGAAGGCATTTCTCCAAAGTAAATATACAAATGGCCTATAAGCACATGAAAAGATGTTCAACATCATTAGCTATCAGGGAAATGCAAATCAAAACCACAATGAAATACCACTTCACACCAACTAGGATGACTACAATCAAAAAGACAGACAATAACAAGTGTTGGAGAGGGTGTGGAGAAATTTAAACCCTCATGCATTGCTGGTGGAAATGTAAAATGGTAAAGCTGCTTTGGAAAACAATGTGGCAGTTCTTCAAAAGGTTAAACATAGAGTTACCATATGCCCCAGCAATTCCACTCCTAGGTGTATATATAAGAGAAATGAAAAAAATATATCCACATAAAAATCTGTACACAAATATTCATACCAGTATTATTCATAGTCAGAAAGTGGAAACAACCTAAGTGTTCATCAATTGACAAATATACAAACAAACCTTGGTATATCCATAGAATATGTATTAGTCATAAAAATAGTGCTACAACATGGATATTTTATGCTAACTGAAAAAAGCCAATCACAAAAACCACATATCACATGATTTCATTTATATAAAATGTCCAAAATAGACAAATCTATAGAAACTGGAAGTAGATTAGTGGTTGGTCTAAAGCTGGAGGAGGCCTAGGAGAGTTGGGGCGGAATAGGGAGAGACACCTAATGGGTACAAGTTTCTTTTTGTGGTGATGAAACTGTTCTAAAATTGATTGTGGTGATGATTGCATAAGTCTGTGAACATATGAAAAACCATTGAATTGGTCACCTAAATGGGTGAATTATATGGTATATTAATTATATCTCAATAAAACTGTTAAAAACCACAAACTTTCAGCTATCATTTATATTTTCTTAATAGGTTGTATCTAATTGTTTACTACTATAAACAATATTCTGATGTATAGTTCACATTTTTAAAAAACTCAGTAGGTACCAACTTAACATGACTGTTAATTAGAAAATTCTATACTAAAAGCAAGTTGATTATGCTATTTTCCAAAAGCAAGAATCAACATAAATTACTGAAATAAATGCCTTGCTTCTTCATCTTATATGTAAAAATGTAAACTACTGCTATCACTAGCAATTATCAACAGAATTTCTAGGAAGTTCAAATAAATCCAATCTCTCTTAAAGAATTTAGCAGAAAAATAACGTAAGACTATTTTCAATGGGAAAAATATTAAACTTCTACAACTTAATAATTGGCTCTTGTAAATGTTTTATTATACTTTAAGTTCTGGGATACATGTGCACAACATGCAGGTTTGTTACATAGGTATACACGTGCCATGGTAGTTTGCTGCACCCATCAACCCTTCATTTACATTAGGTATTTCTCCTAATGCTATCCCTCCCCTATCCCGGAACCCCTCAAGAGGCCCTGGTGTGTGATGTTCCCCTCCCTGTGTCCATGTGTTCTCAGCTCTTATAAATTTTAAGATCTACTTTAAAACACTGTAAGTTTATTGTTTTTTAATTTTTAACACATAAATGAAGAAGACATTATATTCTGTTTAAAGCTATAACTTTTGGATATAAATTATCAATAATCCAGTAAACATAATAATATATTCAATTTTAAATACCTGAAATTTATAATTGATAATATGATCTATCAAATAAAAAGAAAGCCCAGTTAGCCAGGATAATTAAAATATTATCCAGATAAACGCTTTACCTGGTAACCTGCAGTATCTAGTGAGCTTTACTTAACACCATAAGAATGTCTGGAACATTCAAAGTGTTAACAATAAAAGGACTGCAAGTTCTGGGTGCTACTATTGAAATGACAACTAAACCTACCATATCAGAAATAGCATTTAAACCTACCAAGAATTTTGAGACTCAATGTCACAACTAATTTCAAATGTCTGAGACTACATTTCCAATTTTACATCTATAAAATTAAGTACAAAAACCCAGGTCAAATAAAACATTTTATATGCTCTTGAATAACAGATATTTTAATATATTTTAACTTCAGGCTCCATTGTTTTCTTTTTTGAGTCTCTAAAGGTTGAAAACAGAAGCTTTCAATGTATTATAAAACATATATTCAAAATTTTCTTTAAATATCTAATCTGAAAGCTTCATAATTTATTTAAATATCTAATGTAAATTTATCTAAAATTTCTATCTAAAAGACAATTAATTCGATTGGTTTTACAGGATTCCCTTGTGATTTTTCTTTTTTTGCTAAATCAAAGCAATACATATACATAGTGGTGGTAAATGGTTTTATAGAAGTTATAACAAAAACTCCTAGTCACACTGCTTAGGACTATTCTATTGTTTTAGCCATTCCTTTTTAGTATTTGCTGTCATATTTCTAAGCAACATTCATTTTCTGCTATTTATTGTTTTAACAACGTAGTCATTATCTGCGAACCTCCAACTAATGAAAAATGAGGTTACCACTTCCACTTCCCTACACTTTCCACCCACACCAGTTCCTACAATTTTTGTTAAATCTTCATTCAGCCTTTACTTTACTATGACTGGTAAACATTTACTGCTTAGCCTAATAATATACTATGATTATACCTCCTTTCTTGTGTAACTTTTTGTTTTTCCTAGAGTAACAACTGTCTAATTTTTATTTGCTTAGTTTTCTGTGATCTGATAGTAATTCTTCCCAAATTATCTAACAGATTCATAAAGCTTTTTAATATGATTGACAATGCCAGGTAAATTTTTCCCCCACAGAGACCTCCCTCTAGAGCCCCACATCTTCTGTTCCTATGCGATCAGGCCTACTAGACACAGGTGTCATCAAAACAATCCTCTGTACCAGCATCCTGAGCATTCCTTTCACCTATCCCCTGTGCTGTACCTGCCCGGTTTTACCCGTTTTTTTTTTCTCCCCCAATTTTTGTTTTTCTTTTTACTTCTTTTTTGTGAAGCACATTCTCCAACAGTTTCCTAATAAAGGAGTACATAGGAAGCAAATTTTCTTATGTTTTTTCTACAATTTTCCTGCTCTGAAAGCAATTTTCTAAACTTTATCTTGTAACTCTTCTTTTTTTCTGCTATCATATTTTTAATTTACAAGAATTATTTATTTATTCATTCATTCAACAAACACTCACTGCACATCTACTACATCTAGTTGCTGTTCTTGAACAAGCAGACAATAAGCTTACTACATTCTGGTAGGGAGAAGAGATAGACAATAAATCAATAGAACAGTGAACAAGTATATTACATAGTGTATCAGAGGGTGGTAGGGCTTCTGGAGAAAAAAAGAATACGTAGAACAGGTTAAAGAGGATGGACATTGCGTGGGGGGTAGATTGTAATATCAGATACGGCAAATTTGGGTAGGCCTCATGAAGACAAAATCTGAACAAAGATTTGTGTTCTGTTCCTTTTTGATAGCACACTTTTTATTGCATGAATGCAATATCTTTTATTATAGTTTTGTATTCTAAGTTTTCTCTTTGATAACTAACTCTTTTTTTACTGCTTCACTCAAAGGCCACTGAACAAGCCTCTAAGGAGTTTCAAAGCTAAAATGAGTGTTTCTCATTGGCACTGTGAGTTTTCTTAGTTCTGCTAAGTCAATCAATCAGCTATCTATCATCCCAAAATTAACATCTTCTATCAGTTGCCCTGTCCTCTTCCATTCTCTTTGACTTTGGTTTACACCTTTTAAATTTCTTTATATTGCTTCATTGTCATTTTAGTGAGGTTTTGAGAAATGTAAAAGGTTTGAGAAAATGCAGAGATACTTATGTTGTACCTACCATGTTTAATTGGAAATCCCTCTACTGATTTCTTAAAATAAGACAAATATTATACCATGGTAGATCAGACAGAAAATTTCCTTAGAATCACAAAAAAAAATCTCTGGATAAAAGACTATAAATGGTCTACATTTGAATAGCCCATAATTTATATGGTGAAGCTCTTTTTTAAGAGACGGTAGAATTAATTTAAAATAGTACAAAGTTTTACCTGTAAGATTCTAGAAGATCCACAATTTCAGTCTGCCCAAAGTGTTTAGCCCAATCCAATGCCATCCTGCCAAAATTCAAAGGATATATAAGATGTCATCAAAATTGTAAAACTAGTTCATGATGAGCCTGGGCAACATCAAGACCCTGTCTTTTCAAAAAAATTTTTAAATAAAAAATAAGATAAATTATAGTTAAAAAACAAGTCATTCAAAATTATTAACCCATTAAAACAGAAATTCACCAGCAATTATTACACAATAGTTTTTAATATAAAGACAAACATAAGAAAACAAAAAAAGATATGTGTAGCTATACAAAGATATATGAAGAATCAACGTAGTTTAAAATTACCAGCCATTTGATGCTTTACTATGGACATTGGCTCCCATACTGATTAACTGTTCTACTTGACTTGCAAAGCCACGTCCTGCAGCAACCATCAGAGCTGTTGCACTGGTTTCACTATGTCTGTAATCAACTAAAAAAAGGAAAAGATAAATAAAACTTAAATTTCCAAAGTACTTCAAACCATTTTCATTCTTTAAAAAATCTGAAATAGCAGAACTGAGTTTCAGGATAATTAGCCTGAGAGTTGCTCCTTAACTACATAATGACAGCACTACATAACCCTTAACTTAGATCACTTACAGCAATCTGTTATGATATGTCTAGTGTAAATTGAATAAAGACTGTTGGTTGGAAGGTAGGAGAAGGAAAGATCGATGTTAAACTGTTTTAAGCTCATCTATATTATTTCAACAGAAAAGGAAAGCTATTAACTTGCATAACCTTAAATAATCTTCCTAAATCTAGATATTACCTTGTTCACCAAATGACAAGACATAATTAAATAATTTAAAAGTTAATTTTCATCAGTAACTAGTAATGAATACTTAAAAGCTTCAAATGCAAAGTTTGAGACAATGTTTGGTTGTTATTTTACTTTGCTTTTAATCCCCCATTCAAGGCTATTTGATAAGACACTTAATGGGATTAACACTGACAGAAAGTTTATTTCCCATAAAACCCTTACATTAGAAAAATAATTAAAGTTCTATTGAAGTTTCTTCCTAGAATATATTTCTCAAGCAATTCAATATAATTGCTTAGCATTAATTTGCTTAAATTACAAAATTGGTAATTTCAGAAAGATTTCATTTAAAAAACCCTCAACAGTAAAATTTAAGATAACTACAAAAGGAAAATTTTAATCTTTCATATACAGTATGTATACCCAATTATCTTCTATTTAATAAACACTCTGAAACATGGTATCCATTATCAATATACATCAGTGTTCTTTTAAAGTGAGGCAGAGACAAGAAAATTGCCTCAGGCTTTCTTTTTAAGACTATTTTTTTAGAACAAGTTTTAGATTCACAGCAAAACTGAGAGGAAAATAAAAAGTATATCCCATATGTCCCTTGCCTCACACATGTATAGCCTCCCCCATTATCAACATCCCCCACCAGAGTGGAACATTTTTTACAACTGATGAACTTGCACTGACACATCAACCAAAGTCCATAGTTTACATTAGGATTCACTCTTGGTTTTGTGCATTTTACGGATTTGGACAAATATATAATGGCATGTATTTTTATTTTGCTTTGGGGTTTGTTTTTTGAGGTGGGTTTGTTGTTGTTGTTTCTGCTTTGTATTTTTAAAAGCACAGATAGCCATACCTTACTCAGAGATTCAGATTCAATAAGTCTGGGATGGTCAGGCATTTTAAAAGATCAATTTATTCTGATCTGTACTCATTGTATGCAAATTACTTCTTCAACTGAATATTCAATTCATGGCCTTGGAGAACAGCATCAAACTGTGTGTATTTTGAGCAGAAGGGTATGAATAAATGTGAAACATTTAAAACATTTTTAACACTCCTCCCTTCAAGAGGTGGAGCCTAATTCCCTTCTCCCTGAATATAAACTGGACTAAGTGACTCATTCTAATGAACAGAATAACGTGAAAGAGGTGGTGTGCAAGTCTGGAAACTAGGTCATAAAAAGTAACTACAACTTCCTCCTGCTCTTTTTCTTTCTCTCTTGAATCACTCTCAGAGAAGCCAGCTGCACCTCACAGGTAGAATAAGGCAGCCCTATTGAGAAGGACAGTTGACAAGAACTCATGGCTATTCTGCCAACAGCCAGCAACAAACTGAGGACTCCTGCCAAAAGCTATGTAAGTGAGGCTTCTTGAAAGCATACTCTCCAGCCCCAAAAACCTTCAGATGAATGTAGTCCCTACGAACAGTTTAACCGCAACCTCATGAGAGACTTGGAGCCAGACCACTCAGCTAAACCACTCCCAGATTCTTGACTCTCAGAAACTATGGAGATAATAAATGTTTCAGGCTTCTAAGTGTTAGAATCATCTGTAATGCAGCAATAGATACAGTAAGTATGACAGAGAATGTCAAGTCTTAACTGATTATTAGCTGCTTCTACATGATCATGGGGAAAATGATGCTACTAAAAAGAAATCTATGAAGCCCAGAGTTTCCTAAATCATATGACATATTTTCAGTTCTGGTGCAAATTGAGGGTTGAGATTTTAGAAATGAAACAAAAAGATGAGAAGTGAATGATTGAGCTACTGTAACATTTTAGTTTTCCTCACATGGCTTAAAACATTAGAATACTGGACTCTGGGAAATGTACAAACTGTACATAAGAGCAGAGGAGAGACCTGAGTCTACACAGGATGACCATAATCAAATTAACAGTCTAGTATTCACTAAAGAAATATCAGGAAGAAAGCTAAGGATAATACTTAAATACTTAAAATGCATCATAAATATTTTAAAGTCACTGTTTTCAGAATTTAAATTCCTTAACTTTCAAGTAAGATTGCTAAACTCTTCAGAGTAAATATTTTTTAAAATAATGGAAAAAGAAAGAACGCAAGAAAACTGCAGATGAACAAATATCTACACTTTCAAATCCAAAAAGTTACTTTTAAAAATGGAGATCAGGCCGGGCGCGGTGGCTCACGCCTGTAATCCCAGCACTTTGGGAGGCCGAGGCGGGCGGATCACGAGGTCAGGAGATCGAGACCATCCCGGCTAAAACGGTGAAACCCCGTCTCTACTAAAAATACAAAAAATTAGCCGGGCGTAGTGGCGGGCGCCTGTAGTCCCAGCTACTTGGGAGGCTGAGGCAGGAGAATGGCGTGAACCCGGGAGGCGGAGCTTGCAGTGAGCCGAGATCCCGCCACTGCACTCCAGCCTGGGCAACAGAGCGAGACTCCGTCTCAAAAAAAAAAAAAAAAAAAAAAAAAAAAAATGGAGATCAATTATTTTTCAAAAAATCAATAATGAGGGCCCAGCACAGTGGCTCATGTCTGTAATCCCAGCACTTTGGGAGGCAAAGGTGGGCAGGTCGCTTGAGCCCAGAAGTTCAAAGCCAGCCTGGCCAGCTCTTCAACAAAAGAAGAGAAACAGGTTTTGCAGAAGAGATGAAGTATTCAGTCTGGGGCATATTAGAAGTATCTAAATCCAAAGCTCTGGAGGCTGAGGTGGGAGAATCACCTGAGCCCAGAAGTCAAGGCTGCAGTGAGCCACAATAGCACCACTGCACTCCAGCCTGGGTGACAAAGTGAGACCCTGTTTCAAAACAAAACAAAACAAAACAAAACAAAACAAAACAAAACAAAAAAGAATAATGAGCTTTAAAAAATAAATCAATAGGAGCCAACACACATTTACAAAGAGAAAAAAAAAGTCAAAAAACCCTCACTTATTTTTTAAGAAGTTAGACTAGAAGATGTGTAGGATTATAACTGCTTGAACAACCACACCCAAATATTGACCTAGTCCCTTGCAGCATACCACATGCTTGGTAATTGACCCAGACACCTCAAATTGACAAACAGAGAAAGCTTATTAATGCAATAGATAACAATTAGAATTTTTTAAAAAATTGTTAGGCAGAAACAACGGGCCAAATCTAACTTTAAGATAAAATTTATAATGAATAAACAGAATATCTCAAGCTCAAAAAAATTCAAAACAAGTACATGATGATTAAATAATTTAATTCAATAAAATCGTAAGTTTAAAAAAAGAACTAAAAATTTCAAAAACAATATGAATCAATATGACAATGGGGTTGGCTGAATTAATACCAGTAAAGAGTAGAAGGTTTTAGGCTAAGATGGTTACTAAGAGATTAACACTCAGAACTGGATACTATGCTTTTCAAAAGGGATAAAATAGAACATATCCAGAGAAGGCAGACCAGGGAAGGAGGGGACCAGATATCATGTTATATTAAAGAACAGTTGAAGTAATAGGTACAGTCAGCCCAAAAAAAAAACAAAAAATTTAAAAGAAAAAGAATAATCATCTTCATATACCTAGAAGTCTGTCAGGCATAAATACATATGTTCACTCCAGAAGCAGAAAAAGGGAGATGCTATGTAGTTAGATTTCACATCAACATACTAAAAAGTTAACTACTAAAACAATTCAAATTCAAAAGAAAGGTAGTGAACTTCCTGTCACTAAACATGTTCCAACAGATTATCATGTGGTAAAGATGCTTAAAAGTAATATCATTATTTGGGCTGGGTGTGGTGACTCATGCCTGTAATTCTAGCACTTTGGGAGGCTGAGGCAGGCGGATCACAAGGTCAAGAGATTGAGACCATCCTGGCCAACATGGTGAAACTCCGTCTCTACTAAAAATACAAAAAAATTAGCTGGGCATGGTGACGCACACCTGTAGTCCCAGCTACTCAGGAGGCTGAGCCAGAAGAATCACTTGAACCCGGGAGGCAGAGGTTGCAGTGAGTCAAGATCACACCACTGCACTCCAGCCTGATGACAGAGAGAGACTTTGTCTCAAAAATAACAATAATAATAATATCATTATTCAACAAAGATTTTTCAGCACTTAATAAACGATGAATCTCTGGTGACACAGAGATAAGTAAAACTGACAAAGTTTCTGCCCTCATGTAGTTTTCATTCTAGTAGATGAAATAAGTAATGAAAAATAAAAAATACATGACAGGTAATGAAAGTACAATAAAGAATAATAAAGGAGAGTAAGGAAATATCGTGAGAAAATGGTACAACTTTAGTAAGGTGGTCAGAAAAGAGAAGGCAATGTGTAAGCAGAGACCTAAATAAGTAGGCATTGGGCCATGTGATTACCAGTGGAGATAGTATTCTAGGCATATGAAACAACAAAACAAAGTCCCAAAGGGAATGTGTTGGCATACATGAAGAATATCAAGGAGATAAGTGTGTCTAGGCACAGTGAACAAGGAGGCAAGTGGCAAAAAATAAGATCAAGGAGGAAGCCAGAGGCCTAATCATGGAAAGGACTTTGATTTTTATCCACAGTGTAACTGGAAGCCTGCGAGAGTTGAGAACAAGCAAGTGGAATGATCCAATTTCCTTTATGAAAGGATCAGTCTTATTTTTCTGCGGAGAACAGACTGCAGTAACATAAAAACAGAAATGGTTAACGGGCTACTGCAATAGTCCAGAAGAGAGGCTAGCTTGGACTAGGGGAGTGAAATGTACAGTAGGGGGAGTGAAATGTACAGTAGGGGAAGTGAAAAGTGGTCATATTCAGGATTTATTTTAGAATGCAAAGTAAATAGGATTTGCTAATGAATTATATGTGCAATATGACAGCAGACTTTCTGTATGCTTTGCTGCCTTAGCAACTAGGTGAATGATAGTGACCATTTACTGAAAAGGGAAACACAAGAAAAGTGCAGGTTGAGAGGAAGGTACGTAGGGAGGGGATCAGAAGTTGTTTGAGGAGTATCCAATTTTATTCACCTAACAGACATCCAACTGGAGATAACAAGTGATAAGGTATATTTAAATCTGGGGGTAGATGAGGTCTGGAGATGTAAAGTTAGGGGTCATTTAAAATAGATATTTAAAGCAATGACTATTTGAGATCCACTTAAGGATTAAGTATAAATAGAATTAAGGTCTTAAGGATTGAGACCTAGGAGATTTCATATTTACAGGTCAGAAAAAAAGAAAAAGATCTTGCCAAGAAAACCAAGAAGTTAGAGCCAGGGAAATATGAAGAAAATAAGCCAAGTATGAAATACTGGAAGTTAACTGAGTAAAATATTTCAAGAAGAAAGTAATCAATAATAATTACAATTATAATGCTGAGGGCTTCAGGTGAAATAATAAATACTTGACATCTAAATCCTTTCCAAGGAAGGGAAAGACAAGAGTATATACACAACACATACACATAACAGCATTTTTGCACATAATTGTCATGTAATCACACAGCTCTTCAAACTGCAATGGAGACATTAGCTTAAGAATCTGATTTAACACAATATTTATTTCTACTATGCTGTGCTAGCAAGAAGATCCTGATTTGTACATTTGAAATAAAATAAATACTTTTAAAAAATAAAATTTTTGGTTGTGCAATTATTGGTAGTACATACGTTTTGAATTAAACTATACTTCCACCATAAATAACTGTAAGGGTAATTTTTTAAAATTAAAATAAACTTACCACTAACATTTTCAGTTAAAATGAGATGAAAGACCTGAGCAAAGGCATCAATATCTTTATGTAGCCATATATCAGAAAGGCAAGCATCCATTTCCTTTATTAACCATGGTTCAAGGCAATTCACATCTTTTTCAGTCTACAAAAAACAGTAAAAATCATAAATTATCATAAATTACCTAACATTTGCTTGCAAAGAACATAAGATGGCCACAATGGCCATCAGGACTACTAATCCTATGATAATATAGCAAATGCTTTGACATAAAAAATTTCTCCTTTCATCACAAACATTATCACTCACAATACAGTATCTAGTCCTTATACTCAACTTTTATCTGAGAATGAGTTTGTCAACAAAGGACTATGATCTAGTCACGATGTTAATTGTGCTTCCAATATGATGTTGTTAAATGCACATACAGATCAGTAGTTCTCTCTCCCAACTGCACATCAAGGGAAGTATCACCTGGAGCTTTTTAATACTGATGCCAGGTCCCACCCCAGAGCAAGTGCATCAGAATCTCTTGTTGGTAGGGTGCTAGATTCCATAGGGCTTTAAAAGCTCCTCAGGTGACAAAATATACAGCCAGTCTTAAGAACCACAAATATACATGGTCAAAATGCTGTTCCATGACCCAAATAAGTCTATACTATATGTTTTTTTATATAGCATGTGTTATAATCCTATAAACATATAGGATATATATCATTATATATATAGTATATTTAGCGTGCATATCTATAAAGATGTTAAATAACAATTTTTATTACCAATTTTTAAATATTCTTTAAAAGTATTTTTAAAAACTCATGTACAGTTCATTTGGATACATTACAACTTTAAACACTAGTAGAAAACTGCAAACATATCTGCATTACATACTATCACATGCTCAAAAAAAGGGTAAATTATTTTTTTAAAGAGTAGAAAGTTGCTCTGAAAAATTGGTTGTGGTCTAAAATAAACCAAGAGAATTACCATTCAATTATGCAGTAAAAAATTACAATCTCTTGGCTGGGTGCAGTGGCTCACTCCTGTAATCCCAGCACTTTGGGAGGCCGAGGCGGGTGGATCACGAGATCAGGAGATCAAGACCACCCTGGCTAACACAGTGAAATCCCGTCTCTACTAAAAATACAAAAATTTAGCTGGACATGGTGGCGGGCGCCTATAGTCCCAGCTACTTGGGAGGCTGAGGCAGGAGAATGGCGTGAACCCGGAACGCGGAGCTTGCAGTGAGCCGAGATCACGCCACTCCACTCCAGCCTGGGCCACAGAGCCAGACTCCATCTCAAAAAAAAAAAAAAAAATTATAAGCTCATAAAATGTTCTTTAACCTACACAATTTTCACACAAAATATGAGTGGGAAACCAGGGAGGTCATACCAGCTGACTGAAGACAGCATCACCACCATCATCCAGTAAGTCATACTCATCAGTCACATTTAGAACAGTTCTCTGCCTCTGAGATTCAGGCTTGAAACTATTTTCTTGAGCTGAGTACCATTCTGTAAGTGTGGTTTGTTGTTTCTCTTCTAAATTAATTATCAAAGAAAGAATATGTAGACAAATCATTTCCTTTTTGAAATGTATTCCTTTGTTTAAATAAATTATGGGAATCTGGTATCTCTTAAAAGTTGGTCTTATTCTGTAGTTACTTTTAAAAAATATATTAAGAATATTCAATAAAAATGTGTTATGCTGAAACAAAAAGACACATGAAACTGCTTGAAAACTTCATTGATATGGTTAGGCTTTATGTCTCCACCCACATCTCATCTTGAATTATAATTCGCAGGTGTTGAGGGAAAGACCTGGTGGGAGGTGATTGGATCATGGGGGCAGTTTCCCCCATGCTGTTCTCATGATAGTGAGTTCTCACGAGATCTGATGGTTTTATAAGCATCTGGTATTTCCCTTGCTTGCACTTCTCTCTCTTGCTGCCATGTAAAGAAGGTCCTTGCTTCCCCTTTGCCTTCCATCATGACTAAGTTTCCTGAGGCCTCCCCAGCCATGCAGAACTGTGAGTGAATTAAACCTCTTTTCTTTATAAATTTCCAAGTCTCAGGTAGTATCTTTACAGCAGTGTGAAAATGGGCTAATACATTCATGCATTCACCTATTGTTCCAAGTCCTACTAATAAGTTTACTTCTAAGTAAGTCCAGAATTAAGAGTATTTTTATCCATGTTATAACTATTGTTTAAATCAATGACCAATATTCATACAGCACTTTGTAGAAAACCATTTGTTGAAGTTCTACCACCACGCTAGTTTTCTGAGATACAATTATATATAATTTTCATCTTCAAATGTTTCAGCTGGACATGGTGGCTCATGCCTGTAGTTCCACTTTAGGACACTGAGGCAAGAGGATTGCTTGAGGCCAGGAGTTCAAGACCAGCCTGGGCGATGTAACTAGACTGCGTATCTACAAAATATTTTAAAAATTAGTTGGGCACAGTGGTCTACATCTCAAGAGGCTGAGGTGGGAGGATCCCTTGAGATGAGGAGGTCGAGGCTGCAGTGAGCCATGATTGCACCAATGCACTCCAGCCTGAGTAATAGAACAAGAACCTGTCTCTAAAAAAATTTTTTTTTAATTTTTTTTTTTAAGTTTCAAGATCTAGGAGTTTTACAACTTACATATCAGTAATTCAGTGCTTCCCAATGAAATCAGCATTGCTGATTACATTTTTCAAGGGGAAAATCCAAAGGAGTTCAGATTTTTGTCCAAGGGCATACAGAATAAACAAGGTATCAAAGCTTGAAGCCAAGTCTTCTATGATGAATAATGAAGTTAAAATTAAGAAAAAGAAATCTGAACCCTAATTCAAAAGCTGAAATATGTCATTACAAGAGACGTATTAACAGGAAAATAATGCTAAATTCAAAGTATCAATGAAATCCTGTAACATCATCAAGATTTGGAAAACTCAACATTTTTATCAAAGTTTGTTATTAATCACATACTACTTTTTTCACTCCCTCCCATTCACTTCCCAGTCCTTCCCTATGAGATATGCTGTGGGCAGCCAGCATATATTCTTCTATCTCCTTAAAAGGTGGCTGAATGTTTGGATATAGACACCTCCTCAACTCTGGCACCCACTTTCAGTTTCTCTCCACAGATTATAACTTCTGGACACAAACCAGAAAGCAAAGGAATATTTGGGACAATATTCCAATATAAGGTTATACAATTATATACAAGAGAAAAACACTTTCAAGTGTCCTTGTACCTCCACAATGTAAGGATGGAGTACTCCAAAGTCATTATCAATAGTAATTTCTTTTATATTTCTTTTATTAAAAAATTTACCTTGCTGTTTTTCCTTTTTATATTTTAACATTTCTTTGTTTGTATATCCAGTTGTTCTTAAAATATCTTCCAGAAACATTTCTTTTACTTCAAATGGTCTTCCCTGTACTAAATAATAAAAAAAAATTAAATACTCAACTTGCATCTTGGAGAAAATTCACATAAAAACATGAAAATCCCAAGTTAATGAATCTCAGTATAATATCCAAAAGCAATTTCATAGTTCAAGTGACTCTTATAATATTGTCCTTTAACTATAACTTTGACTTACAAACAACTATTAGACAACTGTTTGTGTGCTTGGGTTTTTTCCTCTAGTGTTTACTACCTACTTATCATGTGTCTGGCATCAATATCATTTGTATTATAAGTAGAAATTGTAAGAGGAAACAGAGCTATTTCCTGTTCCCTGGAGGCAAGCTAGTGGAAGAGACAGAAATCAATCCAAAAATCCAGAATATGAAGGTAAATATAGAGTTGTGAAGAGTCCTGAGATACAAGTACAAGACACCATGACAGTATGTAACGGGGGATTTGACAACATCAAGAAAGTATCCTCACTAAGAAAATGAGAAACAAGAAGATAAACAAAATAACAAAGCCATATGAAAAGAATAAAAAGTGTATAATGATGATGAAAAACAGCATGTGCAAAGTCCCTGTGCTAGAAAGGAGTTTCAAGGACCTAAAGGTGTTTCAAGGAACTAAAAGGCTAACTTACTTGAAAAATGGTGGGAGTGTGGGAATGGAGAGGGATATCGTTCAAGATGAGGTAAGAGGAAAAGATAAGTCTTACTAAGGGTTTATGTCTTTATCCTGAGGTAAAAGTCATTCAAAGATTTAAGCTCAGTAAAGTGCTTGACATCATCAGAATTCTACTTCAAAGAAGACCACTCTGACTGCAATATGGAGAATGGATTTAAAGACAGCAGAATGCTACGTCAAGCCAAGTAGCAGCTACTGCAATAGTTCAGGTTAACCTGAATGAGATTAATAATAGTGAAAACCAAAAAAGAAGCAGACAAATTCTAGAGCTAGGCGGGAGGTAAAATCCGTAGAACTCAGCATTATATTGGATATGGAAAAAAAATAAAGTGTCAAATATAGTCCTTTGATGTCTGGCTTGCAAATCTGAATGATAATGTCATTCTCTGAGGTAACAAAGAAACCTGAAAAGAACAGGTTTGCTGGTGGGAAATGGGGTTTGGTTTTAGGCATGTAAAATGAAAAATGAGCTTTCGATTAGCATATGTACAGATCTGATGTCCCTGATCACCCAAGATTATTACAAGGAGTTAAGAACTTATAGGTTTGTGATTCAGGTGATTAGGTCAATAGTAGTATGATTAACTAAGACAGGTAACACAAGAAGAGAAAAGGGTTTTGCAAAAGAGATGAAGTATTCAGTTTGGGGCATACTAGAAATATCTAAATCCAAAGCTCTGGAGAACAACTGAAAATAAAGATTCAGAAGTCATCAGTATAAAAGAAAAAATAGAAGCCCAGGGCATGAATGAGAGCTTCCAGGAAAACTATGCATCTCCAATACCTAGTAGAGTATAGCATAGGGCAGGAAACAAGAGGATGGGAATAGTGGGAAAGGAAGGAAGGAAGACGGAACGAACAGAAAAAAAAAAAAGGAAACGGATCAAGGGAATAATTCTAGAGAATACCACTATTTAAGCATCATGTAAAAGAAGAGAAGCCCACAGGGGAGACTGAGAAAGCATGGGATATAATGAAGAATGAGGTTTAGCAAGCAGCAATGTTATCAAACAAACTACAGCATCTGAGCATTTCACAAAAAAAAAAAAAAAAAAGAGAGAGAGCCAACCATAAAACATACCACAGAAAAGTTAAGTAAGATTTTTGCCTAAAATTTGAATATCAGATTGGCAATTAGGTTAATGTCAAACGACACCGGTAAAAATTCAAATAAATAGCCTTATACACTTCAGAAATGTAAATCATTTCAGCCTTTTGAAAAGTAAAATGGCAAAAGCTGTTAAAATTAAAAATAGATATACTCTTATTTAGCAAATTCACTTTCAGAAATCTATCCCTAGAAATCCAGTACATCAGGATATACATAAAAGGATGTTCATTATAACATTGTTGGCAGGGGCGAGGCGGGGGATCTAGAACCAACTTGAATATCCAAAAATAAAGAAATGGTAAAATAAATATAGTACATCAATATTATGAAATACTTTATTATGCAGGTGCTTAAAATAAAGAACTAGATCCAGGGTTACTAAACTGGAAAACTGTTCATGATAAAGCAAATTGCAAATAATGTATTAGCCATGTGCTCATGTTTATAAAACCAATTTTTGTAAACGTTATAAATGTGTATATATTTGCATACATTTTTGTGAAGATGAAGAACAAATATATATAAAACACTGTTAACATCCATAAATCATAAATCCATAAAGCCAATTTTTGTAAATGTTATAAATACGTATATATTTGCATACATTTGTGTTCTTACATTAAGTAAAAACGAATATATATAACACTGTTAACATCCATAAATCAGAAAAGTAGGACATGGAACAAGGATAGGGGCAATTGTGAACTTTTTCTATATATATTTTTGTATTATTTCACTGAAGTAAACAGAACTTTTGTATTTTTATTTATTTATTTTTTTTGAGACGGAGTCTTGCTCTGTCACCCAGGCTGGAGTGCAGTGGCACAATCTCAGCTCACTGCAAGCTCCGCCTCCTGGGTTCACGCCATTCTCCTGCCTTAGCCTCCCGAGTAGCTGGGACTGCAAGTGCGTGCCACCACGCCTGGCTAATTTTTTGTATTTTTAGTAGAGACAGGGTTTCACTGTGTTAGCCAGGATGGTCTCCATCTCCTGAACTCGTGATCCACCTGCCTTGGCCTCCCAAAGTGCTGGGATTACAGGCGTGAGCCCCCACGCCCGGCCTAACTTTTGTATTTTTTGAAGAGGAATTTATCATTTTTTTAAAGACTGGTGGCAAAATCCGTTTTTAATAAAGGACAAGGGCAAAAGTTGTTTTAGCATTTTCAGAAGTGAATGTGAAGTAAAACATGGGAGTATAGACTACTTTTCAAAGATATCTACCAATAAAGGGAAATAGTTATAGGACAATTTAAGAAGGAACACAAAGTGAAAATAAAGCATATTTCCTTTTAAGGTAAGAGAATTAGGCTCACTACACAATACCAAAGAGCTGTTGATAGAAAAGGAGAAGTTGAAAACAGAAAGAAGTGACAATTAAGCCTATCTCAGGTGGAACGGTAATAGATGGCCTCTACTTCAGAACATTCCCCAGTTTCTGTTAGGATAAATAATGTCCAAAAGTGTTCTTTCATAAAAATTATAGAAGAAATCTGACAATTTAACTTACTATATATCACTGGACAACTTCCAAAATATCTTATAAAGAGATTTACATCCAAGGCAGCACTAGAAAGAATTAGTTTCAAAGTTGGGTGCTTTTGCAACAAATCTCTTAACTTTGTAAGTAAAAAATCACTAAATCGATCCCTTTCATGCACTTCATCCTATAGTAAACAGAAATAAAACCATGGAACAGTTAAAACATTATTGATGACTAAGTCTTTAAAAACAATGGCACCACTGGGTTTTACACTAATTCAAATTAAATGTGGACAAGGCCAATCAATATTCATGAAAATTTTGTATTACAGGAATTTCAGAAATAATTAGACATTAACAATGAAATGCAGATGACAAAGTAAAGTTGTCCCCTGGCATCTGTGGGTGAATGGTTCCAGGGCCTTCCCCCATGCCAAAATTCATGGATGCTCAAGTCCCTGATTAAAAAAAAAAATGGCATAGTATTTGCACATATCCTATGCAAATCCTTCCATATACTTTAAATCATCTCTAGACTACCTATATTACCTAGTACAGTGTAATGCTAGGTAAATAGTTACACTGTATTCTTTAGGGAATAACAACAAGAAAAGTCTGTACATGTTCAACAGACACACAATATTTCTTTAAATGTTTTCAACCTGCAGTTGTTTGAATCCATAGTCATGGAACCCACAGATACAGAGAGCTGTCTATATTGCCCTTTTTTCCCACAAAATATAAAACTACAAAAAATTATAAGTAAAGTCCAATTTAATGTGCTTTTAATACATAAAAAATCTATGTAAATACGTTTCTTTTAGCATCAGAGCTTATGAAGTGCATCCTTTGGTTTGGGTAAGTTTCTAAAAGCTGCTTATTCCAAGTTTATAAAACTTAATCTAATTTTTTTTGACACAAACTAGGTAAAAGCTTAGAATTCCTTAACAAAGGGGTAAACTCATCAACTTAGTTCATCAGCAGTTAGTTAATTTAGCAGCTTAATCATGGAGTTTATTAGTATACCCCTATCATTGGGAAATATATGATATTAATGAAGGGATCAAACAACCAAGTATAGAGATAAAAGAAATCTCCCTTTTTTTTGAGAACTCTAAGTGCATGCATCATTTTCATATATGAAAAGCACATTTTTTAAAACTACCTGCTTATTTTATTTTCCCTCAATAAAGCCTAATGGCTTTATTATTTTTGTAATACAAAATATTTCTAATAATTATAGACAAAAAATAAATTGATCATTACAGCCTGTTCAAAAGAATAAGTTGGTTCTCTTTTCTACCCTATTCCAAAAATGTAATTATGTATTTAAATTTTTTGAGACTATCCTGAAACGGCATATGTATTTAAATTTTAAGCAATCTGAGTTACATATGACAAATTCAGCAATATTCTTACCACGATAACATGTGTCACAGTCGACAACGTACTATCTCCTGCCATCAATGTACGAAGCAATACCCCATTAGTACAAAATGTCAGAAGTGTCTTTGGAGAAACCCTTTTAAAAAAAAAGCAAAACAAAGTGCACAATTGCAAGTTTTTCATGTAACTAAAATATAATCACATTAAATGCTGGCCTCGTACACATTTTAATAAATATTACTAATAGTGTACCGGTATGTACAGTTTATTAGTAAAGCTATGAGGTTTTGCAGTTATGTGAGACTGCCTGACAATAGCCTTTTATATTAAATGATGTATTTTGTTAAAGAACCTAAGCTGCTCTAAAAACAAAACAAAACCTTAAATACTTTTTGCTTGCAGCTAAAGTATGTTACAAATGGAATCAGATTTTTTAATCACCACTGAGAATAAAAAAAGTACTACTTGTCAAGAAGGCATTACTAATACTACATATACTGAGTATTCCTTATCCAAAATGCTCGAGACAGAAAGGGTTTTAGGTTTCAGATTTTTCCAGATTTTAGAATACCTCCAGTTGAGCATCCCAAATCTGAAAATCGTAAATCCAGAATCCTCTGATGAACATTTCCTTTGAGTGTCATGTTGGCACTCAAAAAGTTTTAGATTTTTTAGCATCTTGGATTTCAGATTTTTGGATTTAAGATGCTCAATTTATACTACTACTGATAATAAATTCACTAACAGTTATTGAGTGTTCACTATAAACTTCACATCAAACCTGTACTCTAGATGCTTTTCTTTGACTCATTTTATAGATAAGAACACTGAGGCTCAAAGAGGTAAAATAACTATGATCATGAAACTAGGAAACGGAATTTTTTTTTTTTTTTGAGACGGTTTCGCTCTTGTTGCCCAGGCTGGAGTGCCATGGTGCGATCTCAGCTCACCACAACCTCCGCCTTCCGGGTTCAAACGATTCTCCTGCCTCAGCCTCCCGAGTAGCTGGGATTACAGGCATGCACCACCAAGCCCGGATAATTTTGTATTTTTTTTTTTTAGTAGAGACAGGGTTTCTCCATGTTGGTCAGGCTGGTCTCGAACTCCTGACCGCAGGTGATCCACCCGCCTCGGCCTCCCAAAGTACTGGGACTACAGGCATGAGCCACCGCGTCCCGCCTGAAATGGAATTTTTATCTATGGTTCAAAGTCTTTTTCAAACTCTTCATTCAATACTACTCTAGATTTAGACATGACTTTAATATCTTGATGTAGACTTACTTGGAGCAAAATGATCACCTAACTTTTCAACGAACACATCCTCTATTTTTAGTGAAATATACATAGTCTTTTTTAAGCATGATAAAAGAGAAGATACATGAGAACTGTTTTTACCTGCTTTCTAATCGGATCTGATAACCAATTGTTTGACCAATCCTTTCCCGTCTCTCTGCGGCAACTCTTTCAGCCACAGCGATAGCTGCCAATCGTCTTGGTTGAGTACAAAATATACGGCAGGGGATACCATTTTTAAAGCAATCATCTAAAAGGAACTGAGGAATCTGAAACAAAAGTTTTAAAAACTGTAAGATGACATGATCACATAATACAAAAAATCTAAGTGAATCAACTGAAAAACCACTAGAATTGAAGTTCTATAACAAGTCCAAATATAATCATAAAATCAACAACATTCATGTAACTAGTAATCAGCTAAAAAATGTAATTTGAAAAGATCTTGCTCACAATAGAAACTAAAGCTAAAATATCTAAAATCAAATATATCCAGGAATATTTAAGGTTTACATGAAGATTATAAAATGCTACTGGAAAAACATAAAAGAAGACCTGAATATATAAAGAAAATATGCCATATTCATGGATGGGGATAATCAATGCTGTAAAAATGTTAACTTCTCCCCAAATTATTCCATAAAGTCAATAAAATAAAAATTAAAATTCCACTGGGATTTTTTAAATAATGAAAAGCGTTAAAAAACAAAAATAGTCTATAATCCAGGATTGTAGATACCTTTTTATAAATAAAATTCAAACAGGTTGGAACGATTTAAAATCAAAATCTTACCTACTCCCTGCCACCAATGCCCTTATATCTTCTCCAAAAAAGTAACTACTGTTACTTATGAAATCTTTCAAGAAAAAAAAAGTTTTACACAACCCAGAATATTTGTGTATATAAGCATGATTTTTATCCATGCAAAGTGATGACTGTACTTAATGTCCGTAATTTGCAGTTTTCACATAACATACCAGATCTACCTAGCCCATTTTAACAGCTGCATATTCCATCTCATGGATATGCTATAATTTAACAAATGATTAAACATTTAAGTAATTTCCAGTTTTCTAGGTTTGTTATTGATGTTGTTGCTTGATATTATAAACAACACTGCAGTAAACACCTATCTCCAGAGTTTTAGAAAGATATATGTAGTAGCAGTGAAATCACTAGTAGTGAAAATGCTGAGTCATGGAGTAAATAAATTTTTAATTTAGAGTAAAAAAATTATCAAATTGCTCCCCAAAACAATTTATACTCCTACCAACAAAGCAGAAGAGCTGCCTTCCAACACCCATACAAATACTTGGTACCATCAATTTTTTAATTTCTGCCAATCTTATAGTTAAAAAATATAACTGTTTTTATTTTCATTTTTTAAACTGTGAGTAAAAGAAAACATCTTTTCATACATGTGCTGGCCCCTAGGATTTTTTTTTTTAAACTTGACTAGTTCATCCAGATGTGGGGGCTCGGTCAGGATGATGAGAGAAATTGTAAAATTATAGGAAATAAACAAAAACCCTCTTGGAATGCCTGGGGGTTGCATAAAGTGTTTGGCTGAAGGCAGCTGAATTCTCTTAAAAGCTGAGCTCGTAGACACAGAGGAGTTTATCTAAACAGCTTGTTTACTCATGTGGTCCTAAGACCAACCTTTAATTGGTCTTAGGACCACATAATTGCTCTCTACTCAGGAGGTAGGCAATGTCAATTACCCTCTAGTGGTGTCTACTCAAGACCTTTGTCATTTAATCTATACTGAATAAATGTGAGCTTCGCTGGCTGATGGGACCGCAGCTACAACTCTTTACAGCACCTTCCTCAGTGTCTGTGAGTGGCCCAGCCCCTCAGCCTAACTGACAGGCAAAATATCTGTGTCAGTGTATGTCTCTCATCCATCACTGGGTCAGGATCTGCGGGTCAGAACCCAGCATACAGAAGCATAAATGCGTAAGTACCACCAACAAATATTTTAAAAGAGAAGATAAGTGTATCATTTTCAAACTACAGAAAATCAAAGAGATCTTCTGAAAAATCCTAAAAGAAGCCAGAGTGGGGGGAAAACCCTTACCTACAAAGGAGCCAAGGTAAGAATTACATCCAAGTTTTCCTCAGACACTATGCAAGAAAAGAGCGGAGAGAAGGAGTTGGGGGGCGGGAAGAAAAACACCATCCTAGAATTCTGTACCTTGCAAAACTATCCTTCAAAAATGAAGAAGAAATGAAGACTTTCTCAGATGAATACAAATTGAGGGAATTTGTTGTCAGTAGACTACAGCCTTGCAAGAAATGTTTTTTTTAAGTTCTTTACAGAGAAAGAAAAATAACATAGGCCAGAAACTTGAATCTTCATAATGAAAGAAAGAACACTAAAGAAGGAATAAATGGAGGTAAAAAAAAAAAATTTTTTTAACTTTTATTTTTTGTAGTCTTAATTGATCTAACACATAACAATTGGTTCAAAATAGTAATAGCAACAATGTAGCTGATTATGTATATATCTTATGTGTGTGTACATGTATGTTTATGTATGGTTACATATAAGTGAAATGAATGACAGCAATGATACAAGGGACAGGAGGGAGGAATTAGGGTTATTTTGTTATTTAAGGTACTCGCACTACCTGTAAGGTGGTATAGTGTTATTTGAAAGTGGACTTGGTTTAGTTGTGAATGTATACTGCAAACTCTAGGGCAACCACTAAAAAAGGTAAAATATAATGAAGAAGAATATTATGCTCACACTGTAAACAACAAAAAGCAGAATCCTAGTGCAGGAAGAGATAATGAGATTAAAGATACATAAGAAAAATTTTAGAAATAGACACTGGTACTATAGACAGTATTTGGTCAAAAATAGCCTCTTAAATTGGGTAGGGGAGGTCGGGGGAAGGACAGATTTTTAAATAAAAGTTATATTTGAGCTGGAAATAACATGAAGAAAAAGTAAAATTCCTACCTGATATAATACAATAAAATAAATTTCAGATGAATTTTTTAAACAATATAAAACTATTAGAATAAAATATTTATAGGAAGAGCCAGGTGTGGTGGTATGCACCTATAGTTCCAGCTACTTAGGAGGCAGAAGCAGGAGGATCCCTTGAGGCCAAGAGTTCAAGGCTACAGTGAGCTATAATCAACTCTGTGAATAGCCACTGCACTCCAGCCTGGGAAACATAGTGATACCCCACCTCTACATAAATAAATACAGAAAATGTCCATTAATCTTAGGGTAGGAAATGCCTCTCTTAACATGCCCCAAAGCCCTAGAAAAATATTGACAGATCTGACTAAATAAAAATGTAAAACTACTGAACAAGATACCATAAACAAAGGTAAAAAGTAAACAAAAAATTGGGAGAAATTATTTTTAAGATGTTTAACAGTCAACAGACATGCATCTATAATATATAATAAAGCACTCTAAAAAATAAATCAAAAATTAATAAGCCAAAAAGAATAAAAATAAGGAACTCATAGAAGATAAACAGATAAGAGGCAAATAAAAGATAACTAAGAATCAACAAAATGCAAGTTAAAATATGATTTATCAAGCTTATCAGCTTGATAAATGTTTAAATAATTATATCCATTCTTGCCCAAGCTTTAGAGAAACAAGAACTTTCAATACTTTCAGTACAGAAAGATGTTAACTCTTTTTTAGAGTGATGGAACAATAACCAGTGAATCTAGCTATCAAAATTTTTAACTGCCATATCCTTGATCTGGCATTTCCACTTCTAGGAAATTTATCCTATTGAAACATTCCTACAAATAAGCAAAGAAATATTAGGATACAAGTAAGTACAATATAAGAGAAAGATTCCTACTCTATCACTTCTTAGCCATGTTAACTAGAGTAGATTAACATCCGTAAATTTTAATTTGTATTCCTCATCTGTAAAAAGATAAAACCTCCATGTCTTGAAATTATTGAGAAGCTGAAATGAGACAACTCTTACATAACTCAGCAAACAGTAAAGTGTCATTTTTCACCAATGTTTATTATCATAACAAAAATGTTCACGAATACTATGCAGTTGTTTAGACAATGAGGCATATCTATAGGCACTGACTTGGAAAAATATCCAAATCTGTTAAGTGAAAAAAAAATCAAGATGCAAAATTATGTGTTCTTAGCCTATGTTAAAAAACCAATATATAACAATGCTGTAAAGAGAACAAAAACAAAACATACAAACCCCCCACCACCACTACCACCAAAAACAAACAAACAAACAAACAAAAACCCACGAGCATATATTTGGAGATTCTGACAGTAATGCAGTGACACAGGGTGGCAGGAGAATTTAAAATCTTTCATTTTCTGGCCAGGCATGGTGGCTTATGCCTGTAATCCCAGTACTTTGGGAGGCCAAGGCAGGTGGATCGCTTGAGCCCAGGAGTCAAAGACCAGCCTCGGCAACATGTTGAAACCTCGTCTCTACAAAAAATTTAAAAATTTGCTGGGCATAGTGGCATGCACCTATAGTCCTAGCTACTTGGGAGGCAGAGGGAGGAGAATTGCTGGAGCTCAGGAGGTGGAGGCTGCACGCCATTGCACTCCAGCCTGGGCGACAGAGTGAAGCGCTGTCGCAAAAGAAAAAAAAAAAATCTTCCACCTTCTATAAAATATTTTCCACAATGTTCAAGTTTCACACAACGAACACAAATAAGAAAAAATATTCAAAAAGCACTTAACTTCCTAATACCATTAAAGGCAAGATAAAATACTACTTACATTCTGTTTTATATTTCAAAGAATAAAAACATTAGTATTTTAATTAACTCTTTAAATAGGACAAAATTATTTCTCAGGTTTGAACTCATTAAATTAACAGTTTCTTCTTAAAAAGCAAAGAGTATAATATTTACGAATTAAATTCACAAGTATCCTTTCATATCTAGTAAAATGATACACATAACTGTTGAAAACAGGCATCCATAATTCTCATATATAGATATCATTAGCAAGGACATTCAAATAATTTAAACAAAGACCTATTTATTACATTTTATCGAAACTTCCATAATCTCTATTCTATATAATTAGAACTGCTACAATTAATACTTAATGGCAAAATTACTCACCCTAAAAAAATTATAACAATCTAAGACAGCTAAACAAATTCTCTGGAGTAACTCCATGGAATTTCACTTAATCATAAAAGCACTCATGCTGGGTCAGGCGTGGTGGCGGGTGCCTGTAATCCCAGTTACTCAGGAGGCTGAGCCAGGAGAATCGCTTGAACCTGGGAGGCACTGAGGTTGCAGTAAGCCGAGATAGCACCACTGCACTCCAGCCTGGGTGACAGACAGAGACTTGGTCTCAAAAAAATAAAAAACAAACTCATGCTAAAGAAAGATCTTGTATAGTCTTCAGAAAAAAATTTCATCATGTTTTTAATTATTCAGTTTTACAGGATCAAGTTTTAAGGATAAACAGATATAATTCTGTAAAAATGTTTAAGTCCTTCAAGTAAAAAACTGGTAAAGTTTATACTCAACTTCTCCTCCCACCTTGCCTTATCTACTAAGCCTATTAAACTAACCAATATAATCACAGGAAATTTTAGGCAATTGTCAAAAGCAAAATTATGTCCCTAAAAGAAGAAAACCTACAAATATTCTATTTATTATTTTATCTGAACCTCTATTAAAAGCAAACTAATTTTAGTAATTTTAAGCTGAAATGCCGCAAGAATGTACACAAGAGTCATATGATGTCATACTTACTACTTCCAATCTGTTATCCTATGAGTAAAACTTCATAAGGAGGTACTTTGATTCTAAAAATGCAAGTCAAACCTATCATATTAATTCCATTCTACAGTCAACTTTATATTAATATTTGTTATTACTGCTTTTACTTTGGTTCCTATATGCAAAATGCTATGCTAGGCACTTTACAGAGATAATCTCTACACCTCACTGTGAAAGGTAGCAATGATTAGTCCCATTTTATAAATGAGAACTCTGGCTCACAGAGGTTACAAAAAGAGCCTGGAACTTCAATAACTGAGGGAACTGGAATCTAAATTCAAGGCCAAAGCCCATCTTCTTTCCATGATACCAAATCAGTTTCCCAACTCTGTTTAAATAAAGGCCTAATGCACTAGTTTAAAAATAAGTAAATTATTTAAAACATTTTCTTTCTACAAATTCTCCAAATATATTCCAGTAGTAATTTACTTCTGAAATAACCATTACTATAATAACCACAAGTTTCTTTTTCTGTTTTTTTAAACATATGCAGTGTAAATTTGATATAAAATTATAATATGGGACTATATATATATATATATATATATTTTTTTTTTTTTTTTCTATAAACAACAAAAAAGAAACAAACCTGTGTGGTCTTTCCAGACCCAGTTTCTCCTACAATCAAAACTACTTTATTTTCCTTAATTATTTTAACAATTTCTTCCTGTTTCTCAAACACTGGTAAAGACTGCCTAAAAGAATCAAATTCGGATTCTCCTCTTTTCACTGGAATCTGAGGTATGCCATTGTTGAGTCGCCCACTTGTCTTGCTCATTTCCCGGTTTTCTTTGAAAATGAATAAAAGAACAAAAAATGTATGATCAACACGGAAAAAGAAGTGTTAAAAATAAGTAATTTTTTTTGCCAAACCTAGAAAAACATGCCAAAAGACATAATTTCTAACATAATTCCTTTCAAATGTTTTCTTCTCTACTCAGTCTACATAAAGTTGTCAAGCAATATCTCAATTGTACTCTTACACATAATATTCTCATTGAACATGTTACAAAATTTCAATATCAATTAGAAAGTGAACCTCAGACATATTTCTGGTACATAATGTTTAAAAATTGATAAAAATAAATCATTCAATAACCATTAAAAATAAAACAATCTTGATAATCTAGATGATTTTTAGGCTTGTTATAAATTTCTATCAATAATTTCATGGAAAATTAAATTTTTGTAGTAGGAAATAATGTACATTATACTTATAAGATCTGTCACGTACATTACGAAAACATATTACAAAAAAAAGAAAATATCCCATATATGTTTAATGCTATACATGTAAGATTAAGTGATCAAATAGAATAATTATGTGTTAAATATAAAGGTCCTAATGTTAACAAATTTCCTAATGGCGTATTTTAGCCAACATCCACATTTAACTAAACAGATAGGAATAAAGAAGAGGTATGAAATGTTTTATATTCATGTAGCTCAAAATATGTTTGTGTGCCTATATTTAAAGTGAAAGTTCTTTGATATCTAGGACCACATATTTTCTATATTCTGCTGATCTATTCCAATAGACAATAATAACTATGTAAATTTTATCACTATAGGCAATAAATAGTTTTCTTAATAGGGAAGTGATCTTTCCAAATAGTAAAATTACATCTTTATTTTATAACCCAAATACATTATCTACCTACTTTTGAGCAACTTAATGTACTGAAGACTCTGTCCAATCTCTTACCAGAGCTAAAGCCCCAGTTCAAAATCTCACTTATTAGTGTGTTATGGCAGCATAATATAGGAAAGTCTAGTCCCTGGAGTCAAATACCCGCTCTGCAGTTTATTGGCTGGTTTGGTGTCCTCGAATGAATTATTTAATTCCTCTAAGCCTCAGTTTCTTCACCTGTGAAATAGGGGAAATTCTTACCTTGCAAAGGTTGCTAGGAGGCCCCATATAAAGGGTTTTGTATACTGCCTCATACACAGTTAATGCTCAGTAAATGGTAGCTATTGATATTATTATTAATACTAAAAAAAAAAACTTGGTTCAACTTAATGACATGCTTTAACACTGCACTTTGTTTCAAATTTTTACAACTCTTAATCATTTCTAACAAACTATTCCAATTGAGAAATCTTATTTCATCTTGGTTTTCGAAAATAAATCTAAAATGGAAAAAGAACAGTCATCAAATAATAGGGTAAATGAGGAAGCTCCCCAGAAAATACATACCAGCTTCAACTGCAAACACATTTCCTCTTTCTGTTTTAGGCAGAAGTTCTGTACGCTCTTTATTGGTGACAGGAAATCTTTGAATTAGGCTCCTAACAGCATGTTTTGTATTATGAGTCAAATTACAGGTCATCATTGCATGAGCTGTTTCTGATCCATCTTTCTTCTTCACAGTTAGGTATCTATTTGCTCCCTTTCTGAATATTAATAAAAATCATTTATTTACTATATAAAGTCAACTTGTTCACATATGATGTATGCCCACTTAGAAAATATGTCTCAAGCAAAACACTGAAAAAAATCAAAATGCTTTGGGAGAAGATGCTGAAAGTCCAAAAAAATTCAGTAAAGAAAGATTTGGGCTAAAGTGGCCATAAAACTATTTTCAATTAAAATTTCAAGTGCTGTAAATCCAATTTTAAGTCCACTAAAAAGGCTTACTTACCCTTAAGTGTTAAAGTTTGTCTTTAGCAGACTTCATGGTAGATGAAACATCACCAGTTAATATGATACATGCTGGGAAGCATACAGAGGGGGAAAATCAATCTGAACAATAGAACCTAAAAATGATAATGAAAAAGTTATGGTCTATAGTTCAGACTAATATGTCCCAGTGAATGCTTCCACAGTATGTTGGTAATGAGACACTCCCATGAAAACCTGTTAAGAGAGCCAAGTTTCATGGTTGGACCAAAAAAGCATAAATCAGCATTACTGATAAATAATTTCAGATGCATTTTTAATAAAATATTTTTCAAAGCTTCTGGTTCTACTCTTCAATTATAAGGTAATGATGATTTGTAACTGTTCAAGTTATTTACTGTAGGTATATTGTTTCCTCAACTGGTCCAGGACTGAGCATATCTTTCATGACTTCTGCGGCTCTAAGAGTAGTAGGTATAGTGTTATATACCAGGAATTTCCCAGATGTGTTTTGAATGATTTCATAATACATGCCTATAATGTAGCAGTGTAATACTGATTAAGAGCTCAGGCTCCAAAGGCACACAGACCTCAGCTTGAATCCCACTTCTACCACTTACTAGTTGTGGCACTACAGGTAAACTACTTAATGGCTCTGAGCCCAACACAATAGTAATATATATCTCAAAGGATTATTCATATGATTAAGATAATACATGCAAAGTGCAGTATCTGTTGCAGAGTAGACTCTAAATAAATGAAAACTATTATTATAGTCAGAAACAATACTATTTCTTAAATTTTAAGTTACCCAAAATATTTCATAAAATGTTTTGCCATTTGTTAATGTCACTATTATAGAAATAATCAACAGAGCCATAAATACAATGAAAAATTTATAATTTACAAAGCAAATTTTATAATTTTTCTAATTTTCATTAGATGTAAATTTTATCAACAGTATCTTCACCATAAGAGTGATATCAAACTGGGGATTAACCTATACAGTTTTAGCATATAAGTTTTCTAAGTGAGGCTTCCAATTTATCAAGGTTTTTGATTTCTGGAAACTCCTTATTGAATATTTCAATGAATTTTAAGCTTTCTAGGTTGTTATTTACTCCTTAAAAAGTACTTGGTGGTACTTAAAATGATGCTATAAAGATGAAATAAAATTTAACCTGATCTAGAAGTTTTACTTATTTCCATGATAAATTCAAATTATTGAATTCCATAAATGTTCTCTATAATAGGTTCTTTTCCCACGGACCTTTCTGAAACTAAAGGACAGTCATTATAGACTCAATAATTCATTCCCCTTCTGTGATGTTCATTTCATAAAATTTTAACTACAAAAGGCAGGAAGTGAGCTGAACTGAGCACCAGAGCAAATGGTAGGAGGCTAGTATTCAGCTAGTAATAAACTTTCAAGCAGTTACATGATCAACGGCAAATCATTTTACTTCTCTGACACTGTACAATTGTTAATTTTAAAAACTTCATATTTTTAAGAACTCAAAGATGCTTTAATTTTCTTAAAAATCATCTCAGAAAGGTTTTGCTATATTTCACCTTTAATTGTATTTTATTCATTCACTCAATCATTTATCATCTATTAACTAAACACTGACTTTATGCCAGGCACTGTGGTAGAAGCCAGGAATACAAAATGGAGTAAAATATACCCTTTCTCAACAAGCTCACAACTGAAATAATAAGTTAGATTGAAACCTTCCTAACATAGGTTACCTAATATAGCATTTAGGTATTAAAAAAAACCTCATAATAAGCAGGTGGGACTACTTAGCCATTACCATTTAAAATTTACTGAATTCAGTTTGAGCACATATGGTAGAATGGAAAGATAATATCAACTTGATCATTTTTATGTTTTAGTAAAGGAGTCTACTTGTGCTTTTACTGATTATTCCTACCACAGTCAGCACCACAGTGACACTGATATATCATAAAAGGATTAATGAAATTTTTGGTAAAATATTCACCTCATTGTTGTGAGGATGGAAACATTAAATACAGTAGAAATTTGTCATACTACGTAAACTAACAAATTGAGAACTCCTTATTATGCTTTCATTCCAAGATAACCGAAACTATGGTTTGATGATAAACACAGGAATCTTTTATACAAAGCAAAATTAACTAAAAACTAGCTGCACATGTGGAAAAGATGCTAGCTAAGTGAAATTCACAAGAGTTTTTTAAATAAAAGGTAAACCCCATATGCAATTTTGAAATATAAAAGTAAATGTAATAAAATTACAGTTGAGAGCATCATAACACCTAACTTTCGAAAAATAAAAGTAACCGATGCATTTTGGCATTTCAATGGCTTCTTCCTTTGAAAGAAAAATGATGCTATAAGTAATCAAATTTGACACAATGTTAACATTAATCAATTTACTAATTTAAAAGGATGTTACTAAACATTTAAATCAAATACAAACATATGCTTCAATATTCCCTACTTGTAAATCTAAGAACAGTTTAAAAGATCAGCTGAAGAGCCCAAATCTCAAATGACTGCTTAAAAAGCTCACAGACACCAGGAGTCTCTTAAAAACAAACAACAACCACCACCAAAAAAAAAAAAAACAAAAAACAAAAAAAACAGGCATTCATTTGATGCCTAATAAGTACTTAATTTTATATTCCCTTAATTTATATTTCCATTAGGCAGACAGATGCAAAGATCTAGCTCCAAACCACTTTCTCCCCAATACTGTAATACAGAATTGGAAATGTAGTAAAGTTTGCATCATACTAATTTGTACTTTTTTATGATTACCTAAAAACTAATAAACCAACCAGTTCACTTCATGTTGTCGCCAAACTGAGCACAGCTGCTTTCAAGGTATGGTCACTATGCCTATAGTAAATTTATTTTTCTGGGTTTTTCTTTTTTTTTTTTTTTTTGAGACAGAGTCTTGCTTTTTGCTTTCAAGGCATGGTCACTATGCCTACAGTAAATTTATTTTTCTGGGTTTTTTTTCTTTTTTTTTTTTTGAGACAGAGTCTTGCTTTGCTACCCAGGCTGGAGTGCAGTGGCACGATCTCGGCTCACTGCAACCTCCGCCTCCTGGGTTCAAGCAGTTCTCCTGTCTCAGTCTCCCCAGTAGCTGGGACTACAGCCGCCCGCCACCATGCATGGCTAATTTTTGTATTTTTAGGAGAGATGGGGTTTCACCATATTAGTCAGGCTGGTCTGGAACTCCTGACCTCAGGTGATCCACCCACCTCGGCCTCCCAAAGTGCTGGGATTACCAGCATGAGCCACTGCGCCCAGCCTATTTTTCTGGTCTTAATGAACTATAAGCTAAATTGAAGATGAGATCTATCCAATATTTCTGTTCTAACTCCTCAGAGCACCTACTACACTGCTATGAACTTGATGTGAACATCAAAAAATAATTAGTTAAGTATTAACTGTGTTCAAATCCTGGCTCTGCCACTTGCTAGCTGTGTGATCTCAGGAAAATTACTTAACATCTCTAGGCTTTAATTGCCTCATCTGTTATATAGGTGCCAGGTGTTAAAATAGACTCTGCCTTATAAAACTTGTTATGATCCATGGTAGACTGGATAAATAAAATGTGGTACTACATATACACCATGGAATACTATGCAGCCATACAAAAGAATGAGACCATGTCCTTTGCAGGAACACAGATGGAGCTGAAGGCCATTATCCTTAGCAAACTAACCCAAGAACAGAAATCCAAATACTGCATGCTCACATTTGTAAGTAGGAGCTAAATGATGAAAACACATGGACACATAGAGGTGAACAACAGGCACTGGGGTCTATCAGAGGGTAAAGGATGGGAGGAGGGAGAGGATTAAGAAAAATAATGGGTACTAGGATTAATCCTGGGTGATGAAATAATCTGTACAACAAACCCCCTTGACTCATGCTTACCTATGTAACAAACCTGCACATGTACCTCTGAACTCAAAAGTTGAAAAATAAACTATATCCACACTAGTACACAAATGGAGGCATGCTCTGTCATACATCCTGCTGCATTTAATGTATAAGAAAGAACCATTGGTCCTTGTTGCTCACTTCTGTGAACAAAAAGTGCACTAAGGCCATGGGAGTCATCCACTTTCAGGTCAAGGTCTATCCTTTCCCTTGTGGTAAATACCAGGCCAGAGATGAATCAGCACCAAACCAAAGGCCCTCATCCAAATATGAGAATGCTGACTCCTTCTCATTTAAAGAAAAAAAAAAAAAAGAGATTCTTTTATTTTCAATAATCCTTTATTCTTGGGAAAACCCAGTTTAAATGTGACCTAATTTTTTATTTTATTTAGCATATTACATCTATGATCATAAGTAAGATAAACCCATAATTTTCATTTCTAATATCTTCTTTATCTGAGTTAGGTAGCGAAGTTATACTAGTTTCATAAAAAACAGGAGGTGTCCCTCTCTTTGATTCTCCAGGAAAAACTGAAGTAAAAATAAAATTATGTTTATTGTGCAGCCATAAAAAAAGAGTAAGTTCATGTCCTTTGCGGGGACATCGATGAAGCTGGAAACCATCATCCTCAGCAAACTAACACAGGAACAGAAAACCAAACACTACATGTTCTCACTCATAACTGGCAGTTGAAAAATGAGAACACATGGACATAGCGGGGGAACATCACACACAGGGGCCTGTCAGGGATTAGGGGGAAAGGAAAGGAAGAGCATTAGGACTAATATCTAATGCATGCAGGGCTTAAAACCTAGCTGATGAGTTGATAGGTGCAGCAAACCACCAGGGCACATGTATACCTATGTAACAAACCTGCACATTCAGCACATGTATCCCAGAACTTAAAGTAAAATAAAATTAAAAAGAAAAGAAATTATGTGTATTGACTCTTTGATTTAAATTACCTCTGAATGGCATTTGTGTGAGTAAATTTCTAATCTTGATTAAATTTATATAATGAATTTTTTAAAAAACCATTGTTAGGATTAAATGATAATCCATTTAAAGCACCTAGCACAAGTATACAACAACACTTAGTAAATGTTTGCTCCTGCCTCCTCAAGGAATGCAGCCCTGCCGATATCTTGATTTTAAGTCCATGGGACCTCTGTTGTTGGACTTCTGACCTCCAGAACTGTACTTTGGTACTCTATTTGGTACCTGTTAGGCAGTGACCTTAGCAGTCACAGAAGAAACTTGTACTTGGAAAATCTACTTTCATATACTTCATATTTTCCCATTCTACAGATTTTTAACAAAGTTCATTTTGTAAAATCCATTTTTGTCTAACTTGGACTGAGAAAAATCGAGATGGGATTTTGTTTTCATTATAAACAAGCCAAAGACTTAGAAAAGTGAGCCTTTAGGACTAAAACACACTGACCTCAGCGTGACTTTAAACACAACCTTTAAAGTTGAGGAAAAAAAGTAAATAATGATGTGAAATTTTTGGTATGTGAAACCTGACTAGAATTTCAAAGAAAACTTTAGGATATATTAAAAATCACAAAATGGGGCTTTTACTCCAAGAATGTTTTCACTAAAAGATGAGCAATTACAAAAAATAATCAAAACAGCGCCAAGGCACACTAGTTCAGGCCTATAATCCCAATACTTTGGGCGGCCTAGGCAGGAGGATCACTTGAGCCCAGGAGTTTGAGACCAGGCTGGGCAACATAGCAAGACCCCATCTCTAAAAAAAAAAAAATCTTAAATTAGCCAGGCATGGTGGTGCATGCCTGTGGTCCTATCTACTTGCGAGGAAAGCCTGAGCCTAGGCGTTTGAGGCCATACTGAGCTATGATTGTGCCACTGTACTCCAGCCTGGACAACAGAGGAAGACTCTGTCTCTAAAAAATAAAAATAATCAAAGCAGGTAAAATTCAATTATTTAGAAGATGAAAAACAAAATCCATCACAAATGACATAATTTTGAAAGAAAGAGTATCAAAAAGAAAAAATTGACCAGAAAAAAATTGAAAGCTATCACACAATAAGTCTGGAATCTATTTTTTAAAACTTATATAAAAAGCCCAAATAAGAGAATGAGTCAATGAGAGACTGGAAATAGAATCCAGGCTTTCTGCACTTTACACCAGGTGGCCTCTCAAATAGGTACTAAGAAACTATAATATCAGACACCTACAGATACACACACACACACACACACACACACACACACACACACACACACGAAAACTAACTTACTGAATCAATAAAGTTAACGATAGATTATTTTTTTAAAAATCGGCTGGGCCCAGTGGCTCATGTCTGTAATCTTAGTACTTTGGGAGGCCAATGAGGGAGGATTGCTTGAGCCCAGTAGTTCAAGACCATCCTGAGCAACATAATGAGATGCTGTCCTCTACAAAAAATAGAAAAATTAGTTGGGTGTGGTAGCATATGCCTGTAGTACCAGCTACTCAAGAGGCTGAGGTGAGAGGATTGATTGGGCCTGGGAGATGGAGGCTGCAGTGAGCAGCGAGCCGTCATCATTCCACTGCACTAAAGCCTGGGTGACAGAGCAAGACCTTGTCTCCAAAAAAAAAAAAAAACAAAAAAACGCCAGGTGCAGTGGCTCACGCCTGTAATCCCAGCACTTTGGGAGGCCAAGGCGGGCAGATCACGAGGTCAGGAGATCTAGACAATCCTGGCTAACACAGTGAAACCCCATCTCTACTGAAAATACAAAAAATTAGCCGGGCGTGGTGGTGGGCGCCTGTAGTCCTAGCTACTTGGGAGGCTGAGGCAGGAGAATGGCGTGAACCCGGGAGGTGGAGCTTGCAGTGAGCCGAGATTGTACCACTGCACTCCAGCCTGGGTGACAGAGCAAGACTCCATCTCAAAAAAATAAAATAAAATAAAATAAAGTCAAAGGGTGAACAGAAAATTTCATGGATAAGTCAGGTACAAATTCTCATACAAATGAAAAGAAAGGATTTGAGAAGTAGATTCAAAGTGATTTCTTTCTTTTTGTGAAAAGAAGAAAAGGCATTTGAAAATCACAAGGACCACTAAGAAAATATAGTACAAAGTTTACTCAAAGATGAAAAAAAGAGAGAAGGAGCTAGGGTATTTCGTAAGAAGGTTTGAAAGCATTAAGGTTATAGGTATTAGGGACTGGATAAATAGGCAGGATTGCCTTGCTTCCCTTAGCATCTCTTTCCTTTTTCTTCTTTCTCTGGCTCTTCAATGTTTCCGCATTCCCCATTTTTGTCTCCATAACTTCCTTCTTGAATTCTCCTTCCCAAGATATCTATTCATTCCAGATCAGCTCTTACATGACTATGCTACTGAAGAGAAGGACAGGAAGTCTACTCTAATGGACTGCTTTTCTAAGTTAGCTGTTTAGAATGCAAGACCCATGTAACCATAGAAATGATGTAGCTACAGAACTGTACATTTATAACATGTGTTTCCAAGCACAGGCCCAAAACCTCTTACCTGCAACTAGTAAACCCAAACAGTGCCAAAAACTGGAAACTTTTAAGTTTGCAGTAACCTCATTTGACATCAAATGTGATCACGTGATTAAACTGACATGAGGTTATTAATAGTCTCAGTGTGAATATTCATAGAATTTCCAGCAAAAATATAAATGTGACTAAAGGTGATGGCCATATTTTATTAGGTAGATTATACAACATATTGCAAATATACCCAAATACCTTTCTAAAGTCTAAAAAATCTGAATCTCAAATATATTTAGCCCAAGTGTTTCTGGATAAAGTATTGTGGCACTGAACTATATTTTTATTTTCAGGTGCAGTATTTTTACCTACCTAGTGGACTATAAGATGGGCACATTCAGGAATCTAACCACTGTTCCAGCACTGGCCTTAGTGATGTTCAAAACGCACATTCACCTAAACTAAATCCCGTGTCTCAGTAATTTATCACTGTAGTAGGCAGTCATATGCAAGACATTCCTACATCAGCTGCTTTCACTTTGGGACCATCTGAATATTTATTAATATATTTACTTAATAAAGTTTTGTTTTCCCTCTTCCTAACCTAAAAACATACCGGTAAGCTGAAATTTTATCCTTTTCTTCCCTCTATGTCAGTAGTTCTCAACCTGAGCAATTTTGCTCTCCAGAGGACATTTGGCAACCTCTAGAAGCATCTCTGGTTGTCACAACTGGGGTTAGGAGTGTTAGTGGCATGTAGTAGTAATGGCTATGGATGCTGTTAAACACCCTACAGTACACAAAACAGAATAAAGAATTATCCAGTCCAAAATGTCAATAGCACCAACAGTGAGAAAGCTTCCTTTACATTGATCCCACCATCCTTATTAACAAAATGAAATAGCGCCACAGAATTTTAGAGTTTTTCAATTTGGATGGCTCAAATGACTTTTCCCTCAATGTAACTCTGTGATCCTCCCAACAAAACAAAACAATTTCCTCCTGTACCACTTTTTAAAATCATTTCTAATCATCAGATCCTTGACTTGGTAGGAAAGAAAACAATGAACATATGCTCTAAAGCTTATTATTATATTGCAGTAACAGTAAAAGAAGTAAGTTCCATAAATAATTGCAACTATCTTTTGTACATCCATTTTTCAAATGAGATTTCTATCAAAAAATAAAAATATTTTTCTCAAGCAATCAACTTCAACTTTTAAACTATTTTTTTCTTACATCTTAAAATTTACCTTTGAAAGAGTTCACGGTATGCCACCCAAAAATATGTCACTCTGCCATAAGGATTATTTTGAGCTGAAGGCAATCGAGAAGAAGCAGACATAAGAAAAACTCCGCCTTCCCCTGCTTTACCAGAAAGGGAAGGACTATTCTTAACAAGAGAAACCACTCTAGACTCTTAATAGAGACAGCACCAGGGGAACCTACATAACCAACCTTGCTAAAAGAACACATATCTTCCATTAGTTTCCCCACATATACCTTCCCACAATTTACTGCACCTACAAGTTCAAAGTCCTTTTCCTTTGTCTTGTCATTTTTTAAATAAATTCATTGTTCTTTATTAAGATGCCACATAAGCCCCATGTTTGAGTTACTATCGAGTTCTCCCCTATGTATGCATGATGCATGTCTTAATAAGCTTATGTTTTTCTCTTGTTAATATGTCTTTTATCAGTCTAATTTGCAGGGTCCCAGCCAAGGAACCTAAGCTGGGTAGAAGAAAAAGCATTTTCCTAGGGAAAAACAAAACAAAACAAAAAAGGGGGGAAGAGGTAGACAGAGGGAAGAGGAAAGAGTTGAATTTGGTACAGACCTGAATCTTTTATCTACATATGATACAATTAAGAATGTGAAGTTAAAACAGTAATAAGTACTTAAATGTACTCAGAAACGTTTCTCCCTTTTTTGGGCAAATAATCTTTTTTAAAAAAAATAAGAAAAGCTACCAGCTTACCCTTTACTTTTAGAGACCAAACCAAGAGACTGACTGAGTCGATGAATAAAGGCTCTTTCAGTACTGGTCAAAGAAGAAGGAAATTCCATTTCTACACGGAAAAAAAACAAAGTAGTAAAATTTGTAGATAGGCAATTTTCTCTCAAGTAAAACACACAGATACAAAATATGAAAAACATACATAGACAATCAAATTTATTATACTTTATTTGAGGTTAACTTTATATTTCATATTCTATTTATGTAAATTAATAAAATTAAGATATTTTATTAATTCAATAACTACTGAATGTCTATCAGAATTCTGATATTAATAAAAAGACAGCTATGTATTAAACCTAAATGTGATAAAGGCCTCTGATATTCACCAAAAACGACTCCTCTTACTTGTTCTGGAATTTTGAGTTGGTATAATGACTGAACATATTTAACTTGGTCCCTACTTGTTTAGTTAACAAAATGTTTATTTTCTTCAATGATGAGATATGTTCAAATATTATGAATTCTCAACATGAAACTCCATTGTCTTTGCTTTCAAAACTGTACAGAATTCGTATTTCACTATTTCAGAGGGATTTGTTATATATTGCTGAGGCTTTCTCTTTTTTTAATGTGAATTTAGAATCTCTCTGTCTAGAACATTCCCCGTTTTGGACTATAAGATTCCAGAGTAAGAGGTCCCCTAACTAAGCCAGCAGGTCCGAATGAGCCCTCAACAGACTGCACAGGTCACCGCAGGTCAGTTGCTGGTTCTGCATTATATGACCCAAGACAAGTGGCTATCTAACCTCAAGAGGTGTGGAAGATGCTTCGTGTGCCAAACAAGTTTAATTTAAGTGGGTAGCGTGATGCTTCAGGGTCCAAACGTATTGCTGGTGCATTTATTTATATGTTTGATTTCTTTCTGCTCTTCTACATCTGTAGCTTAAACGTGCCACAATTAGGTGACACCCCCTTAAAAAGGGTTAGGGCTAACCAATATCTGAAACACGGTGGCTTAACCGCCCAAGGCTGCTGAAAGACGCGGGGGAAAAACACTTTCAGCTAGGGAGCAAAGTGCCCATAACCCCATTGATCCGCAGAGCACCTCGCATTCCACCGCAGGGCCAACAGCCGCGTTCCAGACCCGGGTGCCGCCGCTGAGGCCCGCCCCGGACGGTGGCCCGGGTCTTCCCTCCCTCTTCGGAGGCACCCCCATCACTCGGTGGGCCGCCGTTTGGGGGGCGCTGGGGTGAGGGGGGTATCCTGACTGCCAGCATGGTCCCTGTCCGGAACCTCACCTCTCTGGTCCCCGTATCGGAAGCGCTCCAGCGCGATATTGACTGCGATCTTCACCTCCTCATCAATGCGAATGTCCTTCAGCCCCTTGGCCCGGCCGCCGCCCCCAGGGCCACAAGGCGAGGGGCCGCCGCCTCCGCCACCGCCAGGAGCCGGCTGCCGCGGGGAGACGCTGCTCGGCCTGGACATTGCCCTGAAGAGATGGTCTCTCCGCACGGGAGCGGCCAGGCCTGCTAGCTGACAGCCAATGACAAAGACCGTGGGAATCCGGGGCCACTACCGGGAAGCTCCGGAGACGGCCTGTGTTGGGCTGAGGTCACCAGAAAGGCCTCAGTCACCGCCACAGCAGAAGTGAAGCCTGCGCCATTGATATCACGGCCAGGCGAGGAGCGCGGGCGTAATGACGTCACCAGGGCCGGCGCCCGTGACCTCAGCGCGGCCGCCGCTGCGCGCCTAAAGGAGGCTGTCTGCGGAGCTATGGTGCGGTTCTCTTCCCGCGCCGCCCACCAAGGGTCGCTCCTCATCTTCTTATTCACTCACTTGCTACTTCGTTTAGTCCTTCATTAATTCCTGCAGTAAGCATGTATGGGCTTCTACTGTGGACCTGGCATTATGCCACGCCTTCGATGTACATTGGAGAACCAGAGAGCCAAGGTTCCTACCTTCATGGAGTTTATATTTTAGTGGGAGGAGGGTTGCCAGATTTAGCAAATAAAAATACAGAATGCTTAATAATTTGCATTTCAGATAAACGAATAATTTTTAGTGTATATATTTCCCATGCAATATTTGGAAAAATATCATAAAAAATACATATACTAAAGAATGAGCCACTGTTGTGTGTCTTGCATTCTTCCCTTTTCTGAATGGGAGATTTTAATGCAAGTATGCCACCCTTGCTCTATCACGCTACACAGGGTAGCTGAGTGGGGGCAGGTATGTAGTACATATTTACATAGTTCATGAGTTACCTGGCAATGAGGATATACATCTGGATCTAATAAAGAGGACTGTGTATCAACAACAGATCCTGGATGCAGTGACTAGATAGAATTCCAGGTGTCTGGGGAGGGTATATGTGTATTCTGTGTGTGGTAAGAAGGGGGCGGAATATTTGGTGACAAGAAGTATCTTTTCTTCCTAGGCATTATATTTCCCAACTCTCCTGCAGTTAGCTGGGGGCCACATGGCTGAGTTCCGGCCATTGGAATGTTGCTGGAACTGATGTATACCACTTCCAGGATTGGTCTATAACACCTTCCTTGAATCTTCCCTTCTCTGTCTTTCCTGGTCTTCTGGAAGTTCTTAGACAACGGTGGAACCACTAGATAGATAACAGGTTCCCGATTCCCTGAACGAGTGTGATAGAGTGTCCTCACCAACCCACATTGGAATATGACATGGGTAAGAAATAATTCTTAGTTGTGGTAAACTGCTGAGATTTGGGAAGATTTTTTTTTGTAACATTATGGTAAATTGTTGAATTCATCAAAGGTATGGCCTTTGATGAATCACACATTCCTCTGTTCACACCCTTGTATTCTTCCTTCCCACATGGACTCTGTCTTTGGCTATGTAACTTGCTTTGGCCATTGGGACATCAGCAAATACGAGATAAGCAGGGGCTTGAAAGGTGTTTGTGCATTAAGGCTTAGCCTGTTTTGCTGCTGAGAATTCTTCTTCCACAAAGTAAAGAAGCTTAGGCTAGCCCACTGACAACTATGGCCCAATCATCCACCAGCACCAAGGGCAAGACGTGAAAAAGGCCATAATGGAAAGTCTAGTCTTAGAAAAGCTGCTGGATGACCACAACTCTGTAAGCAACCCAAAGCAAGATTAGCAAAACCACCTAGCTAAACATAGTCCAAACTGTTGACCCACAGAACACATAAACAAATAAAATGAATATTGCTGTAAGCCACTAAGTTTTAGGTTGGGTTTCTTACACAGCAGTAGATAACTGATACAAAGAGTTAGCTTATTCTGACTAATATATTTGTACAATGATAAGGCTGATCTTGGGCATAAGTGACTAGGCTGAAAGAACTAGCTTCACCCGTTCCAGTTTGTACCCAGTTGCCTAAGAACTGGGGTCATCAACATCTTGATATGCCTGTAAACAACTTGTGGCATACGAGCATGCCACAGCACAGTGGTCTGGAGACTGCTCTCTTCTCATCTATAAAATTGACCTGGTAGAGTAATAAAGTCTTAAAATATAACCAACATGATTTTATTATTGATGCTAGGGATATTTCCTCCCACCCTTTGCCCCCTCATCACCCCTACTTTGCCAGCCCTCCATCCCTTTCTCTCTTGTTCAGCCAGGTCATTTAGGGGTTATTATTTGGGGAAATATTGTCTTAAGTTGGTTTCGGTTCTCTGGAACTGGAAAAAGTCACATAGTAATACACCAGTAAGTTGCCAAAAAGGATCCTGAGCCCTGCTTCTCTTGGGGAGAACAAAACAAAAACCCTGAATGGTGTGGGAGATCCTGGAACAGAATGGCCTGTGCTACTTTCCCAAGGGAAGGCCAGAGAGGCAG
Source organism: Homo sapiens (assembly GCF_000001405.40). Taxonomy (NCBI): domain Eukaryota; kingdom Metazoa; phylum Chordata; class Mammalia; order Primates; family Hominidae; genus Homo; species Homo sapiens. The sequence goes on along the minus strand of NC_000005.10, from coordinate 113,511,539 downwards.
CTCAGGAAAGAAGGTAGTGTGGTGTGCCTAGGCAGGTGAGGCGCAGTGTGGTATAGAGCAGCAAAGGGTTCCTGGTGCCCAAGAGGTGTCCAGAATTGGCAGAGATATGCCAGACCTGAAGGAATCGCACAGTTGAGAATAAGCAATGAATGACTTAACGGTGACTTATGTTGTTTGACCACCAAGGATCAGAAACTCTTTCCCACACTTACTGATGCCTTGATACTCCGTAAGTCCCCCAGAACTTAAAAGCAAGCCTAGGCAAGAGTGGCAGCCCCTGAATTAACTGAGGTTAATTACAGAGAAACTAAGTTCTTTCATATCTAAATCTATGGAATAAAATTTGTACTTAAGTAATTGTAAAACTACTTCCAGCGCTATCATTTTATATACATATCATAATATAGATGCCAAAAATTGGTATTTTTCTATACCCTGTATATGTGTCTACCTGTCTACACATTAATCAGCTTCAATGTATATTAATATGGTTAGCCACAAGGTGACACTAGAAAGCTATCTTTTGCTTATGGTTCTAGGTCTTGACCGTCATTGATTTTCATAAACGGCTTCTATGAAGTATTGTATTAACAGTAGTAATCCCTTCCAGGGACATTTTCATTTTAATAAGGGAGATGGCAGCAATGAGGTTAATAGGAGGCAATGTTCATATTTTAAAATAATAAAAATAAGACTCTCTGGAACAGGCTATCAACTAGTTTTTATTCTTGCTCTTCTTACCCACTCTCATGTGATAGGATATCCCAATCACTACAAAAAATATCAAACACTAATTTATTCAACATCCATAAATAAAAAATGTAAATAGAAATAGTCTGTTAGATCTTGGAGCTTAAAATTTAAATGACTGTTTTTACAGAATGTGCCTCAAAAACGTCTAGAACATCCTTAAACCATCTCCCAAACACTAAAAGCTCAGTCCAAAAATGTGAACACAGTAGGTCAGCAAATACATTGTGTAACTCACTGAGCAATTGCTATCTTATGTTGGGGATGACTGAGAAGAGGAGGAAAACCATCTCTTCCAGGACGTCTTGCTTATTTGATTTATAAAGGAGATGCAATTTAAAGGATTGCTTAGGAAAATAGGAAGAAAAGGTTTGGAAAAGCTCACAGGGAAGAACTTTTTTTTTTTTTTGAAACAGAGTCTTGCTCTGTTGCCCAGGCTGGAGTGCAGTGGTGCCATCACAGCTCACTGCAAGCTCCATCTCCTGGGTTCATGCCATTCTCCTGCCTCAGCCTCCCAAGCAACAAGGACTACAGGTGCCTGCCACCACATCCAGCTAATTTTTTTGTATTTTTAGTAAAGACAGGGTTTCACTGTGTTAGCCAGGATGGTCTCGATCTCCTGACCTTGTGATCCACCAGCCTCGGCCTCCCAAAGTGCTGGTATTACAGGCATGAACCACCACGCCCAGCCCACGGGAAAGAATTTTCTAAGCAAAGGAGTAGTATATAAGAGAAAGTAGCATGTCACAATCTCGAAAGCCCCTCATTGAGAACATGGAAAGGCAGGTTGAAGGGACCAAAGAAGAAAGCAGTGACACTAAATGATCAATGTGGATCTAGTCTATGGTCAGATAGCAGAGGAAATTTACCTACTGGGAAGTGGAACCATTGCATGGTTTTGAAGACAGGAGGGATATAAATTTGTCCGTTGGCATATGTCCTTATGGAATTTTAAGGAAACCATGCCCTTGGGATGCATCAAGAGTAGGATTTTAAAAATCAAGAGTAGAAATGATGACACTTTAAAGAATTTAACTGTAGTAGTAAAAAGAATCAGGTGAGAATTTATGAGAGGACGCTGCAGAACTGGGAGAATGAAGACCCCTAAGTTTCTCCTTCAGGAGACTTTTAAGAAGAACTCAGAGACGAAGAGGGAGAGTCTATTCATGGAGTTGTCTCCTGGGACCCTCTGAAGAGAACATCAAAAACCCACTGAAAACAAAAAGATTATTGCTAAATATTTAATGTTTCTGTTTTATGAAAGGATTCAGTTTTTAAACCATAGGCAAAATTTACCCATGCAGATAGCTAAAGAGGAATTGAATACATTTTTCCGTTGCTTGACAGTGTATTCATATCCCACAAAATAAGGATTTTATTTTCCCCAGGGCACACTTAGTATTTCGTAAATATAGTACTTTATTTCTTACTGATATTTTTCTTCAAAATATTCACAAGCAAAATTGTGGTAATCACTGAATTGTTGTGATGGTTATACTGGTCTTCTTTATACTATTCTTTTTACTTTGGGGTATGTTTGAAAATGTTGACAATTTTTTAAAAAAATCGTTAAGAGTCTTTCTAGCCCCAAACTGTATCAAGTTAGTAAACCTACTTACGCATTTGGGATAGGTTAAGAAAGAAGTGTTCTTTCAGGACATGCAACTACCTGGTTTGATTGGATCATCCAAAAGTAGTCAACTCCAGCAACAGCAACAAAGAAAAACCAGACTGGCATTTGGTCAGGGAGGAATACTGTTCAGGAATACTCCCTTGGCAGATGTTTTGGGGACATTTCTTTCATGTTTAATTTGGCAAATTGACTCACAACTAACACTGAAAAGGAAAGAGACCACATGATTAAAAGAAGATTATATTAGTCACCTCAGGCTGCCATGACAAAATACCATAGACTGGGTGGCTTAAAACAACAGAAATTTATTTTCAGCAGTTCTGAGGGCTGAAAAGTCCAAGACCAAAGTCTGGGAAAGTTCATTTTCTATAGAGAGCCCTTTTCCTGGCTTGCAGATGGCTGCCCACTTGCTGTGTGCTTACATGGCCTTTTCTTAGTGCTTGCACTCAGACAGCTTACTCTCTCATGTCTTCTCTTAAAAGGGCACCAATCCTGTCTTGAGTGTCCCGCACACTCAAGTGTCTCAACTTGAGTCTCTCAACTAGCACTAATTACCTTCCCATGCTCAAGTACCTTCACATTGGAGGTTAGGTCTTTAATATATGAATTAGGGGGGTGGGGACACAAACATTCATAACAGAGATGTCAGGGACTTCAGAGTTATGTGCTAAGATGCATGTGGACACCACCTGACTCAAGTCTCCCCAATCTATTCCCCAAACTTAATCCCATCATCTTCCCTTCCCTGTAATGACTGGTCCATCACACAGGGTAATGGGGCCCCAAGAGGTGCACTGGAGTCACATTGATGCCTCCACACTCTTCTTCAGCCCCTTCCTCTCCTCTGGCCCATAAGACCTATTTAACAGACTGTTCCCACAAAGTTTTCAGTCAATACTAAGGACTGAGTAGTCTTCCAGGGACATTTCCACTTTAACACAGGAGTCTTAAAGAGGAACCTCCAAAATGCAAAGAAATAAAGCTCTTGTAATGTAATTTCTGGAAATGCTATAGCTAGTGAGGAGTTTGCAAATGGGATTCCATCTCATTATGACCTGAATCACTGCATGGAAGTGGCCACTACTCTCTGTTTGTGAGACTAATCCTTGTCAAGACTTAGGTAGCACATGAGCAGAGGATAGTTTTGACTTATTGCTTATTCTCCAAAGTAATGAGCAAGTGAAATTTTAACTATGGCAAATAAATGATAGAATTTTAGAAATAGAAGGAATCTTTGAAATTCAACTGGATCACTTTACAAATGAGGAAGTGAAAGTATACCTTGGCTGGGTGTATTGCCCAATACTGTATAGTTACATGAAGATCAAAGACTAGAATACTTTTTATGACACTATTTCACATCATTGCTCCAGTTCTGCCCCATATCATTAGATATCAAGATCAGCTTCTGGCAGCACACCCTCAGTCTAGACCAGTTAGCAAAGAGGTGGTCAAGCAAGCCACTTCCTCACCAGCAACTCTTTAATTTATGAGACTTAGGCAACCACTTTTGCACATTTCATGCTGTGTTGGGTCTCAAAAATTGGTTTGTGGCTTCCTTTTCAAATAAGTCACATATACTGAATTGCCAACTGTTACCACCCTACCTTTTGTATTAATTCACAAATGTAGGCAACCTCTAGGTAGGTTCAATCTTATTGTCTCCATAACGATCAACACACAACTGATAAAACAAGCACCAGTCTCTTACCTTTGCAGACTCTTGAGAAGGTCCCTGACATTAGAGAGATTTATGGGGTCAATGGACAAATGCTAGATTTAATAAATACTTAAGATACAAAGCCGCTGTATCTATCTCTTGGATCCCTTCTGATTGCCCAGTGTGGAGATCATGGTTCTTGCAACTTCAGGACTTGGCTGCTGAGAGGAGCCAAGAATGTGGAAACAGTGTAGCTCATTTATTGCTTCCATGTTGGTCTGAGATTATGGGAAAAAAGGTACTATCAGTCCATGGTTGGATTAATAACAAGGAAGAGCATTAAAGCTATTTTGAGACTTTTCTTCAAGTTTGCACTTTGGAAAATTTCCAATCTCAAGTAAAGAGAATAGTGGCCGGGTGCGGTGGCTCATGCCTGTAATCCCAGCACTTTGGGACACTGAGGTGGGTGGATCATCTGAGGTCAGGAGTTCAAGACCAGCCTGGCCAACATGGTGAAACCCTGTCTCTACTAAAAATACAATAATTTGTCGGCCATGGTGGCTCATGCCTGTAATCCCAGCTACTCGCGAGGCTGAGGCAGGAGAATCACTTGAACTCGGGCGGTGGAGGTTGCAGTGAGCCGAGATCGTGCCACTACATTCCAGCCTGGGTAGCAAAGCAAGACTCTGTCTCAAAAAAAAAAAAAAAAAAAAGAGGATAATGAATCTCCATGTACCCATCATCTAGCCTCAACAGTCTGCCATCCTTGACCCAGGTGTACCTCCACATGCTTCCCACCCTTACTCAATTATTATCATTTTAAAGTAAAATGTATATACATTGAAATGCACAATTGTTAGCTATACAATTCAGAACTGGATACCCTGTGTAGCCCACACTCCTATTGTCTCCTTTTGGGTATACTTAAAATATATATAAGTCAGTAGATAATGAAATAACTTACAACTTTTCAGCTGTTCTCATTTTCAAATCACGAGGCATTCTTGGGGGTGTTCCTCACTTGAGAAATTCTTCCCTTGTGCCTCCCCTCATCCCATCTCAGCACTGGAAGATCAAGCCACATTTGTCTCTGACACTGTTTGCCTCTGCACATTGACTCCAGATGTCTACCTGACTTCTTAGATTTGAGAATCCAAATGAGATTTCCAATAGTTTATTCACTGGCTCCACCCATCTAAGATAAAAACCCTGCTCCAATCCCCTCCCAGAACTCAGCAGCCTAACTCACTCTGACTGCTTTGCCTGGTAGAGGAGATAAATGAAGCAGGTTAGCCTTCTTGGTCCACCAGGAGAACACCCTGGAAATAAGAAAGAGAATGGGAGGTACAGAAATAAAATGGATTCCTTCCCAATCACCCCAAGTATACTGAATAGAAGGTGAATGAAATAGAGAGAAATAAGGGCAAGTCATTCCTGATCAAAAGTAAGGAAAGAAAAATAAAGCTTCTGAGCTAAGAGTGTCAAGGTGATTGTTCTTGCTATAAGTATCTTTCCCCTAGAGCAGTGCGTGTTAGACAGATACACAACCAGATATACACTGTTTTTATTGTGTCCAGAAAAAATACATGCATAAATGAAAAGGTTTTATGAAACAATATGTGACACTGCAAGTCCTGTGAGGATAACATTCCAAGAGCCCCAGTGGATGCCTAAGACTGAGGATAGTATTGAACCCATATACATTTTGCTTTTTCTATAAATACATACCTATGATAAAGTTTAATTTATAAATCAGACACAGTAAAAGATTAACAGCAATAACTAGTAATAAAATAAAACAACAATAACAGTATACTATTCACAATTTCATGAATAGAAGATTCATTTTTACTGTAGATCTTTGCAACCTCAGCATATGATTTTTGTTTTCATTCCCTAAATTGAGAACTTTTACCTTTTCACTTAAACGAAGCACTTTACCGCTTCACTTTGGCATATCCAAATTGCCAGCATCCCTATTCTTGCACTTTGGGGCCATTATTAAATAAAATAAGGATTGCTTGAACACAAGCACTGTGATACCATGACAGTCGATCTGATAACCTAGACGGCTAAGTGACTAATGGGTGAGTAGTGTATACAATGTGGATACCCTGACAAAGGGAGGATTCACTTCTCAGGCAGGACAGAGCAGGGCAGTGCAAGATTTCATCATCAGAACTGTGCACAATTTAAAACTTACGAATTGTTTATTTCTGTAATTTTCCATTTAAGATTTGTGGACCATGGCTGACCATGGAAAGCAAAACTGCAGATAAGGAAGGAGTATTGTACTAAGTTAAATATATGCAGATATTTTCTGTTTCTCTAGTTCATGTTTTATTTTTCTTCTCTAGTTCATGTTTTTAAAGGCCTGGCTACCACTTACTAAAATAATTTTGCAACTCACTGATGGGTTGCAAACTGCAGTCTGAAAACCACTGCCCTAAAGATTTGGCATAAGATGCTGGAAAGGAGCTCTTTTCTCTGGAGTTCTTGGCCTCACTGTTTCCTTCATTAGAAACCCGTTTGATCCTTCACAAAGTATGGTTGCTCAGTTTAAATCCAAGATACCTATGTTCATTACAAGAGATGATATTTAGCTAGGGATTATGTAAAGTCAACCAACATATAACACCTGACAGGCATAAGACTCCTCTTTATAGCCAGCCCCACCTACTAGAGCTAGGGTAGAGGTGGCTGGAAAGCCTATCATCATGTGAGGTACTGAGAGAGTGATGATGATGCATGTCCCCGCACACACTCAGCCTGCTTCATGTAGTCCCTATTGTGTTTGCCACATCCTTTAGTTCCAAGAAGAAATGCAAGCACATTAAAAATAAGAGGTGCTGTGTACGCAAAGAAAATACCAGGCCCCCTCTCCAGAGATTTGAATCTAAACCCTGTATGGCTAACTTCCTATATCTGAACCCAGAAAGAGAAATAGAAAACATTTAAAAAGGAGGATCTGATGTTATCTGATATCCAGCAATAAATGTCTTAAAAATATCATGATGTACAGCCTTATCCAGTTTTATAATACTAAAAATTATAATGGCTATGTTTCACTGGGCTCTTCCCAGTGGTCCAGTGTGCTTTGCATTATTTCCTGGAATTTAGTAATACCTCTATGAAATAAGTGATACTACTACCCCCATTTTACAAGTGGAAGAGGGAAACAATGAGTATCAGTTGGGGCCCTAAGACCTACAGCAGTGATGGAGATTGTTATTTTTCCCAATAAACTTCCTCTTCTAAGAGTGCCCCTGAGGCCAGGAGCAGTGGCTCACACCTGTAATCTCAGCACTTTGAGAGGCTGAAGTGGAAGGGTCACTTGAGCCCAGGAGTTCGAGACCAATCTGGGCAACATAGCAAGACCCTGTCTCTATTTAAAAAGAAAAGAAAAAAATGAAAATAAAAGAGTGCCCCAGAAAGAGAGGCCCACTGGAATCACAGAGGAGCTGCTTCCCAGACATACACAAAGAAGTGGATTCAAATAGCTCAAGATGAACTGTGATGAACATTAAGGTGCACCACCAAGTTCTCCCTTCAAGAATGGACTTTTTGGGGTAGGTAGAGCATGATGGCTGATTAGAAGCCTTTAGCAATTGTCACCTCCACAGAAACATCAAATTGAACAACTACCTACACAAAAAAAGTAACTTCATAAGAACCAAAAATCAGATGAGTAATTGCAGTAACTGATTTTAACATCATATTAAGGAAACATGCACTGTTAAGAGGAAAAGAAAGACAGTCTTGAATCCCTTACACCACCCCTCCCTCATTGCATGGCAGCAGCTATTTGGTGTGGAGAGAGAATCTGTGTATTTGGAGAAGGGAGAGTGCAGTGATAGTGGGACTTTCTTTCGGAACTCAGTGCTGCCTTGTCACGGGAATGCCTATTTTTTGTGGAAACATGGGGCAGAACTCAGCTAGCATACTTGGAGGGAGCATTTAGATCAACCCTAGCCAGGGGGAATCACCCCTTCCGGCAGTTGGAACCTGAGTTCCAGCTAGCCCCATCACTGCAGGCTAAAGCTCTGGGGCCCTAAATAAATTTGAAAGGCAACATAAGCCACAAGGATGGCAATTCCTGGGCAGATCTTGGTGCTGACCTGGGCTCACAGCCAGTGGACTTGGGTTATACATGACCTAGTGAGACAGTTGGGATGACCAAGGGAGTGCTTGCATCACCCCTCCCCAACCTTAGGAGGCACAGCTCACAGCTTCAAGAGAGACTCCTTCTTGGGGAGAGGAGAGGGAACAGTAAAGAAGACCTTGTCTTGCAACCTCAACACTAGCTCAGCCACAGTAGGGTAGAGCACCAGGCAGAGTTGTGAGGCCCCCTAGCTCCTGGATGACATTTCTAGATATACCCTGGGACAGAAGGGACCTGCTGCCTTGAAGGGAAGTTACCAGTCCTGGCAGGATTCAACACCGGCTGACTAAATCAGCAGTAGTGGCCAGGTTGTACTTGCCATGGGCCTTAGGTGAGACTCAGAACCATGCTGGCTTCAGGTGTGACCCAGCACCTTCCCAGCTGTGGTAGCTAAAGGAGAGACTCCTTTTGTCTGAGGAAAGGAATGGGAATAATAAGAGGACCTTGTCATATAGCTTGGGTACCAGCTCAGCCATAGTGGCATACAGCAAGCAGATACCCAGGGTCCCTGATTCCAAGTCTTGACTCTTGGACAGGATTTTTTGGATGTGCCCTGGGCCAGAGGGAAGCCACTTCCCTGAAGGGAGACACCTAGGCCTGGCAGCATTTATCACAAGCTAACTCAAGAGCCCTTGGGCCGTGAATGAAAACTTGTGGTAGCCAGGCAGTACTCCTTATGGGCCTGGGTGGTGGTGGCCATGGGGAGAGACTCCTCTGCTTGAGGAAAGGGGAGGGAAGAGTAGGAAGGACTTTGTCTTATGACCTGGGTGCCAGCTCAGCTACAGTAGAATAGAGCACCAGGTAGATTCCTAAGGTTCCTGGTTCCAGGCCCTGGTTCACAGATGGCATCTCTGGACCCACCTGGGGCTGAGTGGAACTTGCTGCACTGAAGGACACAAGCCTAGCTGTATTTGCCGCCTACTGACTGTAGAGCCCTTGGGCCTTGAGTGAACATGTGTGGTAGCCAGGCAATGGTCCCTGCGGGCCTTGGGTGAGACCCTGTGCTGTGGGTCTGACCCAGTGCAGTCCCAGTGGTTGTGGCCGCAGTGGTGCTTGTGTCACCTCTCCCTCAGCTCCAGACAGCTCAGCACAGAGACAGACTCTTATTTGTTTGGGGGAAATTAAAGGAAGAAAACAAGACTCTCTGCCTGGTAATCCAAGAATTCTCCTGGATCTTACCCAAGACCACCAAGGCAGTACCTCTGTGAGTCTGCTGTGAGTCTGCAAGAGTCACAGTGCTACTGAGCACTGGGGTGCATCCTAATGCAAATATGGCTGCAGTGACGAAAGACTTAGATAACAACACCAAAATCCCTTTGAATACTTGGAAAGCCTTCCCAAGAACAGGTATAAACCAGCCCAGACTCTGAAGACTACAATAAATGCCTAACTCTTCATTCTCAGATACTGATGAACATCCACAAGCATCATGCAGGAAAACATAACCTCACGAAATTAACTAAATAAGGCACCAAGGACCAGTCCCAGAGAGACAGGGATATGTGACCTTTCAAAAAGAGAATTCACAATAGCTGTTTTGAGGAAGCTCAGCAAAATACAAGGTAACACAGAGAAGGAATTCAGAATCCTATCCGATAAGTTAACAAAGAGATTAAGATAATTAAAAACAAGCAGACATTCTGGAGTTGAAAAAAGCAATTGACATACTGAAGACTATATCAGAGTCTCTTACTAGCAAAATTGATCAAGTAGAAGAAAAAATTAGTGAGCTTGAAGACAGAACTATTTGAAGATACACAGTCCAAGGAGACAAAATAAAAAAGAATAAGAAATGATGGAGAACATTTACAGGATATAGAAAATAGCCTCAAAAGGGAAAATCTAAAAGTTATTGGCCTTAAAGAGAAGGTATAGAAAGAGAGAGAGAGATATTGGGGTAACGAGTTTATTCACAAGGATAATAACAGTGAATTTCCCAAACCTAGAGAAAGATATTAACATTCAAATACAAGAATGTTGTAGAACATCTAGCCGATTTAACCCAAAGAAGACTACCTGAAGGCATTTAATAATTAAACTCCCAAAGGTTAAGGATAAAGAAAGGATCCTAAAAGCAGCAAGAGAAAAGAAACAAATAACATACAATGGAGTCCAATATGTCTGGCAACAGACTTCTCAGTGGACACCTTACAGGCCAGGAGAGAGTGACATGACTGCTGAAGGATAAAAATTGTTGTCCTACAATAGTATATCCAGTAAAACATGAAGGAGAAATAAAGACTCTCTGAGACAAACAGAAGCTGAGGGATTTCATTAAAACACAAAACATGTCCTAGAAGAAACGGTAAAGGGAGTTCTTCAATCTGAAAGAAAAGGATATTAATGAACAATGAGAAATCATCTGAAGTATTACAAAACTCACTGGTAATAGTAAGTACACAGAAAAACAGAATATTAAAACACTGTAATTGTAGTGTGTAAAGTACTCATGTTTTGAGTAGAAAGACTAAAAGATGAACCTATCAGAAATAATAACTATGACTTTTTAAGGCACAGACAGTATAACAAGATATAAATAGAAGCAGCAAAAAAGTTAAAAAGCAGGGGATTAAAGTATAGAGTTTTTATTAGTTTTTGCTTTGCTTATTTGTAAGTTTGTTTATGCAGTCAAAGTTGTCAACAGTTTAAAATAATGGGTTATAAGATATTATTTGCAAGCCTTATGGTAACCTTAAACTGAAAGACATACAGCAGATATACAAAAAGTAAAAGCAAGAAATTAAAATATACCACCAGAGAAAATCACGTGCACTAAAAGGAAGATAGAGAGGAAAGAAAGAAGCTAGACAAGACCAAAATCAACCAGAAAACAAATAATGAAATGGCAGGAGTAAGTCCTTACATATCAATAATAACATTGAATATAAATGGACTAAACCTTCCATTCAAAAGACATAGAGTGGCCAAATGGATAAAAAAAAAAGAAGATCCAATGATCTGTTGCCTACAGGAAACACACTTCACTTATAAAGACACCCATAGACTGAGAATAAATGGATAGAAAAGATATTTCATGCCAATGGAAACAAACAAACAAAAAAAGCAGAAGTAGCTATACTTATATAAGGCAAAATAGATTTCAAGACAAAAACTGTAAGAACACAAAGAAGGTCATTATATTATGACAAGGGGGCCAATTCAGCAAGAGGATACAACAATTGTAAATATATGTACACCCAATACTGGAGCACCCAGATAGATAAAGCAAATACTATTAGAGCTTGAGAGAGAGAGTGTGTGTGTGAGAGAGGGAGAGAGAGACCCAAATACCATAATAGCTAGAGACTTCAACACCCCACTTTTAGGATTGGACAGATCATCTAGACAGAAAATCAACAAAGAAGCATTGGACTTAATCTGCAGTATAGACCAAATGGACCTAATAGATATTTAGAGAACATTTCATCTAATGGCTGCAGAATATACATCCTTCTCCTCACCCCAGGAATCATTCTCATGGATAGACTATATGTTAGGCCACAAAAGTAGTCTTTAAAAATTCATGGATATTAAATTATATCAAATATCTTCTCTGACCACAATGGAATAAAACCAGAAATCAATAACAAGAGGAATTTTGGAAACTATACAAATGATTGGAAATCAAACAATATGCTCTTGAATGATCAGTGGGTCAGTGAATAATTTAAGAAGGACATTTTTAAAATTTCTTGAAACAAATGTAAATGGAAACACAGCATACCAAAACCTGTGGGATACAGGGAAAGTGGTACTAAGAGGAAAGTATATAGCAATAAGCACCTACATCAAAAAACTGGAAAAACTTCAAATAAACAACCTAACAATATATCTTAAAGAGCTAGAAAAGCAAGAGTAAATAAAACCCTAACTTAGTAGAAGAAAATAAATCATAAAGATCAGAGCAGAAATACATGAAACTGAAACAAAAAAAATACAAAAGATCAACAAACAAAAAGTTGGTTTTTTGAAAAGATAAACAACATCAACAAACCTTTAGCCAGACTAAGAAAAAGAGAGAAGACTCAAATAAATAAAATCAGAGATTATTACCAACACTGCAGAAATTCAAAGGCTCATTAGAGGCTACCATGAACAACTATATGCGAAAAAATTGGAAAATGTAGGAGAAATGGATAAATTCCTAGACACATGCAACTGCTAAGATTCAACCATGAAGAAACTGCAAACCTAAGCAAACCAATAACCAACAGGTAATAACATTTAAGCCATAATAAAAAGTCTATCATTAAAGAAAAGCCCAGGACCCAATGGGTTCAGAGCAGAATTGTACCAAACATTTAAAGAACTAATACCAATCCTACACAAACTATTCTGAAAAAAGAAAGAGGAGGGAATACTTCCAAACTCATTCTACAAAGCCAGTATTACTCTGATACCAAAACCAGACAAAGACATCAAAAAAGGAAAACTGCAGGCCAATATCCCTGATGAACATTGATGCAAAAATCCTGAACAAAATACTAGCATATTAAATTCAGCAACACATCAAAAAGTTCATTCATCATGACCAAGCAGTATTTATCCCAAGATGCAAGGATGGTTGAACATTTGCAAGTCAATCAATGTAGTACATCATATCAACAGAATGAAGGACAAAAACCATGTGATCATTTCAACTGATGATGAAAAAGCATTTGATAAAATTCAACATCCTTTTATGATAAAAAAAAAACCTTGAAAAACAGAATAGAAGGAACATACTTCAACATAAGAAAAGCCGTATACAACAGACCCACAGCTAATATCACACTGAATGGAGAATACTGAAAGCCCTTCCTGTAAGATCTGGAACAAAACAAGTATGCCCACTGTCACCACTGTTATTCAACACAGTCCTAGAAGTCCTAGCTAGAGGAATCAGACAAGAGAAAGAAATAAAGGGCATCCAAATTGGAAAGGAAGAAGTCAAATTATCCTTGTTTGCAGATAATATAATCTTGTATTTGGAAAAGCCTAAAGGCTCCACAAAAACCTATTAGAACTGATGAAAAAAATTCAGTAAAGTTGCAGGATACAAAATCAACATACAAAAATCAATAGCATTTCTATATGCCAACAATGAACGATCTGAAAAATAAATTTTAAAAGTAATCCTATATACAATAACTACAAATAAAATACCTAGGAATAAACGTAACCAAAGAAGTGAAGAATCTCTACAATGAAAACTATAAAACATTGAAAAAAGAAATTGAAGACGGCACCAAAAATGGAAAGATATTTCATGTTCATGGATTGGAATAATCAATGTTGTTAAAATGTCCATACTACCCAAAACAATCTACAGATTCAATGCAATCCCTATCACAATACCAATGGCATTCTTCACAGAAATAGAAAAAACAATCCTAAAATATATATGGAACCATAAAAGATCCAGAATAGCCAAAGCTATCCTGGGCAAAAGGAACAAAACTGGATGAATTACATTACCTGACTTCAAAGTATACTACAGAGCTGTAGTAACCAAATAGCATGGTACTAATATAAAAAGAGACATGTAGATCAGTGGAACAGAATCGAGAAGTGAGAAATAAATCCATACATCTACAGTGAACTCAGTTTCGACAAAGATGCCAAGAATATACTTTGGGGAAAAGACAGTCTCTTCAATAAATTGTGCTGGGAAAACTGGATATCCATATGCAGAAGAATGAAACTAGACCCTTATGTTTTACCATATACAAAAATCAAATCAAAATGGCTTACAGACTTAAATCTAAGACCTCCAACTATGAAACTCCTAAAAGAAAATGTTGGGAAACTCTCGAAGACATTGATCTGGGCAAAGATTTATTGAGTAATACCCCACAAGCACAGGCAACCAGAGCAAAAATGGACAAATGGGATCATATCAAATTAAAAGACTTCTGCGTGGCAAAGGAAACAATCAACAAAGGGTAAAGACAATCCACAGAATGGGAGAAAATATGCAAACTAGCCATCTGACAAGAGGTTAATAACCAGAATATATAAGGAGCTCAAACAACTCAATAGGGAAAAAAACTAATGATCCTATTTAAAAATAGCCAAAGGTGTGAATAGATATCTTACAAAAGAAGACATACAAATGGCAAACAGGTATATTAAAAGGTGCTTAACATCACTGATCATCAGAGAAATGCAAATGAAAACTACAATGAGATATCATCTCACCACAGTTAAATGGCTTCTATTCAAAAGACAGGCAATAATGAATGCTGGTGAGAATATAGAGAAAAGGGAACCGTCATACACTTTTGGTGGGAATGTAAATTAGTAAAACTACAATGGAGAACAGCTTGGAAGTTCCTAAAATCAATAAAAATAGAACTACCATATGTTCCAGCAATCCCACTGCTGGGTACATACCCAAAAGAAAGGAAATCAGTATATCAAAGAGATATCTGCACTCCCATGCTTACTATGGCACTAGTCACAATAGCCAAGATTTGGAAGCAATCTAAGTGTCCATCAACAGATAAATGGATAAAGAAAATGTGGTCCATATACACAGTAGAGTGCTATTTAGCCATAAAATAGAATGAGATCCTGTCATATGCAATAATATGGACGGAACATGAATTAACAACATGATGTTAAGTGAAAGATGCCAGGCACAGAAAGACAAACTTCATGTGTTCTCACGTATTTTTGAGAGCTAAATATCAAAACAATTTAATTCATGGAGATAGAGAGCAGAATGATGGTTACCAGAGGCTGGGAAGGATAGTTGGGGGTAGGGTAAGTGGGGATAATTAATGGGTACAAAAATATAGTTAGATAAAATGAATATGATCTAGTATGTGATAGCATAACAGGGTGACTACAATCAGTGATAATTTATTGTATATTTAAAAGTAACTAAAAGAGCATAATTGGATCATTTGTAGCACAAAGAAAGGATAAATGCTTGAAGTTATGGATACCTCATTTACCTTGATGTGATTATTATATATTGTATGCCTGTAACAAAATATGTCATGCACTTCACAAATAAGTAAATAAATCTATATCTACTATCCACCCACAAATAAAAAATAAAAAAAGTAAAATAAACAAATTAATTTAAGAGAAAAAATGGACTTGTTGCCCAGCTGCTAGGAGTGCTCTCAGAAGATAACCTGCAGCTGTCAGTCTATCAGATTTTGTCTCAGCTGCAGTTACCTTACCCACAGTCACAACCTTCCTGGGTCGTGGATCCAGTAGGATGGGGTCCTATATTCAATGGGTGACTGAGGCAGAGGTATATAAGCCGAGCCATTTCATTTCAGTAAAGGACAGTCTGATATTGTTAGGCAGAATAATACCTTCTCCCAAATATAACCACAGTCTGATCCCTGGAACCTGTGAGTATATTATATTATGTGGCAATGGAGAATTAAGGCTATTGATAGAATTATGGTTGCTAATCAGCTGAATTTAAGACAAAGAAGTTATCCTGGATTACCTAGGAGGGCCCAGTATAATCCAGAGGGAGGTAGAAAAGGGCATCAAGTCAGAGAGAGATTTAAAAATGTTATTTTAAAAGGGAAACAAGTCAGAGAGAGATTTAAAAATGCTATTCAGCTGGCTTTGAAGATGGAGGAAGGAACCATGAGTCAGAGAAGGCAAACAGCCTCCAGCAGCTGGAAAAGGCAAAGAGGTGATTCTCTGCCACAATCTCCAGAAAAAAACATGGTCCTGCCAACACCTTCAGTTTAACTCAGACTGATTTTTGATTTACGCCCTCCAGAACTGTACAATAATAAATATGTTTCATGTTAAGATAATAAATTTGTGTTGTGTTAATTTGTTAACAGCTGCAATAGGGAAGTAATAAAGGCCACTTTAGAGGTCAGACAAGGCTGCTCTCAGCCCTGCATCACAGCATGGCTTCTCCCTCCATCTCCATCCCATCTTGCTTCCTTCACCTCCCTTCTCCCCAGTTTGGGGCACTCCTTAGTAAGCATCCTGTATGTGAACCCCATACTGGAGTCTGCTTCCCAGAGAGCCCAACTTGTGACAGATAATAGAACCTCATGAAGCCCCCTCTTGTAACTATAAATATACAATAAATATATAAAGTTTATATTTATGAAAAGGAGTTATAAACTGTTCATCAAAAACTGTAATGCCTATATGACTATGAATGTGAATAGCACTGGATCTGATATTAAGACAATATGAAGTAAATGTTAAGAACATGGCTTTGACTGGTAGATACAAGTTCAGTTCTAGCTTCTGTACTTGTGTCCCCCAAAGTTCATGTGTTGGAAACTTAATCCCCTATTCAACAATGTCGAGAGGGGACTTTTAAGAAGTGATTTGGTCGTGAGGGCAGAGCCCTTATGCAT
The DNA here is from genome assembly GCF_000001405.40 of Homo sapiens. Taxonomy (NCBI): domain Eukaryota; kingdom Metazoa; phylum Chordata; class Mammalia; order Primates; family Hominidae; genus Homo; species Homo sapiens. The sequence continues at coordinate 113,494,995 of NC_000005.10, read as the reverse complement.
GGATTAATGCCATAATTGCTGCAATGGGTTCCTGATAAATGCTGCAATGGGTTCCTGATAAAAGGATGAATTTGACCTTCTTACCCTCTCTTGCTCTCACCTTCTGCACCATGGGAGGACACAGCAAAAAGGTCTTGAAAGATGCTGGCACCTTGATATTTGACTTCACAGCCTCCAGAATGGTGAGAAACAAGTTTCTTTTCTTTATAAATTACCCAATATGTGGTATTCTGTTACAGAAACACAAAACAGACTAAAACAGGGACATTACTTAACTTTGGAATTTAGTTACTCTCACTCACCAACATCCACCCATAAATAGAGATAATAAATACCTACCCCCACTAGAAAGCATTAAGTAAGGTGTAATTTTAAACCCTATGACTGATTTGTGATAAGAACCCAATAAAACTTTGTTAAGCTCTCTTAACGCTACCTCACTATTTTCTCTTAGGAATTTGCAATTTCTTTTTATAATAGTTGATATTATTGAGTTGGGAGGCAAATCACCGTTAAACTATATGGTTTGCTTCTGTCACAATATATGCTTCAGTTAAGAGAGCTCTGGAAGGTACCTGTGTCCTGTATTGGTGAAGAAAAGGTTCTTAAGGAATATTGGAATTTAGCAGGGATGCTAAAAACATCCTAGAGAAAATGGTGAGCCAGTGGCACCATGGAGTCCTCACTCCAACTCTTGCTTATAGTGTTTTTGTTTGTTTGTTTGAGACAGAGTCTTGCACTGTCTCTCAGGCTGGAGTGCAGTGGCGCAATCTCGGCTATCCCGGTTCAAATGATTCTCCTATTCTCCTGCCTCGGCCTCCCGAGTAGCTGGGATTACAGGCGCTTGCCACCATGCCCAGCTATTTTTTGTAGAGACAGGGTTTCACCAAGTTGGCCAGGCTGGTCTTGAACTCCTGACCTCAGGTGATTTGCCTGCCTCGGCCTCCCAAAGTGCTGGGATTACAGGATGAGCCACCATGCCCGGCTGCCTTTTTTTTTTACCTTTTTTTTTGACATGGAAAAGTGGGTTTTCATTTTTCCAAAAATTGCACCAAGGTAAAAGCAAACCTCTAGTTGATGCGGGTGTGTTGCGTAGGCATTAGCAGTACTGCCTTCACTATGCGCTCATTGGACATACTGCAACCCCAAGAAAAGGATGGTTGCATGTAGTCTAGTTTAGGTAAATCAAATTTGGAAGGACACGCACCAGATTATCAAGTTTTCAAAGCACTGCAATTGTTTTATTTATTTTAACATGTAATTTTAGACATATGGGGTAGGATATCTTGTCATGTGTACAGTGTTTTCTGAAATGTACCACATAAATTGAAGAAAAAAGCTGAGTAAGGACAAAGAGGTTGAGCTATGTACTCATCTCAGATAAATATATGAAACCTTTGAAATTATGACCAGTACTGTTAGATTTATGGCAGTGAGTATACACCCCTCACTCTTTGAGAGAGTGGCTCTCACTCATAACTTCTTCTTTATATTTATCATCTTTATATTCATATGGCATCTCTATTTTCAATGTCTTACAAATTTCTCCCTCTCCTGTAACCCTTTAGGCTGAAATTTCACATGTTTCATATCAATTCAGAAGCAAATTCTTTCCTGGGATGTGGAACCTATCTGTTCAGCCATTTCTGAGTTACCCAAGCATGAGAAAAATGTTTAGGAAATTCGTCAAGATCCACTTTTTGTGTGTTTAAATTTAAACATCCAGAGCTGTTGTACACATTCGGTAAGGAGAAAAAATATTCTTTGCTTTGAAATATAATTGGTTGAGCTTTACTGTCCACATTCTGTATACATGGAATGTGGTTATAGAGAGATGTGTTGAAATTTTGCAAAATCCTTTGGGTTTCCAGACCCTCCATACATGTTGTACTTAGAAAAATGTTTTTTTATTTCTTTTTTAGTCTTAAACTGGCATTTCTCTAGAAAAATTTGAGTGTAACAGCTCCTGTCTGGCTGTATTGTCAAACAACAGAAGTTTTATTCTATAAAAATTAGAAAAATTAGGATTAAAAAATTTATACATATATAAATTTAAATATATATATAAACTCTTGGGCTTTGGTTCTTGTTTTCTTGTAGATAGGAATATTTGTGCTGTTGGTAGCAACTTTCAATAAAATATTATTGGGTAGTAGATAGTGTCTTAGTCTGTTTTCTGTGGCTTATAACAGAATACCTGAACCTGGGGTAATATACAAATAAATGAAATTTATTTATTGTAGTTCTGGAGGCTGGGAAGTCCAAAGTTGAGGACACACATTTGGTGAGTGCCTTCTTGCTGGTGGAAACTCTGCAGGCTGAAGACGGCACAAGGCATCGCATGGCAAAGGGGCTGAGTATGCTAGCTCAGGACTCTCTTCCTTTTGTCATAAAGCCAACAGTCTCATTCCCATGATACCCATTAATCCACGAATGATTTAGTCTATTTATGAGGGACGAGCTTTCATGATCCAACTACCTCTCAATACTGCCACACTGGGGATTGTTTCAACGTGAATTTCAAGTGAGTACAAACATTCAACCATAGCATTCTGTCCCTGCCCCCCCAAACTTATGTCCTTCTCACATACAAATACATTTATTTCATTCTGATAGCCCCAAAGTCTTAACTTGTTTCAGCACCAACTCAGAAGTCCAAAGTCCAGAATTTCATCTTCCTGTGAAATCAAAGCAAATTATCCACTTTCAAGATACAATAATGGTATAGGCATAAAACAGACATTCCCATTCCAAAAGGAAGGAATAAACAAAAAGAATAAAGCAGCATGCCCCAAGAAAGTCCAAAACCTAGCAGGGCAGACATTACATCTTAAAGCTGGAGAATAATCTTTTTTTTTTTTTTTTTTTTTTTTTTTGAGACGGAGTCTCGCTCTGTCGCCCAGGCTGGAGTGCAGTGGCGGGATCTCGGCTCACTGCAAGCTCCGCCTCCCGGGTTCACGCCATTCTCCTGCCTCAGCCTCCCAAGTAGCTGGGACTACAGGCGCCCGCCACTACGCCCGGCTAATTTTTTGTATTTTTAGTAGATACGGGGTTTCACCGTTTTAGCCGGGATGGTCTCGATCTCCTGACCTCGTGATCCGCCCGCCTCGGCCTCCCAAAGTGCTGGGATTACAGGCGTGAGCCACCGCGCCCGGCCGAATAATCTTTTTTGACTCCACATGCTGCCTCTTGGACACACTAGAGCAACAGTTGGGCCCACAAGGCCTTAGACAGCCCCACGTCTATGGCTTTGCTGGGTACAGCCCATACAGCTGCCCATACAGGTTGGAGCCTGGTGCCTGAAGCTTTCTCAAGTAGATGTTGCATGCTGTTGGTGACTCCACAGTTCTGGGGTTCTGGTAGTGGCCCTGTTCCCACAGCTCCACTAGGCATTGCTCTGTTGGAAACTCTCTGCAGCAGCTCTGACCCTACAATTCTGCTTAACATTGCCTTAGTTGGAGCTCTCTGAAGTGCTCTGCCCTTGTTACAAGCCTTTGCCTGGACCCAGGCTTTCAGCAAAAATCCTTTGACATCTAGGTGGAGACCCCACATCTCCACAGCTCTCGCTTTCTGCAAACCTGAAGAATTATAATGGCATCATATGGATGCCATTAAGGCCTATGGTTCTCATCTTCTTGAGTGACAGGTCAATTCACACCTAAAGCTTCTTGAGCCACAGCTGGCATGTCCAAAAAGCACTGTACCAGAATTTGGGAAGTAAAGACCTGAGAGAGACCTTGGCAGCAAGCCCATGAAAGGTGCCTCATGTCTGTCTCCTGAAACCATTCTGTCCTCCTGCCTCTGGGTCTGTGATGAGAGGAACAACTCAAAGTTCTCTGAAATGCCATCGAGGTCTTTCCTTCTCGTAATGATACTTTCTTCCTTTACTAATCTCTGGAACAAAAGGTTGCTGGGCTACACCCTTGGTTTCCTCTCCCAAACACACCTTTTCACTCTTCACATGGCCAGGCTGAGAGTTTTCCAAATCTTTCCACTTTGCTTCTCTTATGATTGTAAATTCCACCTTTAAAGTTTTTTTCCCCCTCTCACAGCTTGATGTAAGTGGTTAAAAGTAGCCATGCTGCAGCCTGAATGCTTTACTGCTTAGATATTTCTTTGGCCAGATACCCCAGTTTCTCTCTCTCAAGTTCAGCCTTCCAGAAAGCCCTCAGGCATAGAACAGTTCAGCTAAGTTCTTTGCCAATTTATAACAAGGATGGTCTTTACTCCATTTTCTTGTACCTTGTTCCTCAGTTCCATCTGAGACCTTGTCAGAATGGCCTTTACTGTCCATAGTTCCATCAGCATTCTGATTATGACCATTTAACCAATTTCTAAGGAGTTCCAAACTTTCCCTGTTCTTCCTGTCTTCTCAGCCCTCACTAGAACCTAGGCTTTTTCTAGACTGCTGCTTCATTCTTGTAGCCTCTGCTCATTATCCAGTTTCAAAGCTGCTTCTCCATTTTCAGGTATTCGTTTTCGTTAACACCCCACTCCCGGTACTAATTTCTGGTCTTGTCAATTTTCTGTTGCTTAGAACAGACTACCTGAAACTAGGGTGATTTATAAAGAAATGAATTTATTTCTTACAGTTCTGGAGAATGAAAAGTCCAAGGTCAATGGGCCACCCTGCTGGTGGGGACTCTGTGCAGAGTCCCAAAACAGTGCAGGGCATCACATGGCAAGGGGGCTGAGCCTGCTAACTCAGGTCTCTCCTTCTCTTCTTATAAAGTCACTAGTCCCACTCCCATGATAACCCATTAACTCATTAACTCATGAATCTATGATTTTAGTGCCCTGAAATACTGGGAACTTAGAGAATAATAAAGAAGTAAAGTAGGAATAGGTAGATGGGGTGGAGAGGAGGAGAAAGAGAGCAGAGATTCCTTCCTTCTGACCTAGCAGACATTCCCAAGACATATGGACTTGTTCCAGTTATATATTGCTGCATAACAAATCACCTCAAAACTTAATGGCTTAAAACAACAATTTTTAATTATTATCTTCACAGCTCTGGGGGTTGGTTAGCCAGTTTTGCTCAGGGTCTCCAATGCAGTTGCAGCATCTAGAGCTAGCATCATCTCTCACTCATGTCTGGCACCTAGTCTGGGAAGATTCTAAGATCCAGGGCTAGAACAGCTGTAGCTCTTTGGTCATCTCCTTTTTTCTTTACATGGTCTTTCTGCATGGTTTCTCCAGCTTCAGGGTAGCCAAACTTCTTTTCAGGCAGCTCAAGGCTTCAAAGGTAAGTGTCCCAAGGGAGAGAGCCAAGTGCAATCTGCATTGCCTTTTCTAACCTAGTCTCAGAAGTCAAGGCAGTCACAAGTCCAATCCAGGTTTAGGGGAAGCAACAGACTCCACCTCTTGATGAGGGGTGCACCAAAGAATCTGTGGACATATTTTAAAACCACCAGAGAACTTCACACGCCTCTCTGGCAGAAAATCCAGGACAGAATAATGAGTCATTCACGAAACCACAAATTGCTTCACTGTGGTTTCCCTTTGGCTATGGGGGAATAGTGCAGTGTTTAAAGGCTCCTGCTCTGGAGTTAGGCTGCCCGGGCTTGCCTCTGCCCTAACACTTACTAAACCTGGAACCTTGAGCAGGTCTTGGTACCTCAGTTTTCTTACCTGTAAATTGGGAACAATGAGAGCTAACAGTTGTTGAGCACTTACTAGGTGTCAGACATTGTCCTAACTGCATTATGTCTGCTCTCCTTTTATATGTAAGATAACTCTATGAGGTACTTATCTATTAATACTTCCTAAGTCGTAGGATTGATAATAAAAGAGGCATCTTCCAGGTCTGTAGTGTGGATCAAATGAGACCATCTATTATGTTCGCTCTTGGCATTATTAAAGCTGTTGGGGGAAATTCTAGTGATGCCTGGCCAGTAGAGTGAGCCGTTTCCAGAAATTGACCCAACGTACACAATGCCACACAGCGTGCAGACTCTTCCCAGTACAGAGTGGGAGCCAAGATGAGGGCTGCGAGGGCCAGGTTTCTTGACAGGTGTCAAAATTTCATAAAAAGGCCAGTCATTCCGGTTCTCATTGGTGGCTATGGGTACAGAACCCGGAACAATCCTGGAGAGTGGGATTACAAGCACCGTTTTGAGTTTGCAGAAGGAGAGTGTTTATATAGCTTCTCTGGAAAAGGAAGCCATGACTCCGGGCGGTCGGAGAAGGTCTGCCGGGAGTACACCTGCCCTCTGCCTGAAGCGTCCCCAAGTGTCCCGGGCCCGCGTCGTTGCCGGATGCACAATGCTGACACCCTTCCCGGGGGCTTCCAGTGTATTCTGCCTCCTCTTGTGTTCCCGTTGCCACCCTTAGCTCCCTGACTCTTCCAGCCACCTTCCCCTCCTCCCTCTTCCCTGAGGTGCCTCCTCGGGCGATTCCAGAGCGCCCATCTTCCCAGTCCGGGCAAAACCCGGAGAGGTGGAATCCCTCGCCCGGAGCGCCCCGGCGGCCACTGGGCATGCTCCGTTGTCAGGCAAGTTCGGGGCTGCAGGCAGCTTGCGCGCCGCGCGGATTCCAGCTGCGGTCGCGCGTACTCCTCCTCCCAAGTAGGGAGCGGGCGCATGATGGCGGCCGCGGCGGCAGCGGCTGCGGGGAGCTCCAGCAGCGGCGGCGGCGGCGGCGGCAGCGGCAGCAGCAGCAGCAGCAGCGACACGTCCAGCACCGGCGAGGAGGAGAGGATGCGGCGCCTCTTCCAGACGTGCGACGGCGACGGGGACGGATACATCAGCAGGTACGCGGGGAGGTACGAGGAAACCGACAGGAGCGAGATCAGTCCCTCCGCGCGCCCTTGACCCCTGCTCTGCCCCCTCGCCCCAACTTGCGGCAAGTTGCTCAGAAGCTCGCGGGAAAAGTTGGCCGCGACTCCGAGAGCGCGTAGCCGGCTCGGCCACGAAGGCCGAGGGGACTGCTCTGTTCGCCTTGCGGGGGTGCCAGTTGGTCCAACTTTTCCCAGCGCTGTCTTTGTCTAGGCGTTGGGAGACATCTCCTTAGGATGCGCACTCTTCCGGGGGCTTGGAGTGTTCTTCCCTGTGGGAAAAGGAGTTCTGGCCGCTTGTCCCAGGTAGGAGGGGCTGCCCCACAGCCTCGGGGTCCTGGGCATCAAGATGCCGCAGCACGGGGCAGCGATCTGCCCGGCGGCTTGGTGGACACCCCAGGGCCGCACCGGGAGGAGATGAGCTAAGCGACAGCCTCGGACAGGGAAATAACCTGTGAAGAAACTTTCTTGTGCCGCAGAACCCATGAATTCCAAACTTCAGAGCCCAAAGAATGGGTATCGTTTGCCACCCAGTATTGATTTAAACGCAGTAGCCTGAGAGGAACGAAGCGCTCAGGAGCAAACTAGGGCTAGACCCGACTCCTACCCGGCTCTGTGCGCTGACCAGGTGAGCTTCGGCGTGGCTCCGGGCGCCTCCGCGCCTCCACTCACAAACAAACTTTGGGGTGTTTGCTTCGGATCCCCCGCACTTCCTACAGAGGCGGTATTTAAGCTTCCTGCCTCCCGGCTTGGCCAAATAATTACTTCTGCCCAAATTTGTGTCACTTAGACTCTTGTGGTGAAGAAGGCAATCGCAACATTTTCTGGTATGCTTCTATTGAATGGTTGACACCGGCCATTGAAGACTTGGTATCCGTGGAAATTTGAATTGCCTTGGATGAAGGAGCAGCCTAAGTTGTGCATTACATGTTTCTTTAGTCTATGTCTTGGTGATGCTAAAGATCGTTTCTGAAAATCCGGGGCTGCTTCCTGATTGTCCCTGCCTACCTAAAAAAAAAAAAAAGAAAGCAAAGTGCGGAATTTTTCCCTTAAAATAAAAAAAATTATTTATTTGGGACTCAACGCAATTTTGATCATTCTTAGGTGAATTTTTATTACTTTGCTAAAGTTTTACTGAGAAACATTAGGAAGATATCAGAAAACTTGATGGAGTAATTCTGTTCGGAAATGAAAATAATATGTAATTCTGATTGACTCCATGCAAATTTCTATCTGGAAGTCTCGTTATTTTGGTTCTGGGAGTAAAAGAAATTTCATTATATAGTTTTCCTTTTTGTTGTTTTCCTACTTGAAAGGTTATTATCTCATTTGCAATAATAAAGGCAAACTCCAACTTTGGATACAATTTTTTTTTTTTTTAGACAGAATCTCGCTCTATCACCCAGGCTGGAGTACAGTGGCGTGGTCTTGGCTCACTGCAACCTCCGCCTCCTGGTTCAAGAGATTCTCCTGCCTCAGCTTCCCGAGTAGCTGGGATTACAGGTGCCCACTACCACTCCCGGCTAATTTTCGTATTTTTAGTAGAGAAGGGGCTTCACAATTTGGCCAGGCTGGTCTCGAATTCCTGACCCTAAGTGATCCGCCCGCCTCGGCCTTAGGAAGCGCTGAGATTACAGGCCTGAGCCACCGCTCCCCGCATGGATGCAAAAAAGTTTAATTTCACACGGGCAAGAGTGCATACAGAAAACTAGCAGCGTGCTATCCTTTTCTAATTTGGCCTATTAATATATTGCTTTATCTGAACTACACTTTCTATATAAATGCTCACATTATTTTCGGTGATTCTACCCGGGAGGATAATGAATTCTGTAAGCGTAATTTGAGTAAAGTGGGTGGTGATAAAGAAGCCGTTTTGGATTAGAGTAGAAACTGGCTGGGGCAAAAGTGGAAAAAGTTGTTAACATTCCTTGAGCTGCATTACTTTAATGTGTCTGCTTAAAAGTTTCAAGGTATGTGTAGTAATGAACCCTAAATCATAACTTTAACTGTGGGTGGAGCTGCCCTGAAAATTATGCTGTGGCAGAATTGCCATGTAGGAGAAGTTTAGGGATGGCAATCTAGGGCAACAAGGAACTTGTCTGGAAGTGTGTTTACCTGGTAAGCACAGTTTTACCTGGAATTTACGTTTATGTGGTAAGACTTGGGGAATGGGGCTAATGAAGGTAAGGGGCATTAAATGATTCCCTCTCTGAAGCCACTTTTCTGTGCTGCTTTCATTTAATGACCTGTACTTACCACTCTGTAGTGGGTGATGTGGTTTGGAGGGTTGTGCATTCCTGTTCTATCAGACATGAGAGTTGGACTTTTTAACATTAAAACCTTAAAAACTTTGGATTCATCTAAAGACGTTAAATTTATGTTCCTGGTAGACAGCTGTATCTGTTAGAATTTCAGATGACTATATGTCATCACAGTAACCTAACCATAGTCAAGTAAGGGTTGGCTTTGTCACCTAGTAGAAATCTGGAGGTAGGCTATCTAGGTTGGGGCAGCAGCTCTGCGGTGGTGTCAGTCCCCAGCTACCTTCTACCTTTCTCCAACACCATTTTTCACATAAAGCATTCATCCTCATGGTTATCTCATAGTCCAAAGGTGATTGCCCTGTCTCCCTCTTCATCCCCAAATTCTAGGGAAGAAGATGTAAAAGGAAGTGGAAATAAGTTGTGCCTGTATCATTAAAGCAGAGCTTTCCCAAATCCCTTAATTGACATCTTATTGGTCAAACTACATCACTTAACCATGCCTACTTCAGTAGAGTCCGAGGAAGCATATAATTCAACTAGGCACATTACCTCCTAAACAAAATCTGGGTTCTGTTACTAAGAGCAGGAAATAGATATTGGGTGGGCAAGTAGCGGTTAATACCTATAATAAACCCCCCATCCCATGATAATCCACATTCAAGTATATTTGCTCTGGTCCTCCGCTGAACCCTCATTCTAAACAGGAGTAGGCTGGAAATCTTAAGTGTGGGGGAAGGATAAGTGGAAGAGAAACTGGGCCGTGAGGGGAAATGTCAGGGAGGTAAGGGGTGGTGCTTTGTGCTTTCAATATTCTCTTGGCCCAGTCTTCCTATCAGGCTGACAAAAAAGGCATCAGCTAACTAGATTCTTGGAATTGCTGCTTCTGCCAAGGAACTTTAGCCTATAAAAGGGACCCAGAATCATCCCCATCAATAGTTAAGGTAGAACAGAAAGCTATGATCAAGTAGCTCCAAACTGCGGCTGGGACCCCGCTGGATTTGGGCAGCAGAGTGAGACCACCGTAAGCTCTTTCAGTGCATTTCATTAACCTTACAATGACTTTACCACATATTTTATGGTACTGGATTTTTTGGACCCTGCATACCATATTATAGAAGGTGGTGGAGGTTACTCTATTTGTTGAAATTATTTTCCCTTTGGAATTTTAAAGCTTTTTGTTTTTACCGTTCAATATAAGAAACTGCTTATGTTGAACATACCTTTGACAAATATTGAAAGCCAGTGCTTAACATTTTTGAGTTCCCAAGTCTCAGCTCAAATGTTGATGCCTTAGAGAGAGCTTCCCTGACCACTATATCAAAATAGATTTGCTTTATCCTGCCGTTATTGTCCATCATAGTACTGATTGCTTTCTTTCAAAGTGCCCTTTACAACTTATAATTCCATTTCTGTTTGCTACTTTGCCTGTTTATTGTCATTCTGTCACTAAATGTAGGCTTCCTGAGGGCAGAAATCATATCTGTTTTCTCAAAAACAGTGTACTCAGTACTTAGCACAGTATCTACCATGTAGCACACAATCAGCAAATTCTGATGAAAATGTGACCAAGAATAAACAGTGGTATGTTCATGTATATTGGAAAATGTTTCAAACATTTTCATTTTCAGATATTTTCCATATTTATGTAATATTTTAAATATGTATATTTTTAACTTTTATTTTAAATTCAAGGGTACATGTGCAGATTTTTTCCATAGGTAAACTTGTGTCGTGGGGGTTTGTTGTACAGATTATTTCATCACCCATGCCTAGTACCCATTAGTTATGGGTACTAAGCCTAGTGCCCACTATAGTTATGGATACTAAGCCTAGTGCCGACTAGTTATGGGTGCTAAGCCTAGTACCCATTAGTTATTTTTCCTGATCCTCCCCCTCCTTCCAACTTCCACCCTCTGATAGGCCCCAGTGCGTGTTGTTCCCCTCTATGTGTCCATGTGTTCTCACCATTTAGCTCCCGCTTATATGTGAGACCATGTGATATTTGGTTTTCTGTTCTTGTGTTAGTTTGCTAAGGGTAATGGCCTCCAGTCCCATCCATGTCCTTGCAAAGGACGCGATCTAGTTTTTTTTTTATGACTGTGTAGTATCACATGGCATATACATACCACACTTTCTTTGTCTGGTCTATCATCAGTGGGCATTTAGGTTGAGTCCATGTCTTTACTATTGTGAACAGTGCTGCAGTGAACATACAGGTGCATGTGTCTTTATAATACAACGATTTATATTCCTTTGAGTATATACCTAGTAATGAGACTGCTGGGTTGAATGGTATTTCTGTCTTTAGGTCTTTGAGGATATGTGTATATTTTATTAAAGATATTTTTTCTTTAAAAATAACTTCTTTTGGGTTATATAAAAGATACTCTTGTTGTTGAAAATTTGGAAACATATAGAAATATACAAAAATAAGATCAAAATGATCTCTAATCCCATAACCAAGGGATATTATTTCTATTTTCCCAGTGATATATCTGCATCATGCCATTCCTCTATGGGTACATTAAAAATGATTGGATAAATGGAAAAAATCACATGTACATGGACAGGAAAACTTTTTGTTAAGATGGCAATACTTCCCAAATTGATTTACAGAATCAATGCAGTCCTTCTCAGAATACCAGCTGCTGTTTTTTGCAGAAATTGATGAACTGATCTTAAAATTCATGAGGAAACTTAAAGGACCCAGAAGAGTCAAAACAATCTTGAAAAAGAACAAAGTTGGAGGATTCATGCTTTCTAATTTCAAAACTTGCTCCAAAGCAACAGTAATTAAGACACTATGGTACTAGCATAACGATACACAAATAGGTCAATGGAATAGAATTGAAAGTCCAGGGATAAACCTACATATTCATGTCAATTGATTTTCAACGAAAGCACCAAGATTAAGAATGCCAAGGTCAAGGGTAAAATGGGGGAAAAAATAGTCTTTTTGAGAAATGATATGGGGACAACTGGATAGTCACATATAAAAGAATGAAGTTGGACACTTTCCTCACACCATCTACAAAAATTACCTCAAAATGTATCAAAAACTTAAATGTAAGAACTATAACTATTAAACTTTTAGAAGAAAAAATAGAGCTAAATCTTTGTGAACTTCGATTTGGCAATGGATTCTTATATGTGACACCAAAAGCACAAGCTACAAAAGAAAAAATTGTTAAATTAGGCTTCCGCAAATTTTTTAAGTTTATGCTTCAAAAAACACTATCAAAAGAGTGAAAGACAACCTGCAGAATGGGAGAAAATATTTACAAATTGTACATCTGATAAAGGACTAGTATTTAGAATTTATAAAGAATACTTAATAATAAAAAGACAAATAACCCAATGTAAAAATGGACAAAGGATCTGAATAGACATTTCTCCAAGGAAGACATACACATAGCCAATATGCACACGAAAAGATGCTCAACATCATTAGCCACTAGGGAAATGCAAATCAAAACTACCATGGGAATTCTACTTTACACCCACTAGGAAGACTATAATCAACAAGTCAGATAATAAGTGTTGACAAGGATGTAAAGAAATCAGAACCCTTCTATATTGCCGATAGCAATGTGAAATGATGCAGCTACTTTGGAAAACAGTCTAGCAATTCCTCTAAAACATAAACATAGAATTGGCGTATGACCCCAGCAATGCTACTCCTAGATATACAGCTAGGAGAACTGAAAATATATGTCCACCCAAAAACATAAATGAATGTTCATAACAACATTGTTTATAATAGTCAAAAGATGTACCCAAATGTTCATCATCTGATGAATGAATAAACAAGATGTGATGTATCCATGTAGTGGAATATTTTTCAACCATAAAAAGGAATGAGGTACTAATACATGCTATAACAAGGATGAACCTTGAAAACATTAATGCTAAGTGAAAGAAGCCAGTCACAAAAGGCCACATATTATATTATTTCATTTATGTGAAATGTCTATAGAGATAGAAAGTGGATTAGTGATTACTCAGGTTTGTGGGTAATGGGAAGAATAGATGAATGAGAGCTAAAGAGTATAGGATTTCTTTTTTTGAAATGACAAAAGTGTTCTAACATTGGTTGTAGTGATAGTTTTACAGCTCTGTGAATATAGTAAAAAACAGTGGGTGAACATTATGGTATATGAATTATATAACTCAACAAAGCTGTTAAAAAAAGATTTATTTTTTATTTTTTATTTTTTTGAGATGGAGTCCCACTCTGTCACCCAGGCTGGAGTAAAGTGGCACAATCTCGGCTCACTGCAATCTCCGCCTCCCGGGTTCAAGCGATTCTTCTGCCTCAGCCTCCTGAGTAGCTGGGACTACAGGTGTGCGCCACCACGCCCAGCTAATTTTTTTGTATTTTTAGTAGAGACGGGGTTTCACCATGTTGGCCAGGCTGGTCTCGAACTCCTGACCTTGTGATCCACCCGCCTCAGCCTCTCAAAGTGCTGGGATTACAGGTGTGAGCCACCGCGCCTGGCCAAAAAGATTTATATTTGTTGTAATCTCATTATTTATTTAATTAATTTAATTATTGTTCTGTTGTTGACTATTTAGATTGTTTCTAATTATTTCTTTTAGAATTTCATTAAATCTAAGTTGCCAAAGACTAAGACAAACCATTACTTTATGTACCAATTAAACTATGGCAAAATAATTCTTACCACTTAGAATTTTAAAATTCTTCCTGAAAGGACTCCCTTAAAATTGTTGAGTTATAGATTTTTATCATATTGCACTCTTGTACATATATAAAAAGGGAAATAGGCTAATCAAATTGTTTAAAATAATTCTAAAACTTCTTCATATTCAAATTGTTTAAAATAATTCTAAAACTTCTTCATATTTAAAATCCAAGTCTTGGCCAGCTGCAATGGCTCACGCCTGTAATCCCTGCACTTTGGGAGGCTGAGGCAGGTGGATCTCTTGAACCTAGGAGTTCAAGACGAGCCTGAGCAACATGGAGAAACCCTGTCTCTACAAAAAAATTACAAAAATTACCCAGGCATGGCAGCTTGCACCTGTAGTACTGGCTACTCAGGAGGCTGAGGAGGGAGGATCAGTTGAGCCTGGGAGGTCAAGGCTGCAGTGAGTTGTGAATACCCACTGCACTCAGCCTGGGCAACAGAGCAAGACACTGTCTGAAAATAAAATAAAATAAATAAAAATAATGAAATCCAAATCTTCCAAATCACCTTTTGATTTAGAGTACTGATGTTGTGTTTCACATCAACCTCTGTGACATCAAAATATTTAGGGATGCAGCAAACTATTTTCTATAGTATTTTCTTCTAAGATGCCTACACCCTTTCTGCAAGTATTGATGTTGACACTCCTGATCTTAATGGAAGACGTTGATGGAAGTTTCTCAGACAATAACCACGACTTTTATTCTTGAGGAAGCATCGAGGTTTGCAGTTATTTAGTCCATTTTAGAAGGAATAACAACCTGATTCACACAGAACAAGCAATGGTAACTGTGTTGGCACAAGGCCAATAAATTTTAAGAAACATTCAGATTTCACAATGTTAAACTGTGCATCTTAGAAGTTTTGAAATATGGTATTTTATATAATGCTAGAATAAACACCTTCATTGTTCCATGTACTGTGTTATTAGAGAATTAGTCAAAACTGAAGTTATCAGTGAAATGTATGACCTAAAATTGCTTGCAGGCGCTTTGCTCAGTCGTCCTTAAGCAACAGCAGCAACAACTATAAACAACAAAAGGTTGTCAGATTTAATGGAGAATATGGTAGTTTGCTTATCTAAAGAACTACAAATTTATATACATCTTAAACATAATCTACTATTCTCCCTTATTCAGTGTTAGCAGAAATTGAACTTGGAGAGGCAAGAGAGAAAAGTCATCTAACTTTTAAAGGGTTGAAAGAGTCACTTGAACCAAAGGTAAATGGAACAGAAAGACTATGACCTCTAGATTCCTTGTCTCATAGCAAAGTAGATTCTCATGACATAAGCATAAAACCTGCAATATATTTATTCTTCTTGGAAACAGTAACTCTGGAACACAATTTTTGAAAGAGAGCCTTTGTGAGATTGAAATGGCAGCATAACCAAAGCCAAGCATTAAAGAAACTGAATAGCACTGAAAGCCTCAAAGCTACAATGAAACCATAGTGTCACTAAGAAATATATAATCTGAACCTAAGTGGGAGAATAAAGAAGAAAAAAGAAAAACCATTAAAATCCTAAGACCAGCCATAAAGCAATCAGCCTACCAAGATAAGTCAAAAATATGATCCTATTTCATATTTTAATTAGATTAAAAAAACACCCTACAGAACTCCCCTTGAGGTAGCTCAAGATAAAAAGTAGAGCCCTACTTAGGATTGTAAAGTAACATGGGAGACAATTTGGAAGAGGACACATTGGCGTTATGAACATTCACATACAAGTGAAGCCATATTACTTTTGAGAAGAGCTAACCGATATGCAGTATTCTCTGATTTACTGACATGCAATAAAAGGAACCCATTTAAAGTGTATATTTCAATGAGTTTTGACAAATTTATATACCCCTTTAACCACCACCAAAATCAGGATTGATTTTCATAACACAAGTTTCCTGTGCCCCTTCCTAGTCAATTGCTACCCCAGACCCAGTCCCCTGCAACCACTGATCTGCTTTCTGTCACTGCAGATTAGATTTGTCTTTTAGTATTTCACATAAATGGAATCATACAACATGTATTATTTTTGCATCTGACATTTTTTGAGCAATGTCATGCATGTGAAATTCATGCATACTTTTACATATATCAGTAGTTCCTTTTTATTACTAACATTTCATTGTATGAAGGTGCCACAATTTGTTTATCCGTTCATTAATTGATGGACATTTAGGTTGTATCTAGTTTGAGGCTATTGTAAGTAAAGGCATTATGAACATTCACATACAAGTGAAACCATATTACTTTTGAGAAACAGGATTATCTGTTTCAGATAAGATACAGCTAACACGTATGGAGTGCTTACCAGATATTCATATCGCTTATGTAATGCTCACAGTAGCTATGCGAGATAGATAATGCAGAAACACAGGGAAAGAAAGTGGATAATCCTGACAAATAGTGTGAGAAGCCATAATGATAAGAAGGACTCTCTGTGAGACTGGCAAGAGACTGCTTTGCCTGAGGAACATGATGCCACATTATTGGATCACAGATTCCTCTTATCTAAAGACCCTTAAAGCCCAGAGCTTCCAAATTTTAGTCATTTGTCCACCATCTTTACTCTTTCCATATCTCTGACCTCAATGTCTCCCTTGAATTTCAGACAGCTATATGCAGTAACTGCATACTTGACTTCCATGTCTGATGGCATCCCAAGCTTATCACATACAGAACCGAATTCCTGACTCCTCTCCCCAGGCTGCTCCTCCCTTAGTTTTCTCCATTACAGTAAATGGCTACTCCCTTGCTAGAGGTTCAAGTCAGAAACTTGAAGTCTTCCTGCATTTTCCTCTTTTCAAATGCTACATCCAACCCATTGGCAACCCTACCAACTCTTTAAAATATACCTAATATCCAACCGTTTCTTACCATCTTCCTTTCTACCACTGAGGTCCAAACCATCACTTGTTTATCACCATGTCTATTATAACAGACTCCTACTTCTACTCTTGCTGCCTCTACATTCCACCTAAGGCCCAGGCATACAGCAGCCAGTAACCAACTAAAGTGTCTGTCAGATTGTGTTATTTCTCTGCAGCATAGTGGAAAGAGCCCTGGATCAGAGCCAGGAAAGTTGGGTTCCCTCTAGGCTCTGCCACTATGTGAGTTGGCACCAAACCTTGCCTCTGTCTTAGTGTCATCACCAAAAAGTGGAGTGGTATTGCATTTTTCATATTGTATTCGTACTGTATTTTTCACCTCTAGAAGTTCCATTTTAACACATGGAGCATATTTATAACTTTTAAAATTCTTATCTGCCAATTCCATCATCTCTGTCATTTCTGGGTTTATTGATTGATTTTTCTCATGGTTATGGAACTGTTTTCTGCTTCTTTGCAAGCCTAGTTACATTTAATTGGATGCCAGATATATAAACTTGTTCGGTACTGGTTTCTGTATTGTTTTCCTATACTTTGTTGTGGCTTGCAGTTGAGTTTGGCTCTTTTGGAAGCTTGCCTTTAAGCTTTCTTTGTTTGGCATGACTAGAGGAGTCTTTAGACTAGGGCTAATTTAAATTAGCCTACTCTTCACATCTCTGGAGCTCCTTTTATCTAAAGCATTCCTTCCTCTTCCCTCTGCACCACAAATTTAATCTGCCTTGGCTTCCCTGAATTTTGTTCTCTCTCTCCTCAACTCGGTGAGACCACTGGGTGCAGTTTGGATTTTCCCTCCTGTTCTGCAGCATATAGACTGCCTCCAGGCAGCAAGTTGGTGTAAATGTAGGCTCACCTTGCTTGTTGCCCTTTACTCATGGATTGTATTCTTATGCTGTTATATGATGTCTGAAAATCATTATTTCATGTATTTGGATTTCTAGCTGTTTTAGGTGAAACGGTAAATCCAGCCTCTGTGACCTATGATTATGACCTTCTTTCGCTTTGTACTGAGTATTTCAAAGTGAGCCTGCCTATTTGGAAGCACCCTGTTTGTTATTAAGTTTATATATAATTTAAAAAATAACATTTACAGAAATGCCTCAACCAACTTACTGGTTTTTGTCTTGTTTTGTTTTTAGCAACTACCTACAGTCTAGGCCCACATATCTCTTCTTTTAATAGCTAATATTATTGAGTGCTTACTGTATACTAGGCTGTGCCAAGTAAGCACTTAGTCTGCATGATCTCATTTAATACTCATTCCTTTGAGAAAGGAATTTTTATTATAGAATTTGAAGATGAGAAAAACAGGCTCAGAATTATTGTTATTTGCTCAAGATTCCACAGTTAGTAGGACCTGAATTCAAACTCATGTTTAACAAATGAAGGTCATGACCACTACTCAATGCGGCTTTTCACATACATTTCTTTAAGTTATATTTAACTAGCTTTATTGAGATATAATTGACGTACTACATAATTAACCCATTTAAAGCATACAATTCAATGGTCTTATATATTCAGAGTCGTGTAACAATCATTGCAACCAATTTTAGAATAGTTTCATCACCTCAAAAAGAAACCCTGTACCCATTAGCAGTCATCCTCATTTCCCCTAACCACTCCGGCCCTAGGCAACCACTAGTTTGCTGCCTCTCTAGACTTGCCTGCTATGGATATTGTACATTCTGTGGCCTTTTATTGCTTGTGTTTTGATATTGTCGCTAAAAAGTCTTTGTCTAACCAAAGGTCAGAAATAATTTAAATGTTTTCTTCTAAGAGTTTTATAGTTTTAGCTCTTATATTTAAGTCTATGATCCACTTGAGTTAATTTTTGTGTATGGTGTGAAGAAAGGATCCAGCTTCATTCTTTTGAATGTGGATATTCAGTTGTCAACAGCCATTTGTTGAAAGCACTCGTCTGTTTTCCCATTTTCTTGACACCCTTGTCAAAAATCAATAGACCATAAATGTAAGAATATATTTCTGAACTCTCAAGTCCTTTCCATTGCTCTGTGTGCCTATCCTTATACTAGTACCATACTGTCTTGATTACTGTTGCTGTGTTCTAAGTTTTGAAATCGGGAAGTACGAATTGTCCAACTTTGTTCTTCTTTTCCAAGGTTTTTAGTCTGTGGTTGGTCCCTTGAGTATTCATGTGAATTTTAGGATTAGTTTTCGATCTTTTCAAAAAACACAGCTGAGAGTTTTATAAGGATTGTGTTGAATCTGTAAACTAATTCGTTCACGTGCATTTTTAGTAACTATGTTTTTCAGGGTACTTTTGATTTTTCCTCTGGCCCACAGGATCATTTTACAGTCTTTTTATTTTGAGTCAACATATCAGTGGAAGTCTAAAGTAATAATGGCATATGTTTACACAAACCTTTATAGTTTACAATCAGACCATGCATTATTTTATGTAATCTTTGCAACAGGAATTAGTATTTTCATTTTAAGGTGAGGAGCTAAGGTAACATAGCTTCTTGAGGGTATTTCCCACCATACATGCGGCCTAGCTAACATGAGAAAACTTATTTTCCCTTAAAGTCTTAAAGTCCTTTACTTTTTAATTTACCAAAGCTCTATGGTGAGGGTGATTTTTCATTTTATAACTGCCTTCTTAGCATCAGTAGGAATGACATTTAAAATGTTGAGATTTGCATTCTAAATGAAATGACATGGGAGTCTCAGCTGGAGAGACTCTCTCTTGTTCCATAAATTGAAAAATCTCTTTAATTCTTAGTCTCAGAGTGGAAGCCATATGGAGAGAAAGGGCATTTCCTTAGAGAACAGTTAACTGTCAGCTTCTCATTGTCATTTCAAAATGCCAGTTTAAATATGTAAATGAGTCATTACTAAATTTATGCCATTGATTATCGATGACTCTAACTGATGGGAGAAAAAAAGATGGGTAGGTAGAAGGACTCTTTGGACCTATTACTTTTTCAAACATTTGGATCCCTGTCACCTAATAAAGTGAAAAAGTAAATTGAACAAGTTTCTAGATTGACTAATAAGCATTAAATGTTTGTCTGATGTAACTCTCAGTTGAATATTTACTTGTGAAACTGTTGCTTGGAAAATTCTAGATAGATGAGCTTTGTGTTTAATTATTTAAAACATTCACATCAGTGATATACCAGATACTTGAAAGAGCATTTATACTTAATGTTGGTGTTAATTGGGCATCTATTCAATATTATGGCAAGTGACATTGTTTAGTACACCTGTTGTCTATTATTTAAAACATCCACAGGTCCAAATTTGTAGTATAAATGAAGGAAGTGAGAAAGTAGATGGGGTGAAGGGAAGCATTTTCATAACGATGTGGCTGCATTTCCTTTAAATATCAGAATTCTGCATTTATTTATAAAATTTCAGAACTTCTTTCTGAGAAATGAGAAGCTTAACAAAATATTCTACATTAGAGGTTGATGCTTTCAAGAGAGGGCTTTATTTGTTCAATCTTATGTGATGTAGTCTTAAGCTGACTTTACTTCACAGTAATAAACAGGATGAAAGTCACTGATAAAATTGTTGGGGAGGTGTTTCCTCTTCTGAAAATGTGTTGGCAATTTTATATTTATTATAGGCAAAGGATGAAATCAGTGCGGCTTATCCCTCTCTCCCTTTTTGGTTTCCTAAGCTACTTCATCTCTAACCAGGATTATTATCCTAGTATTCTAATCTGCAGGCTTGCCCCCTCCAGGACTCTCGGCACTGACACTGAAGTCATTTTTCTATAACACAGAACTGAGCAGGCAGCTCTTCCTAAAATCCTTCAACAGTTGCCTGTTCCTTACAGATAAGTTCAGACTCCTTCTAGGGGCATTTAATTTAAGGCCCTGCCTGTCTGGCACGGTGACTCCACTCCCCCTCCAGCATTATCTCTTGCTGCATTCCTCTTTCACTGCAGCGTCCCAGGCTGCTCCAAGCATCGGTGCTGTGCACATGCAGCTCCCAGTAAGTGCCTTTCTCTCGCCCTTACCTGTCTGGTGAGCACCCTCTCATTTTTTTCTAGGCTGTTTCCATATAGCTCCTCCCCTCTGGACACTTTCCTGATGCCCTAGTACCTTGCACATACTCCTACACCAGCACTGCTCACACTGGATATTCTCATAGTTTTCATTTCCTTTCTCCCCATACTCAAGGCAGAGACCATGCTTTCTTTTCTTTTGCCTTTGTAACCTCAGTGCCCAACTCTTAATAGAAACACTTCAAATGCTTGATAATTTTTAGAAAAAAGTTTATCAACTTTTTGTCCAATTTAGCTGAGGAGTTTATATTTTGAAAATACATATTAGGTGCATTTTACCTAATCTAAAAGATCAGTGTGACCAAAATTCAGTGCCCCTGCTACTAACTGGTCGTGTAACTTTAGATAAGTCTCACATCACTTTCTAATCAGTATCATTTTCTTCTTCTGGGATTTTTTCTGTCAGCTTTTCAGGCCTGAAATACTTTGATTTTTATGGATTGTAGGTACCAGCTCAGGATTTTAGTGGTAGCATATTCTTATGGAAAGGCATGCTGTTTAAGTTAGTCTCTATTGGGCAGCTGTCTGGTTGTTTATGAACTAACCCTGATAAATCCATAGTTTCTCTTTATTTGTAGTTGTTATTATCCAGTTCCTTTAATTCCATGCAGTAATAGTATTTTCAAAAGCATTGAATTCTTGGTTAGGATTTTTTGTCAATTCCTAAGTGAAGGTTATGAGATGGAGTAAACCTAAAAACTACTCATAATTTTGTATTATAGTTGTTACTGAAAAGTTGATGGACAGTTGCCCACACAGTATTTTGTTTTGTTTTGTTTTGTTTTTGTTTTTGTTTTTGTTTTGAGAAAGGGTCTTGCTCTGTCATCCAGGATAGAGCATAGTAGTGTGATTATAGCCCACAGCAGCCTCACACTCCTGGGCTCAAGTAACCCTCCCGCATCAGGCTTCCAAGTAGCTGGAACTAGAGGCATCCACCCCCATGCCCAGCTAATTTAAACATTTTTTCTAGAGATGGGGTCTTACTGTGTTTCCCAGGCTCGTCTCAAACTCCTGTACTCAAGTGATCCTCCTGTCTTGTCCTCCCAAAGTGCTCGGATTACAGGTGTGAGCCCCTGCACCCAGCCAGTTTTATCTTGACTACTCCAAGGTACATAAAAGTTAGAAAGAGATTCTTAAATTAATATTTTGTAGTCTACTTTTCATAAGCTATCCCTCTATGGTTAGTTACTGGGTAGTCACAGTAAACTAACATTTAGAAGTAATAATATAATAAAAATAAAGGAACTTACCCAATACTAACTTGTATTATGGTAATTTCTATTCTGCTTCTTTCGCCTGCTAGACTGTAAGCATCATGAATGCAACAATGTCTTTGTATCTCTCACACTACCTGACATCATGCGTTGATTAGATGCTAAAGCAACATTGAATGAATGAACCAATAGTTTAATACTACCTTAAGACAAAATACGGTGCTTCACACTCCCAAATAGCATTTTGATTTTTCTCATTCCTAAAATAGAGGAAAACTCCTGTACCATGTTAATCTGTCTCTAACCATATGCTTACATGCTTCCAGAATTAGCATCTGTGAAATAATATGGATGAGGAAATCACAAAAAATATTGCATTTTGATCTTGTAAATTAGTTAAAGCTCCTTATTTGTTAATATAAATTATAGCTTCTCTAAAAGGAATAATTTGCTATTCACAATCAATAGTTACTTTACAGATTACTTCCTAAATCTTCCATACTTACAGAATTTGATAACTGTCAGAGCAGAACAAATTTAAGAATATTAATTATTATTGTTAAACATTCATTGAATGTACACTGTAGGCACAGAGGAATACAAAGTTGAATATATTATAACTTGTGACCTTAAGGAGTATTTTGTCTTATGCAATAAGTATACACATGCATAAACAAATAAAAATGCAAACTGCTTAGGAAGGTTCAGGAAAAGGAGAATAAACAATCAACTAGGCTTTATTGGTGAATATTATTCTATTCAGGGGTAAGTTTGTTGCAAGAAGTATGCACCATGCTCAGAATGGCCACACAGAAGATGGCCGAATAGGAACAGCTCCGGTCTACAGCTCCCAGCGTGAGCGACACAGAAGACGGGTGATTTCTGCATTTCCAACTGAGGTACCGGGTTCATCTCACTGGGGAGTGCCAGACAGTAGGTGCAGGACAGTGAGTGCAGCGCACCGTGCGTGAGCCAAAGCAGAGCAAGGCATTGCCTCACCCGGGAAATGCAAGGGATCAGGGAACTCCCTCTCCTAGTCAAAGAAAGGGGTGACAGACGGCACCTGGAAAATCGGGTCACTCCGACCCTAATACTGCACTTTTCCAACGGGCTTAAAAAACGGCACACCAGGAGATTATATCCCTCACCTGGCTCGAAGGGTCCCACGCCCACGGAGTCTCACTCATTGCTACCACAGCAGTCTGAGATCAAACTGCAAGGCGGCAGCAAGGCTGGGGGAGGGGCGCCCGCCATTACTGAGTTAGTTGTTTGATTAGGAAAACAAAGCGGCTGGGAAGCTCGAACTGGGTGGAGCCCACCACAGCTCAAGGAGGCCTGCCTGCCTCTCTGGGGGCAGGGCACAGACAAACAAAAAGACAGCAGTAACCTCTGCAGACTTAAATGTCCCTCTCTGACAGCTTTGAAGAGAGTAGTGGTTCTCCCAGCATGCAGCTTGAGATCTGAGAAAGGGCAGACTGCCTCCTCAAGTGGG
This sequence comes from Homo sapiens, assembly GCF_000001405.40. NCBI lineage: Eukaryota > Metazoa > Chordata > Mammalia > Primates > Hominidae > Homo > Homo sapiens. Next base: position 113,471,620 of record NC_000005.10, on the reverse strand, counting down.
TCCCTGACCCCCGAGTAGCCTAACTGGGAGGCACCCCCCAGTAGGCGGACTGACACCTCACACAGCCAGGTACTCCTCTGAGACAAAACTTCCAGAGGAACGATCAGGCAGCAGCATCTGTGGTTCACCAGTATCCGCTGCTCTGCAGCCACCGCTGCCGATACCCAGGCAGAAAGGGTCTGGAGTGGACCTCTAGAAAACTCCAACAGACCTGCAGTTGAGGGTCCTGTCTGTTAGAAGGAAAACTAACAAACAGGACATCCACACCAAAAACCCATCTGTACGTCACCATCATCAAAGACCAAAGGTAGATAAAATGACAAAGATGGGAAAAAAACAGAGCAGAAAAACTGGAAACTCTAAAAATCAGAGTGCCTCTCCTCCTCCAAAGGAACACAGCTCCTCACCAGCAGCGGAACAAAGCTGGACAGAGAATGACTTTGACGAGTTGAGAGAAGGCTTCAGACGATCAAATGACTGAGTTACAGGAGGAAATTCGAACCAATGGCAAAGAAGTTAAAAGCTTTGAAAAAAAATTAGATGAATGGATAACTAGAATAACCAACGCAGAGAAGTCCTTAAAAGACCTGATGGAGCTGAAAACCAAGGCACGAGAGCTACGTGACGAAGGCAGAAGCCTTAGTAGCCGATGCAATCAACTGGAAGAAAGGGTATCAGTGATGGAAGACGAAATGAATGAAATGAAGTGAGAAGAGAAGTTTAGAGAAAAAAGAATAAAAAGAAACGAACAAAGTCTCCAAGAAATATGGGACTATGTGAAAAGACCAAATCTACATCTGATTGGTATACCTGAAAGTGACAGGGAGAATGGAACCAAGTTGGAAAACACTGCAGGATATTATCCAGGAGAACTTCCCCAATCTAGCAAGGCAGGCCAATATTCAAATTCAGGAAATACAGAGAATGCCACAAAGATACTCCTCGAGAAGAGCAACTCCAAGACACATAATTCTCAGATTCACCAGAGTTGAAATGAAGGAAAAAATGTTAAGGGCAGCCAGAGGGAAAGGTCAGGTTACCCACAAAGGGAAGCCCATCAGACTAACAGCTGATCTCTCGGCAGAAACTCTACAAGCCAGAAGAGAGTGGGGACGAATATTCAACATTCTTAAAGAAAAGAATTTTCAACCCAGAATTTCATATCCAGCCAAACTAAGCTTCATAAGTGAAGGAGAAATAAAATACTTTACAGACAAGCAAATGCTGAGAGATTTTGTCACCACCAGGCCTGCCCTAAAAGAGCTCCTGAAGGAAGCACTAAACATGGAAAGGAACAACTGGTACCAGCCACTGCAAAAACATGCCAAATTGTAAAGACGATCAAGGCTAGGAAGAAACTGCATCAACTAACGAGCAAAATAACCAGCTAACATCATAAAGACAGGATCAAATTCACACATAACAATATTAACTTTAAATGTAAATGGGCTAAATGCTCCAATTAAAAGACACAGACTGGCAAATTGGATAAAGAGTCAAGACCCATCAGTGTGCTGTATTCAGGAAACCCATCTCATGTGCAGAGACACACATAGGCTCAAAATAAAGGGATGGAGGAAGATCTACCAAGCAAATGGAAAACAAAAAAAGGCAGAGGTTGCAATCCTAGTCTCTGATAAAACAGAGTTTAAACAACAAAGATCAAAAGAGACAAAGAAGGCCATTACATAATGGTAAAGGGATCAATTCAACAAGAAGAGCTAACTATCCTAAATATATATGCACCCAATACAGGAGCACCCAGATTCATAAAGCAAGTCCTTAGTGACCTACAAAGAGGCTTAGACTCCCACACAATAATAATGGGAGACTTTAACACCCCACTGTCAACATTAGACAGATCAACGAGACAGAAAGTTAACAAGGATACCCAGGAATTGAACTCAGCTCTGCACCAAGTGACCTAATAGACATCTACAGAACTCTCCACCCCAAATCAACAGAATATACATTCTTTTCAGCACCACACCACACCTACTCCAAAATTGACCACATAGTTGGAAGTAAAGCACTCCTCAGCAAATGTAAAAGAACAGAAATTATAACAAACTGTCTCTCAGACCACAGTGCAATCAAACTAGAACTCAGGATTGAGAAACTCACTCAAAACCGCACAACTACATGGAAACTGAACAACCTGCTCCTGAATGACTACTGGGTAAATAGTAAAATGAAGGCAGAAATAAAGATGTTCTTTGAAACCAACGAGAACAAAGACACAACATACCAGAATCTCTGGGACACATTCAAAGCAGTGTGTAGAGGGAAATTTCTAGCACTAAACGCCCACAAGAGAAAGCAGGAAAGATCTAAAATCGACACCCTAACATCACAATTAAAAGAACTAGAAAAGCAAGAGCAAACACATTCAAAAGCTAGCATAAGGCAAGAAATAACTAAGATCAGAGCAGAACTGAGGGAAATAGAGACACAAAAAACCCTTCAAAAAATTAATGAATCCAGGAGCTGGTTTTTTGAAAAGGTCAACAAAATTGATAGACTTCTAGCAAGACTAATAAAGAAGAAAAGAGAGAAGAATCAAATAGACACAATAAAAAATGTTAAAGGGGATATCACCACCGATCCCACAGAAGTACAAACTACCATCAGAGAGTACTATAAACACCTCTATGCAAATAAACTAGAAAATCTAGAAGAAATGGATAAATTCCTCGACACATACACCCTCCCAAGACTAAACCAGGAAGAAGTTGAATCTCTGAATAGACCAATAACAGGATCTGAAATTGAGGCAATAATCAATAGCTTACCAACCAAAAAAAGTCCAGGACCAGAAGGATTCACAGCCGAATTCTACCAGAGGTACAAAGAGGAGCTGGTACCATTCCTTCTGAAACTATTCCAATCAATAGAAAAAGAGGGAATCCTCCCTAACTCATTTTATGAGGCCAGCATCATCTTGATACCAAAGCCGGGCAGAGACACAACCAAAAAAGAGAATTTTAGACCAATATCCTTGATGAACATCGATGCAAAAATCCTCAATAAAATACTGGCAAACCGAATCCAGCAGCACATCAAAAAGCTTATCCACCATGATCAAGTGGGCTTCATCCCTGGGATGCAAGGCTGGTTCAACATACGCAAATCAATAAATGTAATCCAACATGTAAACAGAACCAAAGACAAAAACCACATGCTTATCTCAATAGATGCAGAAAAGGCCTTTGACAAAGTTCAACAACCTTTCATGCTAAAAACTCTCAATAAATTAGGTATTGATGGTATGTATCTCAAAATAATAAGAGCTATCTATGACAAACCCACAGCCAATATTATACTGAATGGGCAAAAACTGGAAGCATTCCCTTTGAAAACTGGCACAAGACAGGGATGCCCTCTCTCACCACTCCTATTCAACATAGTGTTGGAAGTTCTGGCCAGGGCAGTCAGGCAGGAGAAGGAAATAAAGTGTATTCAATTAGGAAAAGAGGAAGTCAGATTGTCCCTGTTTGCAGATGACATGATTGTATATCTAGAAAACCCCATTGTCTCAGCCCAAAATCTCCTCAAGCTGATAAGCAACTTCAGCAAAGTCTCAGGATACAAAATCAATGTGCAAAAAATCACAAGCATTCCTATACACCAATAACAGACAAACAGCCAAATCATGAGTGAACTCCCATTCACAATTGCTTCAAAGAGAATAAAATACCTAGGAATCCAACTTACAAGGGATGTGAAGGACCTCTTCAAGGAGAACTACAAACCACTGCTCAATGAAATAAAAGAGGATACAAAGAAATGCAAGAACATTCCATGCTCATGGGTAGGAAGAATCAATATCGTGAAAATGGCCATACTGCCCAAGGTAATTTATAGATTCAGTGCCATCCCCATCAAGCTACCAATGACTTTCTTCACAAAATTGGAAAAAACTACTTTAAACTTCATATGGAAACAAAAAAGAGCCCGTGTCGCCAAGTCAATCCTAAGCCAAAAGAACAAAGCTGGAAGCATCACGCTACCTGACTTCAAACTATACTACAAGGCTACAGTAACCAAAACAGCGTGGTACTGGTACCAAAACAGAGATATAGACCAATGGAACAGAACAGAGCCCTCAGAAATAATGCTGCATATCTACAACTATCTGATCTTTCATAAACCTGACAAAAACAAGCAATGGGAAAGGATTCCCTATTTAATAAATGGTGCTGGGAAAACTGGCTAGCCATATGTAGAAAGTTGAAACTGGATCCCTTCCTTACACCTTATACAAAAATTAATTCAGGATGGATTAAAGACTTACATGTTAGACCTAAAACCATAAAAACCCTAGAAGAAAACCTAGGCAATACCATTCAGGACATAGGCATGGGCAAGGACTTCATGTCTAAAACACCAAAAGCAATGGCAACAAAAACCAAAATTGACAAATGGGATCTAATTAAACTGAAGAGCTTCTGCACAGCAAAAGAAACTACCATCAGAGTGAACAGGCAACCTACAGAATGGGAGAAAATTTTTGCAACCTACTCATCTGACAAAGGGCTAATATCCAGAATCTACAATGAACTCAAACAAATTTACAAGAAAAAAACAAACAACCCCATCAAAAAGTGGGCAAAGGATATGAACAGACACTTCTCAAAAGAAGACATTTATGCAGCCAAAAAACACATGAAAAAGTGCTCATCATCACTGGCCATCAGAGAAATGCAAATCAAAACCACAGTGAGATACCATCTCACACCAGTTAGAATGGCGATCATTAAAAAGTCAGGAAACAACAGGTGCTGGAGAGGATGTGGAGAAATAGGAACACTTTTACACTGTTGGTGGGACTGTAAACTCGTTCAACCATTGTGGAAGTCAGTGTGGCGATTCCTCAGGGATCTAGAACTAGAAATACCATTTGACCCAGCCATTCCATTACTGGGTATATACCCAAAGGATTATAAATCATGCTGCTATAAAGACACATGCACACGTATGTTTATAGCAGCACTATTCACAATAGCAAAGACTTGGAACCAACCTAAATGTCCAACAATGATAGACTGGATTAAGAAAATGTGGCACATATACACCATGGAATACTATGCAGCCATAAAAAATGATGAGTTTGTGTCCTTTGTAGGGACATGGATGAAACTGGAAACCATCATTCTCAGCAAACTATGGCAAGGACAAAAAACCAAACACCACATGTTCTCACTCATAGGTGGGAATTGAACAATGAGAACACATGGACACAGGAAGGGGAACATCACACATCGGGAAGTGTTGTGGGGTGGGGGGAGGGGGGAGGGATAGCATTAGGAGATATACCTAATGCTAAATGACGAGTTGGTGGGTGCAGCACACCAGCATGGCACATGTATACATATGTAACAAACCTGCACGTTGTGCACATGTACCCTAAAACTTAAAGTATAATAATAATAAAATTAAAAAAAAAAAAGAATGGCTACTCAACTTCACCTACCCTCCTAGATCTCAGCCTCTTTCTTTGCTTCCAGCCAGATTGACTCTAGCTATGGCTCACACTGTTCCCTATAGTCCCATCTACCCAGGAGGCTGAGGCAGGGGAATCGCTTGAACCCTAGAGGCAGAGGTTGCAGTGAGCCGAGATCGCGCCACCGCACTCCAGCCTGAGCGATGGAACGAGACTCCATCTAAAAAAAAAAAAAATGTGGGTTAATGTATTCCTAATTGCTTTTCAGAGTTTAACATCAGCAGTCTATAAGAGTGCCCATTTTCTTATCTATTCAGTAACATTAACTATTATAACCTTTCTAAATCTCCATCATCTAACATCTGAATATGGTATAACATTATTTAACTTTACAATTCTTTGAATCCTAGTGAGTTTGGACATCTTTTTCATTTATTTATTGACTATCTGTATTTCTAATTTGTGAATTTTCTTTTTGCTCACTTTCTTCTGTTAGGAATTTGTATTTTTCTTTTGATTTCTAAGAGGTCTTCGTATATTAGAGATCCTAATCTTTTGTCAGGTTGCAAATATTTTCCTAAAATGTTCGTCTTGTTTTAAATTTTGTAATACCTTTTGCAAAATATAAGCTTTATATGGTTATGCAGCCAAATCTATCACTGTCAATCTTTTTCTTCACTTTTTCCTTTTGCGTATGTTAAAACTCTCTCTACTGAGCTCAGTAGATAAATATTGACATTATTTTCTTATAAGTATTTTATGGGTTTATTTTGGAGTTAAATATCTAATGCCTCAGGAATTTTTGTGTATATGAATTTTTAGCACATGATAGAAAACATAATTTTCCCCCAAATGGTTAACCATTTTTCCTACTTCCATGTGATGAATCTCTACTGACTTGAAAATACATAATTTAATGTGTGTACAACTTTGAAAAACATATATTTGCATCTCATTATGGATCTTTTTTTTTTTTCTTGATCTACCTGTTCTTAGCTCAATACTGTTGCTTTATAACATGGTTTAATATTTTATGTGGCCTCCCTTCCTCATTGTCTCCCTCCGCCCCACAAAAAAAAAAATCTTGGCTATTTTCAGGCATATTTTTCCTCCCAAAAGGACTTTAAAATTCCATTGAATTTTAATTGGAAATAGGATACGTTTCTAAATTGATGTAAAGAGAATTGATATCTCTGCAAGCCAATTTTTTGTTAAGAGGGATTATATGTCTCTACATTTATTCAAGTCTTTTTTATGTCAGTCAGTGAAGTTTTCCTAATACAATCAACTTATGCTTTATTTTTCATTTTATTTTGTTTCTCTAATTTTCCCCCTACATTTTATTGCTGCCATGAGTGGAGCTTTTTTAGCCTTTTTTTTTTCTTGTTGCTATTTGATAGTATATATTAAAGTTATTTAATTTATTCAAATATTTTATTCAACATACATTTATTGAGTGCATACTATGTACTAGTGACTCTTCTAAGCATTGAGAATATAGCAGTGAACAAAATAGCCAACCTTAAGAAACTTACATGGGACAGGAGGTGAGATAAATAAACAAAAACAAAGCATGATATGTTAGAGAGTAAGAAATACCAAATAAAGGCAGGGAAGGGAATAGTGAAGGGAGTTCAGGGGTGAGAGGCTAATTTTAATATTAAATGAAGTAGTTAGGAGAGACCTTGATGAGAGAATAATTTTGGGGGCAAAGACCTGAGGGCTAGGGAGCAGCCATTTATTTCTGTGAAGGAAGAAAGTTCCTGATTAAAGGAACAGCAAAGGCAAAAGCCATGAGGTGGAAGCTGGTGCATTCAAAGAATAAGCAGGCCAGTGTGGCTGGAGTGAGAAAAGAAGAGTAGTAGAAGAGAAGTAGTGAGGGGGCAGATTTTATGGCCTTGCAGATTATTGTGAGGACTTTGGCTTTTAGTCTAATTGAGTTTCCTGCTTGATTCTGTTTGATTGCCTATATTTACTGTCTCCATTTTCTTGCTTCTCATAAACTCCTCAACCCACTGAGTTCTGGCATTTGTCACTTCATGGTGCCCTATTGTCACTTCATTGAATCAATGCTAAGGTCACTAGTGACCTTGTCAGTAAATAAAAAGGGTGTTTTCCCCTTGCCTGTATCACCTTTCAGCCATTGACTGTGTTGCCCATTGCCTGCCTCTGGACGCATCCCCTTTTCCTGGCTGCCAAGACCCCACAGTCTTCTTGCTGTTCTCCCACCTCTTTGGCTCATTCCTTTCTATCTCCTTTGCAGGCTTATCCTCCTCTACCTAGCTATTGAGTGTTAGAATATTTTAAGGCATCAATTTTTGCTCACTTCTCTTTTAACCTCAGACATTCTCTCTAGGTATTTACGTTTCGTCTCTTATTTACGTTTCAGCTTCAGTTCTCTTTGTATGTGACAGTGACTCCCTTAGTAAATGTCCAGCTCGGTCCTCTTTTCTGCATCTCAGACTTGCATAACTAATTGACCCAACTGCCTATAAATCATCTCCTGCCAGGTATTTGTAAGGCATTTTAAACTCCACAAGTCCAACAATGGATTCAGGATTCTTCCCACAAAACTAATCTTCCAGGCTTGCTCTCTCAGTGAATGTGACCATGTACACCCACTTACGGGAAGCCAGAACAAACTTGGAAAGATCCTTGAGCTCTCCTTTTCCATGAACTCCCATGTTGATTTCATCACCAAGTCCTATTATTTTACCTTTTAAATCTCTCTCAAATCTGTCTACTTCTTTCCATCTCCCTTATGATTACCCTAATTGTCTCACTTGGAGCACTTCAAATATTCCTAACTGGCCTTCCCATCTCTCCTTTGGCCTCCCTCCAATGCAGTCCTCCACACTGTACCTAGAGAGATCTTTTTGAAGTGCTAATCTGCTCACCTTGCCCCTGCTTACAACCCTTCAAGTGAGTCATAATTCTTAACCATGCAGGGCCAAAAAGGCTTCCTCTCCTACCTCATCTTGCCCTCTCTCCTCTAGGCTCTCTGTACATCAACCACTCTCTTCTTTTCTGAATTTCAGTTTCTCCAGTGTGTTCTGCTCTCACTCCCTATCTAGCTCCTGTGCACTGGATACATCCAGCTGTTCTCAAACTGTAAACTCAGCTCAGGGGACACTTTTTCAGCCTTCCCTGGCCCTCTCATCTTTCTTTTATTATTATCTTCTTTCTTTTAATATTATCTTCTAAGTATTTCTTGTGTTACTTATCTCCATTTGTAATGATATGTTCATTCGTGGGAATTGTTGGTTAATATCTTTTTGGCCCACCCAACCTTGAGCTCCATGAGAGCAGAGACTGTGTCCCTCTTTATTCACCATTGAATCCCCAGGCCTAGCACAGTAACCTGGCACATTGTTACTATTCAGTAAATATTTGTGGAAAGAATCAATGAAGTCCTTTTGCTTCTTAGAATTAACCCAAAATGTTGCCTTTTTTGCATAATTGGCTTACTAGTACATTTCTTTAAATTTGCAGAAGCAGTGTATTTTCATGAACATAAAAAGTTATTTTTTGAGGGGTTTCTAGGCTTTTTCTGGAGTTACTGGAGAACAAATTGCTGTTGGGGTTTTTCTCACATTGTCGGAATCTGATATAACTGCCCTCTGTCCTTTGTGCATGCCATCTGGACTCAAGATTGAGTAAATTCACAGATTCTAGGCTGATAGCTATACAATACTGTTAATGACATTTCTAAATGTGTTAAAAGTGTTGTTTCGACTGGAATGAAATCCACTTTCTGGAGGCTTCAGGAAAATATGGCAGCCTGAGGTGCTATTTCCCAGTGTTTCTGTTGAATGCTGCCCTGGGAACTATGAAACAAGCAGCCCGGAAAATCCAAGTCTGTGGACAAATTGGAGATCAGAGTTGTGCATGAGGTGTTTTAAAAGGAGGCAAGGCCCAGAAACAAAAGTAGAAAGTGGGTGAATGGCTGGGTTAGCCAGAGTCACATCCCCACATGGATGGTTCCAGAAGGCCAGAGGCCTAGCTCTACCAGTGGTCTGCAACTAGTTTTAAAGTATTTTGACCTGACTTTGAAAAGTAAAGCAAGAAAATACCATTTTTAAAATCTTTCTTTTCTCCTCAGTTTCTAATTTTTTTTGTGGGCATTAACAGGCTAAGGTTCTCAGGCATGCAGGTTAAACCCTTTTACTTTACCAGTCAGACTTACATTCACAGTGTCCTAAAGACATATTCATATGTAATAATTTTTAACCTAGTGTGTCCTCTATTTAGCAAATTGTCACTCCTGCTTTTCCTGGGTGCTCGATGGCATGGGATGGGAAAACCTTTCACTTCTTACATGCCTCCCTCAGTGAATAGTCCCTTTGGAGTAGAACATCTCTACTATAATCTGTAGCTTCCACAATTATTGTTGTAAACACCTGTCAGAATTTTTTTTTTTTTTTTTTTTTTTTACTGGTGCAAGTTGTTCATCCTTAAAATCCATTCTAATTATTTCTTTTTTAAAAAATTAAAACAGTTTTTTTAAGAAACATGGTCCCACTCTGTCACTCAGGCTGGAGTGCAGTGGCATGATCATAACTCACTGTAGTCTCAGACTCCTGGGCTCAAGCAGTCCTCCCAACTCGGCCTCCCCAAAGCCCTGGGATTACAGGCATGAGCCACCATACCTGGACCTTCTAATTATTTCTTGTATGTGTCCAAGGGGTAGGCAGCATAGAGTTGTGGCATATACAATGGATTCTGGAGTTCTAATCTCCTCTCCACTCCATACTGGCCATGTAACTTTGGGCAAAAACTTCACACTTTCATGCCTTGGTTTCCTCATCTGTAAAATGGAAGCTTAATAGTATCTATTGACCATACAATTATAAAGGGGGCTGTTCTTAGGAGTAAATGAGTTATTTGAAAAACGTGGTTTTTATTGTTTGTTTTTTTAAGTCAGGGTCTTGGTCTGTTGCCTAGGCTTGAGTACAGTGACATGATCATGGCTCATTGCAGCCTTGAACTCTTGAGCTCAAGCAGTCCTCCTGTGTCAGCCTCTTGCGTAGCTGAGACTGCAGGTGTGCACCACCATGCCTGACTGATTTTTTAAAAACTGTTTTAGAGATGGGATCTCACTATTTTGCCCAGGCTGGTCTCAAACTCCTGGCCTCAAGCCATCTTCCTGCTTCAGCCTCCTGAGTCGAAAAATGTGTTTTTAAGAGTGCTTGGCTTATAGTAATTAATGCAACTATTTCTTAAATAAAATAAATGCGATAAAGTGCCATAAACCAGTACTTCTCAAATTTTGATGTGCAGCTAAAATCATTTGGGGACATTGTTAAATTGCAAATTTAGATTCTGCAGTTCTGTTGTGGGCTTGAGGTTCTACGTTTCTGACAAACGGTCAGGTGTTGCAGATGCTGCAGGTCCATGGGCCACACTTTAGCAGCAGCCAAATATAAGGCAACAAGCTACAACTGTCTCAGAATCTCTGCTCAAACATGACAGACTGCATTTATAAGGAGCCAGGTCTTCAATATGATGCTCTCTTTTGAACTCTGTGAGCATCTTTTGATGCTCTGTGAGCACAAGGCACACAGCGTACAGCGTGGGGCTGTTAGGGGAGCCCTGAGCAATCTGCAGGCCCACACAGTTCCCCACAGCTTGTAATGGGGAGAAATGATTGCTGGAAGTTAGTTCTCTGACCCACTGGGGGTGAGCTACTGACTCACAATGTGTGTGGTGTGTGTTTGGGGGAAAAGACAAGGTAAAGAGGAGGGAATACTGATGTGAAAACTCACAGAAGAAGATGTATTAATCCAAATATTAGTTGAATAAAAGAGCAAAGTCACATCCAAACAGAGAGCTGCTGGACCTCTTCCTGAGAGAAATCCCCACCGAAAAGGTGCCTCAGATGATGTGTCACATGCCTCAGGCTTCACCCTTTTTCTTGTGTCCACAAATTGTCAAAATTTCCCATGGAAAGAGGATTCCCTTCATGTATGATATTCCCCAAAGCTACCCATGACAGTCATGAAAAGCTGGAAATGACTTCAGCTGCAAACACTTGGGAGGTTTTGGGTTTTTTATAGTTTAGGTATTAACACTTTATATGTTTAGGTATAAACATCTGTTTTCATACAAGGGACTCTTCTTAGGCAACCTCTTTACTTCATGTTGCTTCAGTTTATTTTCCCTTTTTCTCAGCTTTCACTGAATGTCATGTGGATGAAGCAAGTTTCCAGCTTGATTCCTTGCCCTAGGATGTTTACTTGTCCTTTCTTTAAGTATCTATTAAATATCTATCTAAATATCCACAGAATACAACTAAGGTGTGCACATATGTATGCATGCCTGTGTGTGTGTGTGTGTGTGTGTGTGTGTGTGTTTTCCATAGCGATTCTAGGACTCCTTTTTGCAAGGGATATCTGTTATCTAGTTTTATTTGAAGCATTTGTCTGCCCTTTGACTTTTAAGTCAGTGATCACATTGGAGAGCTAAAGGTAGAATGGGCGAGCAGCGACAGAGGTTTCTGAGGTGGCACATGAATATGGCTCCTTCTGGTCCTGTAGGTCCTTCCATCAGGATTGCCACTCCACCACCAGTCAGGGAATAACAGTGTTCAGAGGCAAAATAAGATTCTGTGAACACAGAATTCTGGCTTTTTCTTTTTTTTGAGATGGAGTCTCACTCTGTTGCCCAAGCTGGAGTGCAGTGGTGGGATCTCGGCTCACTGCAAGCTCTACCTCCTGGGTTCATGCCATTGTCCTGTCTCAGCCTCTCGAGTAGCTGGGACTACAGGCACCCACAACCACGCCCGGCCAATTTTTTTGTATTTTTAGGAGAGACAGCATTTCATCATGTTAGCCAAGATGGTCTCGATCTCCTGACCTCGTGATCCACCCGCCTCGGCCTCCCTCCCAAAGTGCTGGGATTACAGGTGTGAGCCACCGCACCTGGCCTGTGGCTTTTTCAAAAGGTATATTTTTCCAGAGTCTTCATTCATATTCTCTCTCTCCCCCCCCCACCCACTTCACACACACACACACACACACACACACACACACACACACACACACATATCCTTACTCCTCCCCAGAGACCTCATTGTTGCCATCACCTGTTCAGAGCATCCAGGTTCCAGCCATGGTCTTGGTTGGACCTCTTCTTCAGTGAGCTGTCTGGGAGAGGCTGGTGTCTGGCAAGGTTAGGGATGTTTGATGTGAGGATGAGGGTCTATTACTCAATAACTCTCCCACAATATCAGTTCCACTTTGCTGAGGTGAAAGCCCTTTCATCTTCTGAACCTTTGCTCTAGGTGAGTTGAAGATTCCTCTGGTCAATTGGAGGCCCCTAAAAGGGAGATCTTATTAAACAAGGCAGACCACTTTGGGTTTTGTCCTTATCTGCAGATAACCATGCCATATACAGGGCCTTAAGCACTCTTTCTGTGTGTAACCCCTCACACTTTCTTCCCAACTCCTAATTGTCTCAGCAGCTCAGGTCAGTAGCCCAGTGCTCTTGTTATGCTAGCCTATACAAGCAGCACACATCAGTATGTTTTGGTCTTACACACTATTACATTTTTATCCATTGTGCTTTTAAAAGAGCCCTTGTTAATTTATATCACATTTGCATCATTTTTACATCTGGGAAGCATTATTGTGTCTGGAATTGGTGGGTTCTTGGTCTCACTGACTTCAAGAATGAAGCCATGGACCCTCGCGGTGAGTGTTACAGCTCTTAAGGTGGCGCGTCTGGAGTTTGTTCCTTCTGATGTTCGGATGTGTTCGGAGTTTCTTCCTTCTGGTGGGTTCGTGGTCCCGCTGGCTCAGGAGTGAAGCTGCAGACCTTCGCCATGAGTGTTACAGCTCTTAAGGCGGCACGTCTGGAGTTTGTTCCTTCCTCCCGGTGGGCTCATGGTCTCGCTGGCTTCAGGAGTGAAGCTGCAGACCTTCGCAGTGAGTGTTACAGCTCATAAAGGCAGTGTGGACCCAAAGAGTGAGCAGTAGCAAGATTTATTGCAAAGAGCAAAAGAACAAAGCTTCCACAGTGTGGAAGGGGACCGTAGTGGGTTGCCACTGCTAGCTCGGGCAGCCTGCTTTTATTCTCTTATCTGGCCCCACCCACATCCCGCTGATTGGTAGAGCCGAGTGGTCTGTTTTGACAGGGTGCTGATTGGTGCGTTTACAATCCCTGAGCTAGACACAAAGGTTCTCCAAGTCCCCACTAGATTAGCTAGATACAGAGTGTGGACACAAAGGTTCTTCAAGGCCCCACCAGAGTAGCTAGATACAGAGTGTCGATTGGTGCATTCACAAACCCTGAGCTAGACACAGGGTGCTGATTGGTGTGTTTACAAACCTTGAGCTAGATACAGAGTGCCGATTGGTGTATTTACAATCCCTGAGCTAGACATAAAGGTTCTCCAAGGCCCCACCAGAGTAGCTAGATACAGTGTCCATTGGTGCACTCACAACCCCTGAGCTAGACACAGGGTGCTGATTGGTGTGTTTACAAACCTTGAGCTAGATACAGAGTGCCGATTGGTGTATTTACAATCCCTGAGCTAGACATAAAGGTTCTCCAAGGCCCCACCAGACTCAAGAGCCCAGCTGGCTTCACCCAGTGGATCCTGCACCTGGGCTGCAGGTGGAGCTGCCTGCCAGTCCCACGCCATGCGCTCGCACTCCTCAGCGCTTGGGTGATCGATGGGACTGGGTGCCGTGGAGCAGGGGGCTGTGCTCATCAGGGAGGCTCGGGCTGCACAGGAGCCCACGGAGGCGGGGGTAGGCTCAGGCATGGCAGGCTGCAGTCCCGAGGCCTGCTCCGCGGGAAGGCAGCTAAGGCCCGGCGAGAAATCCAGAGCAGCAACGGTGGGCTGGCACTGCTGGGGGACCCAGTACACCCTCCGCAGCCGCTGGCCCGGGTGCTAAGTCCCTCATTGCCTGGGGCCTGCAGGCCCAGCCAGCTGCTCCGAGTGTGGGGCCCGCCAAGCCCAGGCCCACCTGGAACTCCAGCTGGCCCGCAAGCGCTGCAGGCAGCCCCGGTTCCCGCTCCCGCCTCTCCCTCCACACCTCCCTGCAAGCTGAGGGAGTGGGCTCTGGCCTTGGCCAGCCCAGAAAGGGGCTCCCACAGTGCAGCGGTGGGCTGAAGGGCTCCTCAAGTGCCACCAAAGTGGGAGCCCAGGCAGAGGAGGCGGTGAGAGCGAGCCAGGGCTGTGAGGACTGCCAGCACGCTGTCACCTCTCATTATGATTTCATCCCCTCCCTGCTTCATAGATGCCTTGAGATAGAGGTTAGGCACCCCAAATCTGAAAATCTGAAATCCTCCAAAATCTAAAACTTTTTGAGCACTGACATGACACTCAAAAGTAGTGCACGTTGTGCACATGTACCCTAGAACTTAAAAGTATAATTAAAAAAAAAAAAGTAGTGCTCATTGGCCGGGCGCAGTGGCTCACGCCTGTAATACCAGCATTTTGGGAGGCCGAGGCAGGTGGATCACGAGGTCAGGAGATCGAGACCATCCTGGCTAACATGGTGAAGCCTCGTCTCTACTAAAAAAAAAAAAAAAAAAAAAAAAAAAAATTAGCTGGGCATGGTGGCGGGTGACTGTAGTCCCAGCTATTGGAGAGGCTGAGGCAGGAGAATGGCGTGAACCTGGGAGGCAGAGCTTGCAGTGAGCCAAGATCACACCACTGCACTCCAGCCTGGGCAACAGAGCGAGGCTCTGTCTCAAAAAAAAAGGGTAGTGCTCATCAGAGCATTTTGGATTTTGGATTTTCAGATTTGGAATGCTCAACTGGTATATGTAATGTAAAATGTTCAAAAATCTGAAAAAGTTCAAAGTCTGAAACACTTCTGATCTCAAGCATTTTAGATAAAAGATACTCGACCCATATAAAAGGATTTAATTTCCCCTGGTAGAGTCTGACTGGTGTCATAGCTGTGTGATCTCCTGGGTCCCACCTAAGAAGGTGGCATTCCTAAGCCATTAAAATTCAGCCTATGTAACATAGCCATAAATAGGTTAGGCTTAGCCTGTCCTGAGGTGGTGTGCCTGGGAGTTAAGATCAGGGGCTCATATCTCTAAGTAAGGTGGCAGGTACGGTTTTATTTTATTATTTTAATTGCTATGCATTAACCTACATATGTGTCACATATATTGTGTATATCAAATATTACATAATTTAACCTTTTTAAAAGAGTAGAGTTCTGGAGTAAGGCATTAAATTCTAGTTTATTAGCTGTATGATCTTGGTCAGTTTATTTACCCTTTCTGTGGCACCTCTCTTTATTTCCAAAATATATAGGGATAATTGTGCAGGTCCGTTCTTCTTTATCTGCAATTCTGAATACAGAAAGCTGTAAAATGGACGGCTTTTTCACAAGTTTTCTGCAAACTCAGTAGGTAATAAAACTTGAACTGACCAGAGTCTATTTATAGTCTTTATTCCATTTAGTATGATTGCTCATATTTGGGGCTGATTATGTTTGGTTCATTATACATGTTTGATTATTGGTATGGCCCCAAATTCCTCTGGGGCTATTGTATACTGTTTAATACAACATATTGCCTTTCTAAAATACACAAATTTCTGAAATCCTAAACATATATATCCCCAAGAGATTTGGAAAAGGGCTTTAGACTTGTATGTCCCATCTCAGAGGGCTGCTGTGAGGAGTTGACATGGCGTCCATCTCTTGCAAATGCCTATCAGATAAGCTGTTAGTTGTTACAGACCCCTGAGACGTGACCTTATTCACTGAATAAATATTTATTGAATTCCTGCCGTGTGCCAAGTGCAGGTGGGGTGGTGGTGGTGATGGTGGGGGGGAGTGCAGCATAAAAGATGCCACTCTTGTCTTCAGGGAGCCCTACTCTAGTAAGGGACAGACATGAAGATGAGAAAATATGGGCTAGCAGGCAGGTGGCCTTTCAGCCTTGGCTGGCCAAGAAGGGACCTGGAGCCGGCCAGGAATGGGGCATCAGCTGAGCCGAGTGATGGGCATGAAGAAGGGTCTGCCAAGTTGAGGATGACCAGGAATGGGGCATCAGCTGAGCCAAATGGGATCTCAGTACTTTTGAAAACTGCAAGAAGTCAGGTTGGACTGGATCTTTGGTGCGGTGGGAGGATAAGCAAACAGGTGGAAAGGGAGTGCACATAAAATGCTTGGTGTGTCCTGGGGGAGAGCTTGGATTTTACCCTGGAGCCTGGGGTCAGATAGTGAAGAATGAAAGTGACATCTCTGAGTGTGCATGTGCATGACTCCTCAGCTGCAATTATTCATTTCAGGCTGTTACTATTTATTTAATATTATTCAGTTTATGACTGTGTGTGCATGCATGTAGTATTTCCTCTCCCAGATGAACATTTTCTAGTACTATATTAGGTTTAACAAAATAGGCAAAATATTTTTAAAACTCCCAAGATGTATATGTGTATTCATTGATTTTCCCCTCCATATATAATATGATTTTTCTACTAATAAATTTTATAGTTGATGGACTTCTTTAAGTCTGTCCTTATAGAGCAAATATTAAGTACTTTCAGTTAATGCTGATAATGTGGGAACATCTTTTGAATTTATACACTCTTCTTAGAATCTTTGTTGTAGATTCTCCCTTTGAAGTCTGTTAACATTGTTAAGATATTAAAAATTAATGGCCCAATTAGCCTCCCTTAGGGTTTTATTATGACTGACATTTAACTAGAAAAGTGACACCTTTTCAAGGCAATCATCCATCTGCCTTGGGCTCTCAATTCTGCTACAAACTTACTAAATTATATGAAAACAAAAACACAGGCCAGGCACCATGGCTCAAGCCTGTAATTCCAGCATTTTGGGAGGCCAAGGCGGGAGGATCACTTGAGCCCAAGAGTTGTAGACGAGCCTGGGCAACAAAGTAAGACCCTGTCTCTACAAAAAATATAAAAATTAGCCAGATGTGGTGGCAAATGCCTGTGGTCCCAGCTACTAAGGAGGCTGAGACGGGAGGATCACTTAAGCCCAGGAGATCAAGGCTGCATCGAGCTATGATCTTAGGATTTTTTCAAATATTTTTAAATGTACATTTATTACTTTAATTTTTTTTTTTGAGACAGAGTTTCGCTCTTGTTGCCCAGGCTGGAGTGCAATAGCGCGATATTCCGTCCACCGCAAACTCCGCCTCCTGGGTTCAAGCAATTCTCCTGCCTCAGCCTGCCGAACAGCTGGGATTACAATCATGTGCCATCACACCCGGCTAATTTTGTATTTTTAGTAGAGATGGGGTTTCTCCATGTTGGTCAGGGTGGTCTCGAACTCCCAACCTCAGGTGATCCACACGCCTCAGCCTCCCAAAGTGCAGGGATTACAGGCGTGAGCCACCACACCTGGCTATTACTTTAATTTTTAAGTTACTATGAGTACATTTTTTAAACAACCAAACTAAACTTAAGCCTCAGTGACTAAATACCAAACAGGATTTAGAGTGTCCTCTCCCTGAACCTAGTCCCTGCACCCTTACCCCAGAGATCTTTTCCTCTGTGACTTTCTTCTTCCCATTCAGCTTAATGGGGAGACACATAAACAGCTGGGAGTCAGCTGTAAAGTCTCTTAGAAAGCAGGCATGCCTTCACAGAGCAGTGAAATACCTTTCATGGTGGTTCAAAATCAGAAAGGGAATCACGGCGCCTGCCTTTGCTGAGGGAGGTGGAGGAGGAGTTGAAGCCATGGGTGTCATGGTGACTGTGAAGCCCCAGTGACAGCAGCCTAGGCTGTGACACTCCAGGAGGGCTCTGGTCACTTCAAGAGATTTGTGAGAATCTGGAAAACAAAGTTTTGAACTTAATTTTCACTTGTTTAAAAAAGCTGTTCTACAACATTTCTTGGTGGTAGGACTCTCTGTATGTGTGCCCGTGTGTGTGTGTACGTGTTGTGTGTGTGTACAAGCTGGGGCCCAGAGAAGTGGACGTGTTAGATGAGTTAGGCATTGGAGGAGTTTCAGACCTAAAAGAATCTCAGATGTAACAATGCATCTGTCTAAAGACAGGGTTTAATTGGGTGACCACCGAACATGCGTTCACGCTGGAAAACTCAATAAGACTGCTGAGACAGTCACATAAACAACCTCCTTCCCATGATTTCTGCTGACAAGTGGTTCTTTGCCATTAACATTAATCAGCAAGTACCCATTATTCAGCCAGTTGTTGATACTTTGTCACCTCATACCCTGCTCTTAAAGTTCTTATTGAGAACATTTGCTTTAGGCTAATTATTAAGGCTGATTATTAAGCCAAATTAACAATAATTATATACAAGCCTAAGTTAATCTCTTCCTTTCAAATAAAGGACACATAAAGGCAAACTGGCAGTGGTGCCAACATCACCTGAGACCAAATGGGGAACTAACATCCTGCACCTGTGCATGCACCTGCAATGAAATCATAATCTTAGACTTGAACATTAAAGAATTACTGGAATAGTGGCTTATCACTGATCTTTCTGAGTTCCAACTATGCCCTTCTGGTGTGGCATTAATAGATTGTCTGCAAATATAGTGTCTTAGTCTGTTTAGGCTGCTGTAACAAAATACCATAAATCAGGTAGCTTATAAAAGACAGAAATGTGTCACAGTTCTGGTTGCCAAGAAGCCCATGATCAAGATGTGGACAGATTCAGTCTCTGGTAAGGGCCTGCTTCCTGGTTCATAGATGGCTTGCTGTCTTTCACTCTCTTCATATGGTAGAAGGGCAAGGCAGCTCTCTGGGGCCTCCTTTATAAGGGCACTAATCCCATTTGTGAGAGCTCTACCCTCATGACCTCATCACCTCCCAAAGGCCTCACCTTCTAATACCATCACATTGGTGATTAAGTTTTAACATATGAATTTGGGGGGGACACAAACACTGAGACCACAGCATATAGCTGCCCACAATTCTTCCCATTCCTATATATGCATGTGGCTTCCTTGTCTAGAAAGTAGATCTATTTCCTCCCCCTGGAATCTGGTTGACCCTACCTTGACCAATAGAAGGCAGTGGAAGTGATGGTGTGTGACTTCCAGGCCTGAGGCTTCAGTGTCCTGGCAGTTTCCATTTGCACCCTCTTGGAAGCCCCAGTCATATTAAGTCTAGGCTATCCTGCTGGACAAATCATGAGGAAAGAGCTCTTGGAGGATTGACGGGACATGTGGAGGAGAACGGAAGTGCCCTGGCCAACAGCCAGTGCCTACAGCCAAACATGGGGGTGAAGCCATCTTGATCATTCCAGCCTTAGGCAGGCTCCCAGTTGGACATGATGTAGAGCAAAAGGACTGCTCAGCTAACCCAGCCAACCCACAGAATCATGAGTAGTTAAACACACTGATTTTTTAAGCCACCAAATTTTAGATTGGTTTGTTACACAGCAGTGGATAGTTGAAAAACTTGGTGTGTGGCTTGGGCAAGTGATGTGATTATTCCAAGCCTCAGTTTTTCCTTCCTTCCCTCCTTCCTTCCTTCTTTTTTTGAGACAGAGTTTCACTCTTGTTGCCCAGGCTGGAGTGCAAAGGTGCAACCTCCACCTCCCAGGTTCAAGTGATTCTCCTGCCTCAGCCTCCTGAGTATCTGGGATTACAGGCATGCGCCACCATGCCTGGCTAATTTTGTATTTTTAGTAGAGACGAGGTCTCTCCATGTTGGTCAGGCTGGTCTTGAACTCCCGAACTCAGGTGATCCGCCCGCCTCGGCCTCCCAAAGTGCTGGGATTACAGGCATGAGTCACCGCACCCAGCCTCAGTTTTCTTAATCCATGAAATGGAGATGATACAAAACATGCTTTCCTCTCAGGGTTGTCATGGTGACCAGTACAATAATAAAAACAAATGGTCTGGATAAACTGTAGATTTAATTTAAAATGCTAGTTGCTAAATCGTTATTCTTTCTTCATCTCTTCCTAAAAGATCCCTTGCTTTATCTGAGGGCCTTTTGTTGTAGTACAGAGCAAGGGAAAGCTTTCTAGTGTAGTGGGCTTCATCTCAGGAGTGTGAAGAAGTAGTGAAAGGGTGTACTGAGATAAAGCATCTTATAGGTGTGGTTGGCGGTATGCCACCAGCTATGGGTTCTTATTTTACTTCCTGAATTCTGCTTACAGAGACCAAACTGAGTTACAGCCTAGGGCAGTGTAGAAAAGAAAAAAAAATGCAATTGTGGAAAAGGAAAGATGCATTAGAATAAAAGAAGCAGAAAGGATGTGGGTCAGAGAGAGAATGGGGGTGAAAAAAAAGGAGGGTAGGGGCTGTCTTCAGAAAGGATGAATTACAACCTACAAGGCCCTTCTGCTAATACATTTTTATAATAAAATGAAGGCTAAGAGTCCTCTTCCAGAATAGAAAGGTAAAAATGCTTTGTAATAGCATTTCAAGAAGTTGCCTTCTGGAGACCTTACTGAAGATGCTGATGGTGCATTAACAGAACTGTTCCCTCTGGAGAGTGACACTTTCTCAGCACGTAGGTACATGTGTACCATGGAAGAGGCAGTTTGAGTGGAACATGTTTTAAAATGCTTATGAAAAGAAATCCAAAATCAGCTCTAAAGAGGGAAGTGGAAATTCTGAAATACCTCACAAGCATTTCTACATGTAGCATATGCTGTGAGAACATCTGTTACATAGCTTCAAAAGCATGCTGGGTCCTGTAAGGGTCATGTTAAGCAAATGGTCCTGGCCAAAATGTTTTATCTCCTGGGGTTCGCACACATTTCTGTTCATGATGCTGCCAGGCTTGGGGGGGCATCACATCAGTCAAAGGCAGCTATATTTGCCAAAGAACTACCTCAAGCTCCCGGGTCCCCACCAAGGCGAGGCCCATAGCTAACTCCACAGCAGCTAATGGAGTTCACTTTTGTCCTCCCAGAGATTCTTCTGCAGCCTGAGTCTTTCTGAGGCTTCTCAGGTTCCTCAAGTCCATTCTCTAGGCTTAAATTAATAAACTAATTCAAGGTAAGGTGCTAATAAGGTAACATTTAATGTTATTTCTCTCCAACTCAGTTTCTTATTTTAACTGTGAACTTCCACCCTAACTCCAGGAGAGAGTCAAATGAAAGAATTTCATTCTGAGAGACTTAGGGGAGTGTGGACATAAGGAGAGACCCTTCCAATGTCCGTAAACTCTTATCTTTATCTTTAAAATTCAATAAATTATTTGCAGTGTAAAATACACTGCAAATTATACATTGTGCAATTGTGCAAACTGTATATAATTTCATGTGTTCTCTTTATAAAGGAAAAAGTAAACATTTTAAAATGGAAAAAATCATACTCCAAATGCAGCCGTGTACTTCACCTACATAGGACTATAAATTTGAAAAAGAGTTTCTGATCTGGCAATACACATCTTTAAAAATCGTCATTTATTTGTTGTGATTTGAAGAAACTTCTAAGATCAGTTTAGACAAATGTGCCCGAAGAGATAAATTCATGCCTATTTTTTGTCCTCCTCCACTTCCCAAACCCACATGTAGACTGTCCTGGGATGTAACAGCTATAACACATGGGCAGTTTTACCTCTGAGCCTCCTCCATGACTGCTCTTTTCCTGTTCCACTCTACCTTGCCCTACTTCCCTCAAAAAAGAAGTAAATAATTTTAAATAAGCTGACTCTCAATCCCTTTGTGTTTAGATAAGTCCTCACAGAAATCATCACAGGAAGGTGGGTACCTGGCCTCCGCTGAGGCAGCACACAGCTAGTGTCTGGCTGAGAGTACACTCTTGGGGTAATGTCAGATGAGTGAATGAATGCACCCTTTCTCAGCTCCCAGTTATAGTGTTAAATTCCTTGCATCACCATATTGGTCTCATTTTATTCTTTTTCTTTCTTCCTTTCCCCAACCACCTTTTCTGCTTTTCATATATACAGGAAGACCTTTTTCAGAACATTCTTCAACCTTATCTTTCCGAGGCTAATTTGTTTATTTTAGCTTTCCTCATAGGTTCTGTTCTCCAGCTTTCTGAATTAGTTGTTTTTCTTTCACTTAAATCCCTGGTGCTGAAGAATATCAAATTGGCTTCCAGTAAGGATCTTCTCTGACCCAAGGATATTTGCATAATTGATTAGTTCGTGAGCCATTTGTGCTATTTTATTCCCAGTAATGAGGCCAGCTGGCCCTCTGTAGGATTTTCCTGATGACCAGTAGAGACTGGGCAGACACTGATGACTGACTGAAGGTTAATAGTAAATTGGAGCATCCAACAAACAATGTTAACTTTTACCTGATTCATGCAATATATAGTACACAAAATGGATTAAAATTTAATCCACATTTCAAACCTTCTTTACTGAGAGGAATAAATAAAATACAAGATTAAAAAGGTCAGAATCAAATGTTATACCTCTATTTGTGGAGCTGTCCTGGAGATGTCTTGAATGATTTTCCCTCCTTGTTTTTAGGCACCTTCTTCTTCCCCATTAGCATTGAAATCTAAGGACTTCATAGTAATGGTGTTTTAAGATGATGATTTTGTAATTCCGGGAAAAAATATTAGAGAAGAAAATCTTAAGGTACAAAAACAGAGTACTTATTCCTACGATCAAGGCAAAGGCTAAGGTTTAAAAAAACTGGAGTGTGTATTTGTCACAACCGAAGGCAGTGCATCAAATCTGAAAAATGAAAAACTTCAGGGATCATTGGTATCTGCAGCTGTCATTCTGTGCCAGAAAGGCTTGTCAGCTTGGGGAATCTTTTATTAATTCTTTTCCACTTAAGGTCATTATGGCCTTTCTTTGCTATTTAGACTGTATTCTTGCGTCTGGCTTTACTTAAGTTTAATATTTAAACAAAGTGTTTACCCTGGAAAGGTTTTTCTGATGTGAAGCCAGTTGTGTCTGGAAGCACGATATTTTCAGAATTTATGTATGCTAAACCAGACTCATAGCTCTTCCACATATGTTCTTCCTTCAAAGGTTATGCACCAGAAAGGAGAAGAATGGAGAGGCAAAGACTGATTGACCCCACTCATGGTGCCTGCCCATCCTGTGGATCCTCCATCTTTTGAAAAAGAGCTCTGAATCTTGTCATACTTAAAAACTTTTGGAATCTAAAAGTAGGCACATGACAGAAAAATCCTATTGTGAGATTTAATGTGCGTTATGTGTTTTTTATTTATAGCGATGGTTAATCCACTTTCAATACTGTTGTTTCCAAGGTAGTTCTCATTTTCTTTTCCCTTCTCCTATTCCCTTTTTCCAGTCCCTCTACACCTCTCCCCAGATAGAGGCCAGATTCAAGCCCATAGGTCTCCTGAGAAGGTCAGCAAAGCCACAGCTATTTTGCTGTCTTGCTTCCAGTGACTGCCCAAGAATGAGGCAGCTGGACCTTTGTCTCAAAATGCTCTCTCTCGGTGGGCCGCCCTGTGGCAGTTCCAGACACTGCTGGACTTTTGGCATCAATGCAGAGGCCCCATATGTTGAACAGTCTAAGAGGCAGCATATGCATCTTTGAGAGTCAGAGCAGAGATGGAGAGAGAGAATGTAGGGAGGATGTGTTTATTTGAATTTTAGCCAATTTAATAGTATCTCAAGTTTTTAAAAAAAGATAAATCTTTTTAAAAAATCCTTAGGGAATGAGCCAACTATAAGAGAACATCAAAATGTAATCATACGGAACATGTGTTCTTCCTCATCTGTCAAAGGAGGTGGTCGGACTAGATGATTTCTAAGACCTCTTCCAGTTCTGATTTCAGCTGTAGAAAAAGCATAGTGGGATCACTGTATAGGGAGAGATTCTTCCAATATCCATAAATTTATATCTTTAAAAAATTCAATAAATTATTTGCAGCATATTTTTCAAATTGTACATAACAAGCATGTGTTCTTTTTATAAAGGAAAAAGTAAACATTTTAAAATTGAAAAAATTTATACTCCAAATGCAGCCATATGCTTCAACTAAATGTGAGACCACCCACCCCTTCCTACCCAAAGAAAGGTGTTTTCTTTGTCTCATGCAGGACTTACATTTGAAAAAGAGTTTCTAATCTGGCAATACACATACTTTAAAAATCATCATTTTATTTATTTGTCATGATTTGAAGATATTCCTAAGATCAGTTTAGACAAAGGTGCCCAGAGAGATAAATTTATGCCTATTTTTCATCCAGCTC
This sequence comes from Homo sapiens, assembly GCF_000001405.40. Classification (NCBI taxonomy): domain Eukaryota; kingdom Metazoa; phylum Chordata; class Mammalia; order Primates; family Hominidae; genus Homo; species Homo sapiens. Next base: position 113,447,090 of record NC_000005.10, on the reverse strand, counting down.
TACCTCCCAAACCCACACGTGTGCAGATAACCTGCAAAACCTCAGGGAGAAAGGGTCAATTAGAGATGAGGAAAGGAAGATGAGGGGAGGGTTGGACCAGTTACTAGAAATGATCTTATTTTTTTCAATAATTTTAACTTTTATTTTAGATTCAGGGGGTACATGTGCAGGTTTGTTACCTGGGTATATTGTGTGATACTGAGGTTTGGGGTATGATTGATATTGTTACTCAGGTAGTGAACATAGTACTCAACAGTTAGTTTTTCAACCCTTGCCCTCTCCCTCCCTGCCAGTAGTCCCCAGTGTCTATTGTTGCCATCTTTATGTCCGTGAGTACACTATGTTTAGCTCCACTTATAGGTGAGAACATGTGGCATGTAATGGGATTGCTGGGTCTATTTTTAGTTCTTTGGGAAGTCTCCAAACTGCTTTCCACAGTGACTGAACTAACAGTGCATTAGCATCCCCTTTTCTCTACAGCCTCACCAGCATCTGTCATTTTTTGACTTTTTGATAATAACCATTCTGACTGGTGTGAGATGGTATCTCATTGTGGTTTTGATTTGCATCTCTCTGATGATTAGCGATGTTGAGCAGTTTTTTCATGTTTATCAGCCACTTATATGTCTTCTTTTGAGAAAAGTCTGTTTCTGTCTTTTGCCCACTTTTTAACAAGGTTATATATTTTTTGCTTGTTGATTTCAGTTCCTTATAGATCCTGGATATTAGACTGTCATCAGAGGCATAGTTTACAGATATTTATTTTCCATTCTGTAGGTTGTCTCTTTACTCTGTTGAGAGTTTCTTTTGCTGCACAAAAGCTCTTTAGTTTAATTATGTCATGCTTGTCAATTTTTTTGTTGTAATTGCTATTGAGAACTTAGTTGTAAATTATTTCCCAAGGTCATTGTTCAGAATGGTGTTGCCTAAGTTTTCTTCTAAGATTCTATTCTTATAGTTTGAGGTTTTACATTTAAAACTGTAATCCATCTTGAGTTAATTTTTATATATGGTGAAAGGTAGGGGTTCAGTTGAATTCTTCTGCATATGGCTAGCTAGCTATCCCAGCACCATTTATTGAATAGAGTCCTTTCCTCTTGATTATTTTTGTCAACTTTGTCAAAAATTAGACGACTGTTGATGTGCAGCTTTATTTTGGGGTACTGTATTTTGTTCTATTGGTCTTTGTGTCTGGTTTTGTACCAGTACCATGCTGTTTTGGTTACTGTAGCTTTATAACATAGTTTGAAGTCAGGTAATGTGATGCCTCTAGCTTTCTTCTTTTTGCTTAGGAATGCTTTGGCTATGTGGGGTATTTTTTCATTCTATATGAGTATTAGAATAGTTTTTTTCTAATTCTGTGAAAAACAACATTGATAGTTTGGTGTTTGATAGGAATAGCATTGAATCTGTAGATCGCTTTGGGCTTTATGGCCATTTTAACAATACCGATTTTTCCAATCCATGAGCATGGAATATTTTTCCCTTTGTGTCACCTATGATTTCTTTCAGCAGTGTTTTATAGTGCTCCTTGTAGAGATCTTTCATCTTCTTGGTTAGATGTATTCCTATTTTATTTTTCGTGTGGCTATTATAAATGGGATTGTGTTCTTGATTTGACTCTTAGCTTGAACGTTATTACTGTATAAAAATGCTACTGATTTTTTTATTAATACATTGATTTTGTAGCCTGAAACTTTACTGAAATTGTTTATCAGTTCTGGGAGCCTTCTGGTGGAGTCTTTAGGATTCTTTATGTATAGAATTATATTGTCAGCAAAGAGAGATAGTTTGACTTCTTCTTTTCCTATCTGGATTCCTTTTACTTATTTCTCTTGCCTGATTGCTCTCCCTAGGACTTCTGAAATTTTAAGTATATGATGTTCCCAAACATCCCTAGATCTGGTGCCCTAAACCCAATTCAGAACTTAGATAAATAAGGGTACTTCAGCCTTCTTGGAAACTGAGGATGGAAAATGAGACCATGACCATACTCCAAGATGGAGAGAATTGAAGTGTCTGGGCTGTATCTGGGTTACTGGTTTGTGAGCATTAAGGGATTTTGTTTTTAAGAGACTGCATTGTGTCTGTTAAATATACAGTTCTGCCCTTTACTAGCTCTGCCCTTGGATAAGTTACTTAAATGCATTGAGCCTCACTTTTCTCATCTAGAGGAATACTTCCTTTATAGGGTTATTGTGGGAATAAATGATATGGAACAGTGGTAAAGCCCACTTTTAAATTACTATTGTTGTTGTTGTTATCGTCATCAGGTCATTGGCCCAGAAACTGATGCAAGGCCTTCAATATAGAGAACTGTAATATTAAATGAACCACTAAACTAAAAGAGCTGTAATAATTGATGAACAATACAAGCCTTTTCTATTAGCATAAATAACAGAGCCAGGAACCAGTAGCAACAATAAGAAAAGGAAATAGATGGCCTTTGAGACCTAGTAATGAGACTAAGCATTGATCTGAAGGCCAAATACCACGTAGGTGGCGATCTACCCTTCCCTTAATTGTTCTCAAGGCTATATAGTTTAGATGAGGAAACAAGATTAGACATGTGGATATATATAGTTTAGAAGGAACTAAGACTAGGACATGTAGACCGCAGATTTAACACTTTTTTTCCTTCAAAGAAACTCAATCCAGTAACTTGAAGGACATCTAAGGAGGATCCATTTAGAACCTACAACTATAGATGTAGTAATCCCAATCTCTGTCTTTCACCCTATAGATACTACAGTATCTGTCTCTTCTTATCCCTTACTTTCATCTCTCAACTAAAACTTTTTGCAGGCCCTCAGACTCTTTGGTTCCTTCTTCCCCTTCTTTCCAGGAATGGGCAAACTATGACCGGCCAGTTAAAATTGACCTGTAACCTGTATTTGTACCATCCTGAAGGTAAGAATGTTTTTCATATTTTAAAAATGCTGTACAGGCCGGGCACGGTGATGCACACCTGTAATCCCAGCACTTTGGGAGGCCAAAGCGGATAGATCACGTGAGGTCAGGAGTTCGAGAACAGCCTGGCCAACTTGGCGAAACCCCATCTCTACTAAACACACACACACACACACACACACACACACAAATTAGCCGAGCATGGTGGTGGGCCCCTGTAATCCCAGCTACTTGGGAGGCTGAAGCTTGAGAATTGCTTGAACCAGGAGGTGGAGGTTGCAGTGAGCTGAGATCATGCCACTGCACTCCAGCCTGGGTGAAAAAGCAAGACTCCATCTCAATACCTGGGATGCAAGGCTGGTTCAACATATGCAAATCAATAAATGTTATCCATCAAATAAACACAACCAATGACAAAAACCACATGATTATCTCAAGAGATACAGAAAAGGCCTTCGATAAAATTCAACACCCCTTCATGCTAAAAGCTCTCAATAAACTAGGTATCAATGGAATGTATCTCAAAATAATAAGAGCTATTTATGACAAACCCACAGCCAATATTATACTGAATGGGCAAAAACTGGAAGCATTCCCTTTGAAAACCGGCATAAGACAAGGATGCCCTCTCTCACCACTCCTGTTCCACATAGTGTTGGAAATTCTGGCCAGGGCAATCAAGCAAGAGAAAGAAAAAAAGGTATTCAAATAGGAAAAGAAGAAGTCAAATTGTCTTTGTTTGCAGATGACATGATTGTATGTTTAAAAAACCCCATCATCTCAGACCAAAATCTCCTTAAGCTGATAAGAACTTCAGCAGTGTCTCGGGATAGAAAATCAGTGTACAAAAATCGCGAGCATTTCTATACACCAGTAACAGACAAACAGAGAGCCAAATCATGAGTGAACTCCCATTCACAATTGCTACTAAGAGAATAAAATACCTAGGAATCCAACTTACAAGCAATGTGAAGGACCTCTTCAAGGAGAACTACAAACCACCACTCAAGGAAATGAGAGGACACAAACAAATGGAAAAA